>NC_000016.10:48501894-48804924 GCF_000001405.40 Homo sapiens | reverse complement strand
CTGTTTCCTTCATTTTTAAAGTATAATTTTGCCAGGTATAGAATGCTTGGTTGGCATATTTTTCTGTCAGCACTTTGAATATGTCATGCCACTCCCTTCTGGTCTGCAAGGTTTCTGCTGAGAAATCCACTGATAGACATATTAAGGTTTCCTTATATGTGGCATGTCACTGTTCCATTGCTGCTTTCAAAATCCTTTCTTTGTAATTGACCTTTGACAATTTGATTACAATGGGTGTCAGTGTAGTCTTTTTTGAGTTGATCCTATTTGGGAATTTTGAGCTTCATAAATCTGAACGTCAATTTCCCTCCCATGATTTGGGAAGTTTTCAGCCATTATTTCTCTTTCTCCCTTCTTCCTCTTAAAGTTCCATAATGCATATATTGTTTCACTTGATGGTTTCCCATAAATCCCCCAGATTTTCTTCATTCTCTTTCATTCCTTTTTTCTTTTTTGGATAATTTCAAATGATTTGTCTTTATGTTAGCTTATTCTTTCTTCTGCTTGATTGAATCTGCTGTTGTGGCTCTCTGTTACATTTTTTATTCAATTGTTGTATTTTTCAGCTCCAGAATTTCTATTTTTTTTGGGGGGGGGTGGTTTATTATTTCTGTCTCTTTGTTGGACATCTTGTTTTCTCCATGTATTGCTTTCTTGATATCATTTTGTTGTCTATCTGCATTCTCTTGTAGCTTATTGTGCTTCTTTAAAGTAATTATTTAAAGTCTTTGTTCACCAATTTATAGATTGAGAGTTATTGTGTTCTTTTGGTGGTATCATCTTGCCTTGGTTTTTCATGTTCTTTGTAATCTTGCATGGTCTTGCATTTGGAAAAGCAGTCATCCCTTCCAAACTTCACAGACTGGCCTAGGTAGAAAAAGACCTTCTCCCATGGGTGGATGCAAGGGCACCAGCTGGATGAGGTGTGTGGTGGCTCCAGGTCCAGATCCTAATGCAAAGATGTGCAGGGATGCCTATTCTGGGGGCTCACTGGAATGCCATCTTAGGGCTATACACAGGGGTTGGGACTAGGAGGCACATGATTGCACATGTTGCCTACAGAAGGCTCCTGGTCCAATAGGTACATGGATGTATGTTTATGGCAAGAAAATAGGGGCCAAGTCTGATGGATGGCACATGCAGCTGGTGTGGGTGCCTGATCCCGTGGGCTTGAATGTGCAGCTGTGGTAGGCCTCTGATCCTGTGGTCTCACACACACAGCTGCAACAACTGCCCATTCTCACAGCATATATACAGTGCCACTAGAAGGCACCAGGGCAGGTTTTAGGTCCACAGTTCACAGAGGGTGCTGGTCTGAGTGCAGATGTGCATCACCTCACTGGGGTGTAGAAAAGTAGTGTCTCTGACTTGGAGGGAGAACTAACAATTGGTAGTTCCAGCTACAGGGAACACGGTGGTTCTGGCTCCTGTCACTTTTGATGGCCGGACTCCACATCAGTGACGATCTGGGAGTTCTATATGGTGGTAGTGAGGACTGTTGGGAGCTCCAGTGGCAAGGGCTGCTGAGGTCCCCCACTTCCCTCTTCCTCCATAGACAGAACTCACAGTTGAGTGGATTCATCATGATGCTGCACTGGCCTGGGCATAGGACAACACAAACCTTTTCTATGCAGCCAACCCCAGTCTTTGCACTCCTCTGTGTCACTGCAAACCTCTAACTTCATTCTGGGGTGCTGTGTATAGTTGACTTTATTGCTGTATTTGTTTGAGAGTAAGGGATAGGATATTCTCATCTGCCATCTTGCTAACATCATCTGAATCAAAGGACCTGTGAGTTTTTTCTCTTTGTATTTTATTTAGTTTGAAAATGATATGCCTAGGTGCAGTATTTTGGGCATTTATCCTGCTTCGTTTTCTTTATGCATCTTGGATCTGTGATTTGGTGTCGGACATTAATTTGGGAGAAATTCTCAGTCATCATTGTTTCAAATATTTCTTTTGTCTTTTCTCTCTTTTTTCTCCTTCTTGCATTCCCATTATGTGAATTTTTACACTTTTTTTAGTTGTCCCACAGTTCTTAGATATTCTGTTTTATTTTATTTTAGTCTTTTTTCTATTTATATTTCAGTTTTGAAGTTTTCTATTGAGGCATTCTCAAGTTCAAAGGTTCTTTCCTCAGCCACCTCCAGTCTACCAGTAAGCCCATGGAAAACATCCTTATTTCTGTCAACAGTGTTTTTGATCTATAGGATTTATTTTTCATTCTTTCTTAGGATTTTATTCTTTTATTCTCTCTGCTTACACTGCCTATCTGTACGTGCATACTATCTGCTTTATTCATAAGAGTCCTTAGAATATTAATCATAGTTGGGTTAAATTCTCAGTCTGGTGATTTCAACGTGGCCTCCCATATCTGAGTCTGGTTCTGATGCTTGTTCTGTATGTATGTCTTATAATTTTTTATTGATAGCCAGGCATGATGTACTTGGTAAAAGGAACTTCTGTAAATAATCCTGTAGTAGTGTGGGGGTAAGGTGTCGGGGAGGGAGGCATTCTACAGTCCTAGGACTAGGTCTCAGTCTCTTAGTGAGCCCTGTGCCTCTGGAATGTGAACTTCACAAGTGTTTCTTAGTTCCCTCTCCCCCTGCCCGGTGGAATATGATGGCTGAAGTGGACTAGGGTTGGGTATTTTCTTTCCTCAGGTCAGTTAGGCTCTGGTAAAACCCAAGCAGGTTATGATCTGGTAAAACAGTTCCTCCTGAGGGCAGATCTTATTAAGAACAGAATACTGTGATATATTTCAAAATGGTTCTTTTTCTCCCTCCTTCTACCAGAAGCAGGTGGCAATTTTTGTCCAATATTCACTGTAAGAACTGGTAGAGCTCCAGGAGAAGAGAGTCACACAAAAACGTGGGGGAACCCAGTGACTCGGCCCTCCTCATCTATTAGACTTGTCTACATGGAAACTCCAGCAATTTGTCAATTACAGTTCCAGTTTTCCTACCCTGGCACTGGCTCCCACAGAAGTTTCCACTCATGAGTTTCTGCTCCGAAAAGTATTGATTCTCAGTATTTTCCTGTTGGTCTCTCTAATTTTGTGGATATCAGTTTGCCTTTGACCTCATTTCTCTCATGGAGGTAAGAAGAGTTGTTGATTTTTCAGTTTGTTCAGCCTTTTTTACTTGCTGTTAGGACAAAGTGGTGACTTCCAAGATTTTTATATACAGGACTGAAAACCAGAAGTTTCCTTTGGAAAGATGTTAAATGCAGGGAAAGTGTGGTTGGGAAATCATCTTTACTTAATAATTTACTTAATCATTATTTGCCTGCTATGTGCTAGGCACTGACCTAAGCACCTGGGATATATCAGTGAACAAAGGCAAATTTTTGTAGAGCACACATTTAAATGGCAGGTGGGGGGAATATGATAAAAAAAACCGTAATAAATAAATGTATAGTATGTTAGAAAGTGATGAACACTGTACTAATTGAGTGTGGTGAGGATGTAAAAGAATGGAGGAACAGGTTGCAATTTTAAATAGGGTGCCCAGCATAGTCCTCATGGACAAAATGTTGTTTGAGCAAAGACTTGAAGATAGGGAGGCTGCTGTGCAGGTCTCTAGGGAAGAGCCTTCCAGGAAGACAAAACATCCAGCACAGAGGCCCTGAGGCAGGAGCATCTCTGCACATTTGAGGACAAGCAAGGTCAGACAGCTCCAACAAAGCAGGAGAAGGGGAAAAAGGTATGTGGTGAGGTCAAAGAAGCATGTAGGCCTCTCTGAGGACTTCAGACTTTACTCTGAAGCCACAGGAGGATCATTTTAAAATATTAGTACAGCGTATGCTGTTCTAGGTTTAGCTCAAGTTGTACATTATTCAGAAAGTAATTTTTAATATAAAAATAAGTGTCATGTCCACAAAAATGTTAGTATTTCAGACATTTAAAAAGCCTTAAAAATGTTACAATATCCCAAAAGAAACAAACAAAAGCAAGCATTGTGGTCACTGAGGGGAGGGCACTGGTCCAGTTCTACACACTGGTTAAGAGCTAAGGCTCTGGAACCATTGCCAGTCGTGGGACCCTGGACAAGCTACTTTCTTCTTTGCACACCAGCCTCTTCATCTACCTGGATTTTTTGTTTTCTTCAACATGAGTTGCCCTTTGTACCCAGGCTGGAGAGCAAGTGCTACAATCATAGCTCACAGCAGCCTCAAACTCCTAGACTCAAGTGATCCTCCCACCTTAGCCTCTCAAGTAGCCGGGACTACAGGCATGCACTACCACATCCAGCCACGTTTTTTTAATTCTTTGTAAAGATGGGGTCTCTCTGTGTTTCCCAGACTGGTCTTGAACTCCTGACCTCAAGCAATTCTTTTACCTTGGCCTCTCAAAGTGCTAGGATTACGGGCATGAGCCACCATGTCTGGCCAAAATCTGGATTAATGAGTCCCCACCTTTTAGGATGGTTATAAAGCTTAAATAAAATGATTGATGTCAACACTTACTGAGATGGCTGGCACATGTTAAGTTCTCAGTGAATGTGAACTACTATTTTCACATAACTGTCTACTGAATCTGAACCCCAAGTCCCCTGATTTCCAGTCCAGGATACTTTTCACTACCCCCGTGACACAAATAATAACAGCTTACATATTTTGAGCATTTACTTTGGGCCAGACATTGTACTAAGTACTTTATGTGGATTATCTTGTTTATTATCCCCATTTAACAGAAGAGGGAACTGGAAATCCAGCAGGCATGAACTTGCACAAGGTCTCACAGTAACTAAGTGAGGAAATCAGAATTCAAATCCAGGTGGATCTGCCTGTAGACCCTGCATTCACTATTAACCTCTCCAGCCTCCCAAGGCTCTGGATAGCAACTTCCTCAATGGGGACAAATACAAATGACCTGCAGAGTTGTAAATATATGTCCCCCTTGGTTTGTCACATAAATCAGTTCAAGGCATCATTGCTCTGCCTACTGGTGACAAGCTAGAGTGGCTCACTAGCCATCCACAGTGCAGACTATTTCTGGTAAAGTTAGACCAAGTGGGAGCTGAGGTCAGCAACCAGGGTCATGTTTCTTCTGGATTCTAAAGCCCACATAACCTGGCACAAATCAAAATCTTCCCTTCTCTCTATCACCTGTTTTTTCTGTGGGCAAATGTCTGTCTACATCACTTTGCTTAGTGGCTTCCAAAGCATAAATTACTCATGGAACCATGCAGTCTTGTCATCACCAGGAAAGAGAACTGTAAATAGATTTGGTCCATGCCATTCAATAGCATATGGTTCCTGACCATTTCCTAAGTCCCATTCCTCAAGTCAGGTGGGCCCAGGGTACAGGCTTGGAGGCAAGAGGATGAGGAAGCCATTTCTGGCCTGTAAGGGGCTTCCAGGTCAGTGATGGTGCAAAAAGCCATCATACGGCCATAACCTATCATCTGGAGTTGAGAGTGTGCGAGTGAAAACCAGCTTCATCGCATTTCCCTCTGTAGCTTCAGAATCTCTCTGTGGACTGCTAAGTGTGCTTTTCTACCTCAGGATAAAATATCAGGCAGGTGCTGTAGTTTTCTGGGCTTTTTTAGTGAGAAGATCTGTTTTGTTTCCATAATTAAAAACCACCATCTAGTGCACCTCTTCCTACTTGCTAGATGAAATTTCTGGCTTTTCTAGAAATATGTCCAGAAGGAGAGAAGATTAAGACAAAGAGTACCCCTTTGTGTCTTACCATGTCTTTATTGGGTCTTACTGTTGTCACCTGGCTTTGGGGCCCCCAAAATAATCAAAGTATAGCTACCAGCAAGTGTTCTCCCCTCATCCCTGTCCTCTTTCTGGGGGGCACTTTTATGGATTCCTCTCCTCCAGTTTAGGTAGTATCTCTTGCCCCAGGTGACCAATTAATCCTTAGCCTCAGACTGGTTTCCAACAGTTCACTGTGACAGGCTAAACGATAGCTGCCCCCAAAATATGGTCATATCCTAAATCTCCCCACAATCAGTGAACATGTTGCCTTACATAGCAAGAGGACTTAGCAGATGTAATTAAGTCAAGGATCTTGAGATGGTGAGATCATCTTGAATGATCTGTGTAGGCCCAAAATTAGCAGAAGAGGTCTTATAAGAGAGAGGCAGGGGAATCACAGTCAGAGAGACGTGGGGACAGAGTAGAAGCCCAAGAGAAGAAAAGATGCTACCCTGCTGGTTCTGAATGTGGAGCAGAGGGCCATGAGCCAAGGAATGCAGGCAGCCTCTGGAAGCTATAAAAGACAAGGAAACAAATTCTCCCCTGAAGCTTCCAGAAGGAATGCTGCTGTGTGGACCCAGTTCAAACTGCTGATCTGCAGAAATGTAAGAAAACTAATTTGTGTTGTTTTAAGTCATTAAGTGAATGGTATTTGTTAGAGAATTCACTGGAAACTAATAGATCGATCACCTTTCTGCTAGGTTCCATGTACCCTTTCAGAAAGCCTCCTGGACAGACTTCTTTTAAGATGACATTGGGCTAACTGCCTTCAAAGAGTCACATCTGGTTCCCAGAAAACCTACCCCCTGGCCTTCACCTGCTAAAGGTGCAGCTTGCAACCTGTGCAGCCCACTCTCCCCTCAGCTGCAGGGACACAGCATTTCCCCTTTAGACTCCTCAAGCACAAGTCAGAGGTCAGATCCTGTTCTTCCCCAGCTCCAGGAGACACATGCTATGGTACCTAATGGTGCCTTTTGAAGCTCCTCTTAGTTGGCCTGAGTGAGGAGTAAGCAGGCAAGACCTCTCACCTGATGTAACTTCTCCATACTTTCCTTCTCCCAACATTTCTGCATTAAAACCTCTTCTTATGTGGCCAAGAGGAGGTGGAAGGCTATGCTAGCAAAGCCAATTTTACAATCACTTATCTGGTCTTTAACAAGTGGTTCAGATTATAGGACCCCTGGAACTTCTCCATACTTTCCTTCTCCCAACATTTCTGCATTAAAACCTCTTCTCCTGTGGCCAAGAGGAGGTGGAAGGCTATGCTAGCAAAACCAATTTTACAATCACTTATTTGGTCTTTAATAAGTGGTTCAGATTATAGGACCCCTGGAACTTACTGTGCAATTCTCAGCCTTTGGATACTCTCCTGGAAGTCAGAGACAAGAAGAATGGCCCCAGAAGAACTGTCTCTGGTAGTCTGAGAGAAAAGAACAAAGCACTATGAAGGCTGATATTTATGAGTGCTCTGTGGGAGGCGCTATATTAAGCACTTCATATGAGTTAATTCATTCACTCCTTGCACCAACATACCCCACTTTACAGATAGAAAAATTGAGGCTGAGTGAGATTAAGTATTTTGCTCAGGGTCACATAGTAAATGGCGAGGTGATATAGTTTGGATATTTGTCCCCTCCAAATCTCATGTTGAAATATGATTTCCAGTGTTGGAAGTGGGGCCTGGTGAGAAGTGTTTGGGTCATAGGGGCAGATCCCTCATGAAAAGCTCGATGCCCTCCCCCAGTGGTAATGAGTGTGTTCTTACTCTTAGTTTATGCAAGAGCTGGTTGTTTAAAAGACCCTGGTGTCTCTCTTGCTCCCTCTATCATTATGTAACACACCAACTCTCCCTTTGCTTTCTGTCATGAGTGGAAGCTTTCTGAGGCCCTCACTAGAATCAGATCCTGCCACCATGCTTCTTGTACAACCTGCAGAACCATAAGCCAAATAAACCTTTTCTTTGTAAATTACCCAGCCTCAGGTATTCCTTTATGACAGCACAAAATAGACTAATAGGCAGGGTTAAGATTCAAATAAAGGGAGTCCACTCAGTAGTTAGAGTTTGGGGGTAAGACCCCAGGCTGAATTACCCTGAATTACCCTGCATAACAGAAGAGAGGGAAATTCCAAGGGTGTGGTAGGATGGAAGTGGACAGGAAGGAAGCAGCAACGCAGCCAAGAACTGTAGTGAAGAGAAATTTCTAAGACTTTTTTAGCTTGTTCGCCACAAGACTGAATGTAAACCCTCTCCTCCCTTGCCCCTGTGAGGGCTTCAGTAAAGTCCAGATTACTTTTTGATGGCACAGACTGAGTTCTGCATTTGAGTCGGTGCAGGGTGAAGGCAAGGGCATCCGAGAATGACAGGGCTGTCCACATCATCTACACTTTGTTTTAACTTAAAGTCATAGTCTTCTTATATGCAACAGTGTTTTGGTCATGTAAATGGGATTTTAGAAATTTTCTATTCATTCTTTTTTAATGTGCTTTTTAAGTTATTACTCAATGATTACAGTTCACTGTAAAAAATATGGGCAGACCAAAAGGGTAAAATAAAAAATGTCCTTTATTTCACTACTCAGAGGTAATCACTGTGAGCTTTTGATATGCATTCATTCAGGCTTTCTCTACACGAATATTCTCCCTCAAGTTTTAAAGTGGGATCATAGTGTCACGTGGTTTTTAATCTACTTTTTAAACTTAAGCAGCTTTATGGGTATCACTTCAGGTCAATAAATACTGTCCTTCAACAACATTTTAATATCTGCATAACAGCCCATTCCATGAAAGAACCATAATGTATTTAATGAAACTACTGTTATTACTTATGTGTAATGTTTCCAATATTTTGAACTTATAAGCAATGCTTCAATGAGCATTATCATGATCAGTTTTCTGTATATAGCCTTAATTATTTTCTTAGGGTGAATTCCTGAAGTGATGTAAACCAAAGATAAAATCTTAAGCCCCCCAGCTAACTGAATGGACCCCTTCTGGGCCAAGGGAAACCTGAAAAATTGAATTCCCTACCATGATGGGAAGGGAGGTCAGACACACCTCATTATACCCCCTCCCTGTTGGAGTTTAGACACAGCTGATCAGCATTAAAACCAAAATAGAGATCTCAAGACTGACAAAACAGACTCTTTGGCAATAAGTTAACAAATTCCAACATGACTCTGGTATAGCATCACATGACAGATACAGGCCCTGTAAGAAATAAAAATATTTCATGCCAAAATATATTTCTTTGATATATTTTCAAATGGCCCTGCAAAGCCATCTTTTGTGGCATCAATGTTACATCTGTAGAGAATTTCCATTCATGCAGCTAGGACTTTCAAGGATCTAGGCAACATTAGCTAAAAGTCTGATGTCTTTTAAGGTCTAAAAAGAGTTATTTACCTTCTATTCTCTTTGAAGCTTGCTATCTGGAGACTTCATCTACATAACAAGGACCTTGGCTTCCACAACCTCCCTTATCTTAACTCAAGCATTTCTTTCTACTGACTTCAAGTCTTTAGCTTAACTCTTTCAACCACTTGCCAACCAGAAAAATCTTTGAATCCACCCATGACCTGTAATCTTCATCCCTGACCCCCTGAGATGCCCCACCTTCCCAAGCTGTACCAATGTATACCTTACATGTATTGACTTATGTTTGTGTCTGTAACTTCTGTCTCCCTAAAATGTATAAGACCAAACTATAACTTGCCAACCTCAAGTGCATGTTCTCAGGACTTCTTGAGACTGTTCCCTGGACCATGGTCATTGATATTGGCTCAGGATAAACCTGTTTAAATATTTTACAAAGTTTGGCTTTTATGTCAACAATAGAATTCCCAGATCAAAGGACATGAACACTTTTGAGGTTTCTGATGGAAATTTCTTTGGCTAATTCTTGACTTTCCTTGCAGATAATTTTCTGTCTAAAAAGGTTAAGAATGCAATCAGAGGAGCTGTCTTTCAAGTTCTAATCCTGAACAATATAAGGAAGCAATAGTTGGTGATGCAAAAGTATAGAATCTTGAAAGAATGGGACAGATTACCTTAGCAACAAGGACAACTTGGGAGAAGAGTCATACACCTAGTCAGATGTCTACACTAGACTTTGGAAAGGCAGCAGGAAAAGGAGAGTGGGAGTCTCTCCTTTTACAGTCCCTTGGATAGAGATTATAAGAGAGAGTAGATTTTATAAAATGTTTTTTTAAAAAGAATTCTGACAATTGTTATAAAGAATCCCAATGTTTTCTTCTAGGGTTTTTATGGTTTTTGGTTTTACATTTAAGGCTTTAATCCATCTTGAGTTAATTTTTGTGTAAGGTGTAAGGAAGGGGTCCAGTTTCTGTTTTCTGCATATGGCTAGCCAGTTTTCCCAGCACCTTTTATGAAACAGGGAATCCTCTCCCCATTGCTTGTTTCTATTAGGTTTGTCAAAGATCAGATGGTTGTAGATGTTGGTGTTATTTCTGAGGTCTCTGTTCTGTTTCTGTTCTGTTCTGTGCCACCATGTCACATGTATACCTATGTAATAAACCTGCACATTCTGTATGTGTATCCCAGAACTTAAAATAAAGTTTAAAATACTCCCAAAAAAAAAATCCCAATGAAGAAAAGGGGATGGTACCAGAGGAAGACAGACAGCAAAGCCACCCAGGGAAACTTCTTATGCACTCAACTTTTAAGAGGGATGTTTAGGGATTATTTTAACAATTCTAGTTGAAATCATCTCACCTTAGGAGATAGGGAAAGAAGAACATTTATTTATGCATGGTCAAGGAGGGTAGTAGAAAAACACAAGAAACCATTTATGACTAGTTATTGCTGACCTAAAGAATGCTCTACTGGGATGAATAATGTCCAGTTCTTCCAAAATTCATATCCAACTGGAACCTCAGAACATAACCTTATTTGGAATAAGGTCTTCATAGATGTAATCAGTTAAGATGTGGTCATATGGGATGAGAGTGGGCCCTAGAGCTAATGACTGGTGTCCTTAAGAAGACAATGTGAAGCCACAGAGACTTAGAGAGAAGAACGCTGTGTGACAAGGGAGGCGAAGATTGGAGAGCTGCATCTTCAAGCCAAAGAAAGCCAAGGATTGCTGGCAGGTGCCAGAAGATAGGAGAGGGGCATGGAAGGGTCATCCCAGAGCCTTCAAAAATAAGCAAACCCACCAACACTGATTTTGGACATCTAACCTCAAGAACGTTGAGACAATAAACTTCTGTTGTTTTAAGCCATCAAGTTAGTGGTTATTTGTCATGGCAGCCCTAGAAAACGAGCGCAGATGTCAACAAAGGTTGTCCCACTTATCAAGATAAAAATATAACAGCCATAATTATCTGGCCCTCATTTATTTCTAAGAAATGGTGTTTGAAAGTATTACTAAATAAGCCATGAGAATCAAGCTCCCACCACTGATGGGAGAGATGGACGGCTGAAGAACTGGCCCAGTTTCTGATGAATGAGGGAAAATACTGTATGAATAACAGCCACAGGCGTCAGCTTCAGTTTTCTTGATGCCCTCCCTCTGCTTGTGCAATAATGCTATGAGACCTGGTAGATGTCTTGACTTTCCCCCAAACAAGCTCCCCCAGGGAGGATCCAACTTAACCAAGCCATAGACCAGGAGAGTCAATAATGTTGCCAACATCTCAAATTCCTCCAAAGAAAGAACATCTGGACCTCAGAGTATCCTACTAAGAGTGCACATCATGCATGACATGAATAGCCAGTGCCTCTCTCACCTCCCTCTGGGGTTGGGGAGGCACAGTTAAGCACATGGGAGACTGCCTAAATTTGAATCTCATTTGTGTCATTTTATAATTCTGTGACAGGCAAATTATTTAAGTTCTTTGTGCCTCAGTTTTCTTGTCTGTAGAATGGAGGTTAATACTGCTTACTGTTGGTTGAGAATTTAAAAGAAGTAATATACATAAAGCACTTAGTGTGATGTCTGCCATAAGCACTCAAAGAATGCTGGCTGTTATGTCGATTAGGCCAGCAAGTAGCTCTCTGCTTTCTTTTTAATGCTGTGCTGAGTGCTTACTTTTCTGTGGGGGTGGGCTAGAGAGAGCTGAAAAAACTGCTTCCCCTGTCTTCTGCTTGTCCAGCTACTCAGAACACCAAAAAAAAAGAGAGAGAGAGAGAGAGAGGGAGAAAGAAAGGAAGGAAGGAAGGAAGGAAAAGAAAGAAAAGCCTAAAAAAGGACACACACAAAATGTAAGAGGAAAAGCACATAACCAAGAACAAATACAAAAGGATGAAGAAACCTTAACAAACAGTGTCAGAAGGAGCTCTTCCCATGAACAAAACTTGTGCCTAATGAGTTAGGGAACAGAAGATTTTGAAAAACATTGGGAGCAAGACAAACCTGTAAGGAACAGAATGACAACTGAGGGCTGAGGATGCCGTGTTAACATAGAATGGAAGGAAAACAGGCAAACTCAACCTTAGCTTTGCAGAACACGGGCTGTTCAACTTAGAACAGGTAGCACAATCACCGTTTGGAGGGAAACCAGGCCTAAGGAACTAATGAGATCATAAGGAAGTACCACCCCCAGCACAAAGACATCTCGGGGTCACAGGGAACTTCAGTCCTGGCTGCAGCACCATTCAGTAGACAGAGGAATCATGAAGTTTTGGGGTGCCAGGCAAGAAGAGACAGGGAAAAGTGTCCTAATCTTTGAAATGAATATAAATGTAAAGGATTCTATAGCCCAGAAAACTGAAAGACAAAAGCTTGCACATTTTAGAATGTGCACATATAGGAGAAAAAAGAAATGTGATCTGCTGGAACAAGTGTGAATTCACCTTTAAAATAAATATGACTTCAGCCTTGGAGGCCCTGTTAGGTTGAGTCCACCTTAACCTCCACATTACCTTCTCTGAATCTCTGCAACCTGGAGGATACTAACTCAGGCTCCATCTTTATTCACTGATGTGACAGACAAAATTATGACCCCCATAAAAATGTCCATGCCCTAATCCACAGGACCTGTGAACGTGAATGTTACACAGCAAGGGGGAGTTAAGATTGTAGATGGAGTTAAGGCTAATCGACCTTGAGTGGAGAGATTATCCTAGATTATCTGGGTGGGCCTAATGTAATCACAAGGGTCCTTATCAGAGGAAGCCAGGAATTTCAGAGAAAGATGTGATAACAAAAGCAGAGGTTAGAACAATGCACTTTGAAGATGGAGGGAGCTAGGAGCCAAGGAATGCAGGCAGCCTGTCAAAGCTGGAAAAGGCCAGGAAATAAACAGATTCTCTGCCAGAGTCTCCAGCAGGGATGCAATCCGGCCCACACCTTGATTTTAGCCTGCAAGACCTGCCTCAGACATCTGACCTTCAGAACTGTAAGATAACACTTTTGTGTTGTTTTAAGCTACTCTAGTGTCTTAATTTGCTACAAGAGCAATAGGAAACTAATAAACCTGCGTTTTGCATTATCTTATACTTATTTTCTAATCAATTAATATGGACTCTCCTTCTCTGCATCTGATTACTCTGCCTCACTCAACATGGCCATCTCTACCAGACTGAAACAAAGGCTGTGGTTATCTCAGAGCTCACGTCTCCTCAGCTTTGCTGTCAGAAAGAAGGGAGTGATCTCTTACTTTCGATTCACAATTTCCCGTGGAAGTGCTCTGATTGACATGCCTTGGCAGGGCACTTGTGATGGGCAACCCCCCAAAAAACACTTGGTTAGAAGTGGGAGGCAGAAAAGACATGGAATCAACCCAAATGCCCATCAATGACAGACTGGATAAAGGAAATGTGGTATATATACACCATGGAATACTATACATCCATAAAAAGGAATGAAATCATGCCATTTGCAGGAACATGGATGGAACTGGAAGCCATTATCCTCAGCAAACTAACACAGGAACAGAAAAGCAAACACCGCATGTTCTCACTTATAAGTGGGAACTGAACAATGAGAACACACAGACACAGGGAGGGGAAAAACACACACTGGGTCCTGTTGAGGGGATACGGGGAGAGACAGCATCAGGATAAATACCTGATGCATGCGGGGCTCAATACCTAGGTGATGGGTTGATAGGTACAGCAAACTACCATGGCACATGTTTGCCTATGTAACAAACCTGCACATCCTGCACATGTATCCCAGAACTCAAAATTTAATTTAATTTAATTTAATTTTTTTTAAAAAGTGGGAGGCAAAGAAGTAAAGCAGTTGCCCAGAAAAGGCAAGCTGCTAGAACCACAAGAAGAGAGGGGTGCAGATTACCACTTGCTTCTCCAAGCACAAGTTACTTGAAGGACCTTTTCTATCCTATGTGGCTCAGGACTCTATGCTAGATTCGACTCTCAGTGGATGCTCAGTTACTGCTATTGGTCAATGGTCTTATTTCTTCAGTGGACTGAGCCAATGGGTAGAGTTTCCTCCTGGATAGAGGGCAGGGAAAGCTTTGTCCACAGTAGGGTAGTGTAGCTAAAAGTGTTCTTAACTTGTACTAGCAGAGAAAGAGTTTCTTCTTAGCCAGTGCATCATTCATCATCTTGAAATCAATTAACTAATTAGGGTCATCCCTTGAACCTGTTAAGCTTGGAGTTGAAATTGCTGTAAATGTATTTTAAAGAGAGAAAAAGTAAAGACTGCAAGGTGAGGGTGGGTGTTACTCTCTGGGGTGGGTCTATGGGATGATCCTGTTTTTTAAAGCATTTTCTCATATGTTTTCATCACTCTCTTCCACGGAAAGACCTACTGAGGGCTGTTCAGTTGGTCTCCCAGATGGCCCCTCTCTCAGGAGGTTTCTCTCATGAAAAAAATGACCTGTTAGCAGCTGCAGAGCTCAGTGAAGTCAAGCTGGTGCTTGGTGTGACATCACCCATGACACTGTAGGAAAATCAATGTCATAACTCATTATTGGGGAGGAAGTCAGCCTGGATCTGGACCTGGACTCCCTCCCCGCCCCCACATCAGGCATGTATGGGCTAGAGGGAAAAGACTAGCCACCAAGCCTCAGAGGGGTTTCCTAATCTAAGCCTCTAAGACAGTAAGATCAGAGGTCAGAGAGGCTAACAGCAATGAAAGGCAGAAGGGCAGAGTCAAACCTGTGGTTGAGCCACAGTAAGAGGGAGATGAGGAAGACAGGTCTGCTGAAAGGAAGGTCTAGATTAGTTCCAGAGAGGCACTGCAGGCACCAGGAGATATGGCTCTTTGTGTGGTTTCCAGGCACACTCGTGTGGTTTTAACATTTTCTTTCAAAGGCTCCAGATATTCTAGAGAGTTTCCACTGTGCTATTTAGTAATTTGTCTTCTCCCCTTCATTTCTTTCTTTATTTTCCCTTGTCCTCAGTCCTTTCCTTCATCTCTTTCTTCCTTCTCTCCCTTGCCTCTCCCTACCCCTCCTCTACTCCTTCCACAAGCACTTGCTGATAATCTCTTTCATGCCTTTGTTACGACAGGGAGATTATGGAATTGAGAGCTTGGATTCCTCCTTGAATAGATGACCAAGACTGCCAGTTATTTAAAATTCAGTACCTGTAAACAGCTTATGAGCACACCATATTTTAATGCCTGCCTGTGTTTAGTCAAATACTGAGAACATATGTCTCTTTGTAAATCTACTCCCAGGACTGCTCAGAGTGATTCAGAAAACACTCGTAAATGTGCCAGCATTCATCTTTCCCCTCTAGTGGAAAGGATTCACTCACAAAGAGCTCACTAATTTGTCACCAGACTTGCCCCACCTTAACACCTCCCCTCACAACCGTCGGACCCCAAAGAAGGGAGTGTCTACAGCTCAGCATTCACAACCAAAATGGACAGAAGTAGCAAGCTGGTAGCAAACTCGCGGCATCCATCCATCTCTGGCATTTAATGGCAATGCTTCCAAGAATGAAGTAAAGAATGCCATACAGCACTGCAGAAAAACAAAGACACTAAAATTTAAGAGGGGAGTAAAATTTGTTTATAGACCTCACTAAAGAAAAGTTGCTGAGTATTGAGTCTAGAGACCCATGCTGCTATTGTTGCTTGGGACTTTTTTGGAGGATTGGGAGAGGGCATGCACTATTTTCTGGGTTGAGCAGTTGCTTATTATTGTTTTGTTCAGGAGTCTTGTTTTAATCAAGGCCTGTTTTCAGGGGACATCATAATTTAACCAGGCTTTTAATCAACAACCCAAGAAATTCTAATAATGTAAAGACTACTTCAACAGAGCATTCTTCTAGCTTTAAGCATAAATTTCAGAATGCGCCAGCCAGAGTTTTAAGAAATAGTAATTATTATTTATTGAGTGCCTATGTGTTCCAAGTATTTTTCATATATTATTTCATTTAAGTCTTAGAGCCATCCTCAAGGCAGTTATCATTTTTCCCACTTTAAAGTTGAGAGAGTTGAGATTCAGAGATAATAAGCAACATGTCCAAGGTCATGTTATAGTACATGGTGGAGCCAGAACTCAAATGCACGTTCCCTTCATTTCAGAGCCTGTGCTCTTTCTGTCACCTTACTGCTTTCACAACTGCACTGTTCTAACTGTGCTTTCTGGGATGTTTTGCTGAATCGTTGCCATAGGGCCCAGATAGGCAGAAGAGGAATGTTGTGAAAAGTGCTCCTTTGAGGCAGATCCTGACCTACTGCAGTGATCTTTCCCTAGAGAAGACTCACAGAACTGGCAATCATTGCACCAGGAGAGATGAATTGCTTTGCTCTGAAGTACAGAAATCTACCCAATGACACGGCACCCCACACACAACAAGGAGATGTGTACAAATATCTAGTTCATACAATTTCAATCAAGGTATTTTTCTAACCCAGACTTTATCATTTATCCTGTTTCAAAATGCTTATTAATCTTTTATTCTTCCTTTGGAAATACAGAATCACCTAGCCAACATGAAATCATTGTTCTACCTTTCCTCTTCCTTTAATATGATTAATATTTATTGAGTGTCAACTGTGTCAAGTACTCAAAACGTGTTTCTAACTTTTTTTACTCATTTATTTTATTTGACAGTTTTGTGGGGTATATATTAACACATTCTCAGGATAGCAAATAAATTTTATTTTGTGCACAAACTTGTTATTCAAAGGATATTTATTGGGCATTAGCCATGTACCAGATAATGTTCTAGGCAGGGTTCTAATCTCTGGGTATAAAAAGATTTAAAAAAAATAAAGCAGATGATTACAGTTATCTACATCTGTAAAACAAACCACCAAAACTTACCAGCTTGATAAAGAAAAAATAAATAAGACCTAGATAAATGGAAATACGTGCTCATGAATTTGAAGACTTGATATTGTTAAGATGTTAATTCTCTGCAAATTGATCTATAGACTCAATGCAATCCCAATCAAAATTCCAGCAGACATTTCATTACAAATTGACAGACATCCTAAAATTACATTAAAAAGTCAATAATCTGTGACAAAAACAACCTCAAAAAGGAAAAATATTGTTGGAGGACTCACTATCAGATTTAAAGACTTATTTTACAGCTGCAATAATCAAGACAATGTGGTATTGGTTTAAGGATAGACTTACGCATCAATGATACAGAACAGAGAGTTCAGAAATAGGTCCTCATTATATAGTTAATTGACAAAATGTGCTAAGATACTTCAGTGGGGAAAAGATGGGCTTTTCAATAAGTGGTGCTAGACTAATCCCAGTACAAAAACGAGAACCTCAATCCATATCCTGCACCATATTTGAAAAGTCTCATTCTCAGTAAACTATCGCAAGAACAAAAAACCAAACACCGCATATTCTCACTCATAGGTGGGAATTGAACAATGAGATCACATGGACACATGAAGGGGAATATCACACTCTGGGGACTGTGGTGGGGTAGGGGGAACGGAGAGAGATAGCATTGGGAGATATACCTAAGGCTAGATGATGAGTTAGTGGGTGCAGCGCACCAGCATGGCACATGTATACATATGTAACTAACCTGCACAATGTGCACATGTACCCTAAAACTTAAAGTATAATTAAAAAAAAAAGAAAAAAAAAAAGAGAGAAAGAAAAAAAAAAAAGAAAAGTCTGAAAAGGATCATACATCCAAATATAAAATGTAAAACTCTAAAATTTTTTTAAAAATATGAGAGAAATTTTTAAGATCTTGGGTTAGGCAACAATTTTATAAATGTAATCCATAAACAATGTGATAAATTGAACTTCACAAAATTAAAATATCTGCTTCTCAGAAAACACTGAAAAAAATGTAAAGACAAGCCACAGACAAAGAGAAAATATTTGCAAAACACATATCAGATTAAGGGCTTCTATTCAGAATATAAAAAGAACATTTGTAATTCAATAATATAAGTTTTTAAAAAACATAAAAAATGAAAAAGATTTGAACTACTTCAAAAAAGAAGATATAAATAGCAAATAAGCACAGGAAAAAATACATAACATAATTAGTCATCAGGAGGGTGCAAATTAAAATGAGGTAGCACTACACACCCATTAGAAGTATGGCTAAAAAAAAACCAAGACGTGTAAACTTCTCCATCTAACAACAGCAGAATATATACTATTCTCAAGCTCACATGAATACGGGTATTATTCACCAAAATTGAACATATTCTGGGCCTTGTTAGGGGCCAGCTTCACAAATTTAAAACAGAAGTTACATGATATCTGCTGTCAGACCCCAATAGAACTAAACTAAAAATCAATAACAGAAAGATAACTGGAAAAACCTCAAAATAATTAGAGATTAAACAACACACTTCTAAATAACACACAGGTCAAAGAAGATATCCCAAGATAAATTTTAAAATATTTTTAACTCAGTGAAGATTAAAATACAACTTACCAAAAGTTGTGGGACGCAGTGAAAGTAATTCTTAGAAAGGAATTTACAGCATTAAAAGTGTATATAAGAAAAGAAGTAAGTTCTAAAGCCAATAATCCAAGTTTCAACCTCAGGAAACTAGAAAAAAAAAGAACAAATTAAATCCAAAGTAAACTGAAAAAATAATAAAAATTGAAACAGAAATCAATAAAATTGAAAACTGGAATCAATAGAGAAAATCAATGAAAAAGAAAGCTTGTTCTTCTGAAAGATAAATAAAATTAGGAAGCCTCTAGCCAAGATAACTAAGAAAAAAAGAGAGAGACAGAAATTACTAATATCAGAAATGAGAGGGGACAACACTAAGGAACCCATGGGTATGAAAATAATAATACAAAAAATTATGGACAACTCTATGCCCACAAACTTGGTAACTTAGATTAAATGAACCAATTTCTTGAAAGAGACAATCTGCCAAAACACACAGAAGAAGAAATAGACATCTGACTAGGACTAAATCTATTACAGAAATTGAATCAATAAATCGTAACTTTCTAAACAGAAAACACCAGGTCCAGATGGGCTCACTGATTAATTCTAGCGAACATTAAGGAAGAAATTATACCATTTCTCTACAATATCTTTCAGAAGACAGAAGCAGACGGAATATTTTCTTTTTTTATTTTATTATTATTATACTTTAAGTTTTAGGGTACATGTGCACAATGTGCAGGTTTGTTACATATGTATGTATGTGTCATGTTGGTGTGCTGCACCCATTAACTCGTCATTTAGCATTAGGTATAGCTCCTAACACTATCCCTCCCCCCTCCCCCCACCCCACAACTGTCCCCGGTATGTGATGTTCCCCTTCCTGTGTCATGTGTTCTCATTGTTCAATTCCCACCTATGAGTGAGAACATGTGGTGTTTGGTTTTTTGTCCTTGCGATAGTTTGCTGAGAATGATGGTTTCCAGCTTCATCCATGTCCCTACAAAGGACATGAACTCATCATTTTTTATGGCTGCATAGTATTCCATGGTGTATATGTACCACATTTTCTTAATCCACTCTATCGTTGTTGGACATTTGGCTTGGTTCCAAGTCTTTGCTATTGTGAATAGTGCCGCAATAGGCATACAGGTGCATGTGTCTTTATAGCAGCATGATTTATAATCCTTTGGGTATATACCCAGTAATGGGATGGCTGGGTCAAATGGTATTTCTAGTTCTAGATCCCTGAGGAATCACCACACTGTCTTCCACAATGGTTGAACTAGTTTACAGTCCCACCAACAGTGTAAAAGTGTTCCTATGTCTCCACATCCTCTCCAGCACCTGTTGTTTCCTGACTTTTTCATGATTGCCATTCTAACTGGTGTGAGATGGTATCTCATTGTGGTTTTGATTTGCATTTCTCTGATGGCCAGTGATGATGAGCATTTTTTCATGTGTTTTTTGGCTGCATAAATGCAGACGGAATACTTTCTAATTAATTATATGAGGCCAGAATCACCCAGATACCAAAACCAGACAAAATATTATAAGGAAAGAAAACTATAGACCAATATTGTTCATGAATATAAATGCAAAGACTCTTACAAAAATATTAGCAAATCAAATTCAATAATGTATAAAAAGATATATACACTATGACCAAGTGGGATTTACCCCAGATATGCAGGGCTGGTTCAACATTGGAAAATCAGCAATATAATGTATCACAGCAACTGGGTAGAGAAGAAAAATTACCATATCAATATTTGCAGAAAAAGCAATTAACAAGATCCAACACACATTCATGAAAAAAATTATTAGGGAACATCCTCAACTTTAAAGGAAAAAATATATATATAAAAAAGCCTACAGCTAACATTATACTTAATGTTGACAAACTCAAAGCATTCCCTTGAAGATCAGAAACAAGGCAAAAATATCCCCTTACTACCCTTTGTCAACATTGAATGAATGTCCTAGTTAATGCAATAAGACAAGAAAATGAAATTAAAGGTATACTGATTAGGAAAGAAGAAATAAAACTGTCTTTGCCAGCAGATGGTATGTTCATCCATGCAGAAAATCTGAAAGAATAGACCAAAATGAAGTCCAGGAACTAATAAGTAATTATGACAAGGTTGCAGGATATAAGGATAATATAAAATGGGACAATCACTTTCCTATATGCTAGCAATGAACAAGTGGAATTTGAGATTAAAAAGCATTTACATTCACTTAGGTAATACTATAATATTATACTTAGGTAATACTATAATATTCTTAGGTATAATATTTATACCTAAGAAATACTTAGGTATAAATTGAACAAAATATATACAAAGCTATATGAGGAAAATTATAAAATTCTGATAAAAGAAATTTAAAAATAACTAAATATATGGATAGACCACACTCATGGATTGGGTGACTCGATATTGTCAAGATATCAATCCTACTCACCCTGGTTTATATATTTAATGCAATCCCAATCAAACCCCTGCTAGTTATTTAGACATCTGCAAATTGATTTTAAAGTTTATATGAAGAGCAAAAGAGTCAGAATATGTAACACAGTATTGAAGGACAAGAACAAAGTTGGAGAACTCGCAGTACCTGACTTTGAGACTCACCATAAAACTACATTAATCAAGACCATGTGGTATTGGCAAAAGAACAGACAAATAGATCAATGGAACAGAAGAGAGAGCCCAGAAATACACTCACATGAATATAGTAAACTGATCTTTGACAAAGGAGCAAAGGCTATGCAGTGGAGAAAGTATTTTCAACAAATAGTGCCAGAAAAACTAAACATACACAAGCAGAAAATGAACTTAGAAACAGACCATACACCCTTTACATAAATTAACTCAAAACTGATCACAGACTATAACACAAAACTATAAAACTCCTAAAGATAACACAGGATAAAATCCAGATGACCTTGAATTTGGTGATAATATTTTACATATGATAATAGCACCATTATTTATGAAAGAAAGAATTGAGGGGAAGCTGAACTTCATTAAAATAAAAACTTTTGTTCTTCCAAAGACACTGTCAAGAGAATAAAAAGACAAGCCACAGACTAGGAGAAAATATTTGCAAAAGACATATACAAATATACAAATAACTCTTAAAACTCAACAATAGGCCGGGCGCGGTGGCTCACGCCTGTAATCCCAGCACTTTGGGAGGCCGAGGCGGGCGGATCACGAGGTCAAGAGATCGAGACCATCCCGGCTAAAACGGTGAAACCCCGTCTCTACTAAAAATACAAAAAAATTAGCCGGGCGTAGTGGCGGGCGCCTGTAGTCCCAGCTACTTGGGAGGCTGAGGCAGGAGAATGGCGTGAACCCGGGAGGCGGAGCTTGCAGTGAGCCGAGATCCCGCCACTGCACTCCAGCCTGGGCGACAGAGCGAGACTCCGTCTCAAAAAAAAAAAAAAAAAAAAAAAAAACTCAACAATAAGAAAACACACAAACTGATTTTTAAAATGGCCAAAGACCCTAAAAGACCGCTTACCAAAGAAGATACAGAGATGGCAAATAAGCCTATAAAATCATGCTTCACATCAGTATCATCATAGAATTGAAAAGTAAACAACAGTGAGATACCACTGCATACCTATTAATGTAGCCAAAATCCCTTCTGGGGATGAACGGAGGCACAAGGAAGACAAGCAGGCTTTTGCTGTATCTATAATGTCTCATTTCTTATTTTTCAGATGAACCTTAAGAGAATTATGCTGAGTGAAAAAAGTCAATCCCAAAAGATTATATATTGTATTATTGCACTTATTATTCATTATTCCATATAATAATATTCCATTGACATGAAAAAATTATAGAAATGAAGGACAGATGAGCAGCTGTAAGAGGTCAAGAGTCAGACACCAAATGCTGATGAGGATGTGGAACAACATGAATTCTCATTTATTGCTGGTGGGGATGCAAAACCATGCAGCCTCTTTGGAAGACAGTTTGGCAGTTTTCTACTACTATAATCTGATTGTGTCCTCCTGAAAATTCAAATGTTAAAATCCTAACCCCCAAGGTAATGGTATTGGGAAATGGGGCCTTTGGGGGCTGATTAGTTCATGAAGGTGGAACACTCATTAATTGGATAAGTATCTTTATAAACAGGCCCAACAGAAACCCTTCATCCATTTCACCATGTGAGGACACAGCAAGAATACTCAATTCTGCTGTGGGTCTTCACCAGATACTGAATCTGTGTGCACCTCGATCTTGGACTTCCCAGATTCCAGAACTGTGAGAAATAAATTTCTCCCATTTTGAATCTACCCAGTTAAAGTATTTTGTAACAGAAGCCCAAATGAACTAAAACACCTACAAAGCTAAACATATTCTTGCCTTATAATCCCGCAGTCACACTCCTTGTTATTTATCCAAAAGAGTTGAAAATATCTACACAATAACGTGCACAAGAATGCTTCTAGCACTTTATTCATAATTACCAAAACTTGAAAACAACTAAGATGTCCTTCAGTAGGTGAATGGGTAAACTGGTATCTTCAGACAATGAAATATTTATTCAGCATTAAGAAGAAATAAGCTATCAAGCCATAAAAAAAATGGAGAAATCTTAAATGCATATTACTAAGTTGAAAGAAGCCAATCTGAAAATGCTGCACACCATATGATTTTAATGATATGGCATTCTAGAAAATGCAAAACTATGGAGACAGTACAAAGATCAGTGGTGTTCAGGGTGCCATTGTTTTTGTCCCCACCAAAACTCATGTTGGAACTTTAATTCCCAGTGTGGCAATGTTAAGAGGTGGAACCTTTAAGAGATGGGGTCCAGTGAGAAGCACTTAGGTCAGGGGGGCTCCACCATTGTGAGTAGGTTGGTGCTGTTCTTCTGGTGAGTTCTTTTCCTGGCAAGAGTGGATTAGCTTTCACTGGTTCCCACAGAACCAGGCTGTTACAAAGTGAAATTGCCTCTCATGGTTGGTCCCTTGTGTCATATCCACATATTCTGTTTCTCTGCCATGTTATAATGTAGCATGAGGCCTTCACCAGACACAGAGCAGATTTTAGTGCTATGCTTCTTAGACTTCCCAGTCTCAAGAATCATGAGCCAAGTAAACCTTTTTTTTTTAATAAATTACCCAATTTCAGGTATTCTGTTATAGCAACACAAAACAGACTAAGATAAGGGATTGGAGGGATAGAGAAATGAATAGGTGGAGTCCAGAGGATCTTTAGGATCCTATCATACTATCTATCATATTCTGTATGATACTATAAAGGTAAATACACATCACTTTAAATTTATTCAAACCCACAGAACGTACACCACCAAGAGTGAACCTCGATGTAAAGTATTAACTTTGTATGATAATGAAGCGTCTATGTAGGTTGATCAGGTAGAACAGATGTACCGCTTTGGTGGGGGATGTTGATAATGGAGAATCTGTGCATGTGTTGAGGAAGAATGGGATATCTTTATGCCTTCCTCTCAATTTTTCTGTCACTCTAAAGCTGCTCTAAAAAAGTAAATTCTTCTAATGATACAGTGGACTTTGGGGACTCGGGGGAAAGGATGAGGCATAAAAGACTACACATTGGGTACAGTGTACATTGCTTGGGCTATGGGTGCACCAAAGTCTCAGAAATCACCACTAAAGAACTTATTCATGTAACCAAACACCACCTGTTTCCCAAAAACCTATTGAAATTAAAAATAAATTAAACAACAACAACAAAATGGCAGTTTATTAATGAAAATGTTATAAGATGCATTTAGGATAATATAGCCAAAAGAATGAAACTGAAAAAAAAGAGTGAATTATTCTTAAAAACCTGACAGAACAAAATGCTAGCAAAGATGAGAAGCAACTGGAACTCTCATGTATTTCTGGTGGAAATGCAAAATGGTACAGTCATTTTGGAAAACAGATTATCAGTATCTAATAAGGTTAAACATCCTAGTACCATATAACCCTGTAATTCTCACTCTTAGATATTTATCCAAAAGAAATGAAAACATGTATTCATATAAATATCTCTACACCAGACTTCATAGAAGCTTTAATCATAATCACTACAACTCAAATGTCTGTCAACTGGTAATTTGATTTAAAAAAAACAGTGGTGTATCTACACAATAGGATACCATTCAGGAATAAAAAGTAACAAGCCGCTAATACATGGAAAAACATATATTCAAAATGAAAACATCAAACAGCAAAGACTAAATAAACTCTATGATTCCATTTACTTGAGTTTCTGGAGAGAAAAAACTGTGAAAACCAGATCAGTGGTGTGAGAGGTTAAGGAGGAGGGTACAGGATTAACTGCAGAGGATTACAAGGGAAATTTGGGGAGTGATGGTGATAGTTATACAACTCTATGCATTTGTCAAAATGGCATATTTTTTAAATCTACATTTTGTCATTGTTGTTGGTACCTAGAAATATAATTGATTTTTTGTATATTTATCTAAGAACCAGTAAACTTGCTGAACTTTCCTATTACTGGTAATAATTTTAATCGAGATGCTATTGGATTTTCTATGTATTGGATTTTATATAACTTGTGAATTGCTATTGGATTTTATATAACTTGTGAATTGTAAGGTTTTTGTTACTTTTCTTTGATTCCTTACATTTTTATTTGTTTTTATTACAATGACTACACCTTCAATTAAAATATTGTCCCTGAATTGTATAGAAATGTTTTTAAAATTTTTACTATGAATTATATTTGCAGTAGCTTTTTATAAGATGCTGTCAGTTTCAGGATGTGTTCTCATATTCCTAGTTTTATATAAATTTTTATTATCGATGGGTGTGTTAGTCACCTTGGGCTGCCATAACAAAAAAAAATGTAGACTGGGTAGCTTAAACAACAGAAATTTATTTTCTCACAGTTTTGAAAGCTACAAGTCCCAGATCAAGTGCCAGCTGATGCAGTTTCTAGTGAGGTCTCTCCTCCTGGCTAATATATGGCTGCCTTCTTGATGAATCCTCACAGGGAAAGAGAGAAAGGGAGAAAGAGCATTCTTCCTTTTGGAGGGTCACTAATCCCATCATAAAGGCCCCACCCTCATGATCTAATCAACCATATTTACCTCCCAAAGACTTCCTGACCAATAATCATCATATTGGGTGTTAGGGCTCAAAAATACTAATTTTAGAGGGATACAATTCAGTCCATAGCAATGTGTATTGAATTTTTACTAAATGCTTTTTCTCTACCTATTGAGGTGATTATTATACTTTTCTCTTTTTCTCTGTCAATGTGATAAATTAAACTAAAGGCTTTATATGTCAAATCTTCCTTATATTCCTGAAATAAAGTCTACTTAGTCATGATGCATTATTTTATTTATTTATTGCTTGATTCACATTGCTTTGCTAGCAGGTTATTTAGAATGTCTAAATAAACATAAAGAACATAATTTGCAGTTATCTTTTAGCTATTAAAAGCCTATAGTTTTTAAAATTCTCTTCAGGAATGTATCAAGGATATAAAAAATGTAGACAGGTTTTTATCCTTATTATTATATTGGATTATTTATACACAATTGGGCTCAGATGTTTTTGGGTGGTTTTGTTTGTTTGTTTGTTTGTTTTTTTGTTGTTTGTTTGTTTGTTTTGAGACAGAGCTGTCACCCAGGCTAGAGTGCAGTGGTGTGATCTTGGATCACTGCAACCTCTGCCTCCCGGGTTCAAGCAATTCTTTTGCCTCAGCCTAGCTGGGACTACAGGCACACACCACCATGCCAGCTAATTTTTTGTATTTTTAGTAGAAATGGGATTTCACCGTGTTGGACAGGCTGATCTCAAACTCCTGACCTCAAGTGAGCCGCCTGCCTAAGCTCCCAAAGGGTTGGCATTACAGGTGTGAGCCACTGCACCCAGTCAGGGATCACATGTTTCTTAAAATGTGACAAAACACACCTATAAATCCAACTAACCTAGAAAAGTGTTGAATTATAGATTTTTTACTTCTGTCTTCTCTAATGGTTATAAGTCTATTAAAGTTTCCTATTTTACCTTGAGTCCGTTTCTAAAAACAGTCAGTTTTTTTGTGTGTTTTCAGATGCATTGGCATAAAGTTGTTCATAGTGTTCTCTTACGATTTTTTCATCTCTACTGGATCAGTAGTCATTACCTTTTTCAGGTCTAATACTTTTTATTTATATCTACTCCATTTTTATCTTGATCAAGTTTGCCAGTTGTCTGTTTCACTAAGCTTCTTAAAAACCTAGCCTTTCGTTTTATTTCATTCTCCTAATTTTTGTTCTTGTTTCTACTACTTATTTCCTTCCACTTATTGGGCTTGCTCTGTGTTCTATAGATTCTTATCTGAATAAATAAAATTCACTCAATATTTATCTTTTATTTGGGTAGTGATAATTAATTACTTCATGCTTTGAAATGAATAAAAAAAAGCTTAATAAACACGATGTACCTAGCTAAAGAAATAAGATGCAATGGAGACAACTTTTATTTCCCTCCTCTTCCTTTCTATCAGAAATAACCACTATCTAGCCAGGTGAACTGGCTCACACCTGTAATCCCAGCACTTTGGGAGGCTGAAGCAGGTGGATTGCTTGAGGCCAGTAGTTCAAGACCACCTTGGCCAACATGGTGAAACCCCATCTCTACTAAAAATACAAAAATTAGCCAGGTTTGGTGGACCCTGCCTGTAATCCCAGCTTCTTGGGAGGCTGAGGTGCTTGAACCCAGGAGGCAGAGATTGCAGTGAACTGAGATCATACCACTGTGCTCCAGCCTAGGCAACACGGCAAGACTCTGTCTCAAAAACAAAAAAAGTTTAAAGGTTATCAAGCAAATGTATATTTTACCTTACTGTATAGGTATGCAACTCTAACCAGCATAGAGTATTATTGTGCATAGCTTTAAACTTACTATAAATGGGATGATGTCAGCAAGAGTCTAGAATACAAATTTCCAGTACTCATGCTTTTGCAGAAACACAAATTGGAACAACTATCCACACATGAAAATACCTTTACGAAGGCTAAGGAATCCAGGTGAGAGATTGCAGCACTTGGGTGGAGGACAGAAATAAGAAATGACACATTGAAGATGGTAGGAAAGACAGTTTCACATTGCCCACATCACCTCTCCCTGCCAGCCTGAACAGTACAGTATGGACAGATACCCTCCACTTAGGAGACGGAGAGTGAAATGGGCACCCAACTTTCCCACACACCCCAACACTAAGCCTACCCCAGTGAACTCTGGTGCCAACCCAGCCCCCATAACCCCAGGTTGCAGGTCTATCCCCATGGCCACAGGATCCAGGCCAACTCCCACAGATCTCAGAACAAGATTTGCCCCAGTGGACCCCAGCACCACTCTGACTCCTGTAGACTCAGGCTCAAGGGTCATCCTGGCACCACCTTGGCCCCCATGAACCCAGGCTTTAAGCTGACACCCGTGGACATGGACTCTAGGCCTGCCCCCACAGTCCTAAGCTCCAGGTTTAGCTTCCATGGACACAGGCTCCAGAATGGCTCCCATGAACCAAGCACCAGGCCAGTCCTTTGGTACCCAGGCAATATGCACTTTCACCTGTTGACCCAGGCACCAATCCAGCCCACCAAAGAACTCCAGAAGCAAGTCTGTCCATGGATCCATCCAGATGGCTTGCTCCGAATCTCTTGATGGGCTGACTAGTAAAGGGCTCCTCCTGCCAAAGCCAGTCTGTAAATAGTAGAAAGGGTTCCTATTCCTTCAAATGTGCAGACACCAATGCAAGGCCACAAAGATCACAAATAATCAGGCAAATATGACACCATCAAATAAATAAAAAGTAACTGACACTAAAGAAATGGAGATCTATGAATTTCCTGACACAGAATTCAAAATAATTGTCTCAAAGAAGTTCAGTGAGCTACAAGAGAACAACTAAATGAAATCAAAACAATATGTAAGCAAAAAGAAAAGTTCAACAAAGAGATAGAAACCTGTGTTAGACCATTCTTGCTATAAAGAAGTACCTGAAGCTGGGTAATTAATAAAGAAAATAGGTTGGCCAGGTGCAGTGGCTCATGCCTGTAATCCCAACATTTTGGGAGGCCAAGGTGGGAGGATCACTGGAGGTCAGGAGTTCGAGACCAGCCTGACCAACATGGTGAAACCCCATCTCTACTAAAAGTACAAAAATTAGCCAGTCCTGGTGATGCATGCTTGTAATCCCAGCTACCTGGAAGGCTGAGGCTGGAGAATTGCTTGAACCCAGGAGGCAGAGGTTGCAGTGAGTTGAGATCTCACCATTGCACTCCAGCCTGGGCAACAAAAATGAAACTCCATCACAAAGAAAAAGAAAGAAAAGAAAAGGTTTAATTGGCTTACAGTTCTGCAGGCTCTACAGGAAACATGGCACTGGCATCTGCTCAGTGTCTCCCTAGAGGGAGGCCTCAGGAAACTTTCCCTCATGGCATAAGGCAAAGCAGGAGCAGGTACATCATATAGTGAAAGGTGAAAACAGGAGCAGGTGGAAGAAGTAGATGCCACACACTTTTAAACAACCAGATCTCACCATAATTCACTATTGTGACGATAGCACCAAGGAGATGTTGCTAAATCATTTATGAGAAAGCTGCTCTCATGATTCAAACACCTCCTACCAGTCCCCACCTCCAACACTGGGAATTACATTTCATCATGAGATTTAGAGGCAACACATATTCAAACTATATCAAAACCATAAAAAATAATTGATATGGTTTGGCTCTGTCCCCACCCAAATCTCAAATTGTGGCTCCCATAATTCCCATGTGTTGTGGGAGGGACCTAGTGGAAGATAACTGAATCATGGTGGCAGTTTCCTTCATACAGTTCTCGTTGTAGTGAATAAGTCTCATGAGATCTGATGGTTTTATAAAGGGAAACCCCTTTCACTTAGTTCTCATTTTTCTCTTGTCTGCCACCATGTAAGACATGCCTCTCCCCTTCTGCCATGATTGTGAGGACTCCCCAGCCACATGGAAACTTGAGTCCATTAAACTTTTTTTTATGAATTACTCAGTCTCAGGTATGTCTTTATCAGCAACATGAAAACAGACTAATACAAGGACCAAACAAAAATCCTAGAGCTGAGAATACAATGACTAAAATGCAAAATTCAATAGAGTTTCAATGGACTCAATTAAGTAGAATAAAGAATCAGTGAACTTGAAAACAGATCATTTGAAAAGAACCAGAGAAACAAACAAACAGAAAAAGAATGAAAAAGAGTAAAGAATTCCTGTGGAACTCATAGGACCCCAAAAAAGCAAGCTAATATTCATACTATGGGAGTCCCAAAAGGAGCAGAAAAAGAGAAAGGAAAAGAAAGCTTACATAAGAAATAATAATGGAAAATTTCCCAAATTTGGAGAGGGAAATGAATATCCAGATCCATAAAGACCAAAGAACTGCAAATATTAAATATAAGATCTTTATTGAGACATATCATAATCAAATTCTCAAAAGCTAAATACAAAGCGAGAACTTTGAAAGTAGCTAGATAGGACAGGTGCAGTGGTTCATGCCTGTAATCCCAATACTTTAGGAGGCCAAGACAGATGGATCACTGAAGGTCAGGAGTTCCAGACCAGCCTGGTCAACATGGTGAGATCCCGTCTTTATTAAAAATATAAAAATCAGCTGGGCATGGTGGCAAGTGTGTGTAACCCCAGCTATTTGGAAGGCTGAGGCAAGAGAATTGCTTGAGCCTTGGAGGTGGAGGTTGCAGTGAGCCAAGATCATGTCACTGCACTCCAGTCTGGGTGACATAGTGAGACTCCATCTCAAAAAATAAAAAAAAAATAATAGGGGAGGAACCAAGATGGCCGAATAGGAACAGCTCCGGTCTACAGCTCCCAGCGTGAGCGATGCAGAAGATGGGTGATTTCTGCATTTCCATCTGAGGTACCGGGTTCAACTCACTAGGGAGTGCCAGACAGTGGGCGCAGGCCAGTGGGTGTGCGCACCGTGTGCGAGCCGAAGCAGGGCGAGGCATTGCCTCACCTGGGAAGCGCAAGGGGTCAGGGAGTTCCCTTTCCGAGTCAAAGAAAGGGGTGACAGACGCACCTGGAAAATCGGGTCACTCCCACCCGAATATTGCACTTTTCAGACCGGCTTAAAAAACGGCGCACCACGAGATTATATCCCACACCTGGCTCGGAGGGTTCTACGCCCACGGAATCTGGCTGATTGCTAGCACAGCAGTCTGAGATCAAACTGCAAGGCGGCAGCGAGGCTGGGGGAGGGGCGCCCGCCATTGCCCAGGCTTGCTTAGGTAAACAAAGCTGCCGGGAAGCTCGAACTGGGTGGAGCCCACCACAGCTCAAGGAGGCCTGCCGGCCTCTGTAGGCTCCACCTCTGGAGGCAGGGCACAGACAAACAAAAAGACAGCAGTAACCTCTGCAGACTTAAATGTCCCTGTCTGACAGCTTTGAAGAGAGCAGTGGTTCTCCCAGCACGCAGCTGGAGATCTGAGAATGGGCAGACTGCCTCCTCAAGTGGGTCCCTGACCCCTGACCCCCGAGCAGCCTAACTGGGAGGCACCCCCCAGCAGGGGCACACTGACACCTCACACGGCAGGGTATTCCAACAGACCTGCAGCTGAGGGTCCTGTCTGTTAGAAGGAAAACTAACAAACAGAAAGGACATCCACACCAAAAACCCATCTGTACATCACCATCATCAAAGACCAAAAGTAGATAAAACCACAAAGATGGGGAAAAAACAGAACAGAAAAACTGGAAACTCTAAAACGCAGAGTGCCTCTCCTCCTCCAAAGGAACGCAGTTCCTCACCAGTAACGGAACAAAGCTGGATGGAGAATGATTTTGACGAGCTGAGAGAAGAAGGCTTCAGACGATCAAATTACTCTGAGCTATGGGAGGACATTCAAACCAAAGGCAAAGAAGTTGAAAACTTTGAAAAAAATTTAGAAGAATGTACAACTAGAATAACCAATACAGAGAAGTGCTTAAAGGAGTTGATGGAGCTGAAAACCAAGGCTCGAGAACTACGTGAAGAATGCAGAAGCCTCAGGAGCCGATGCGATCAACTGGAAGAAAGGGTATCAGCAATGGAAGATGAAATGAATGAAATGAAGCGAGAAGGGAAGTTTAGAGAAAAAAGAATAAAAAGAAATGAGCAAAGCCTCCAAGAAATATGGGACTATGTGAAAAGACCAAATCTACATCTCATTGGTGTACCTGAAAGTGATGGGGAGAATGGAACCAAGTTGGAAAACACTCTGCAGGATATTATCCAGGAGAACTTCCCCAATCTAGCAAGGCAGGCCAACGTTCAGATTCAGGAAATACAGAGAACGCCACAAAGATACTCCTCGAGAAGAGCAACTCCAAGACACATAATTGTCAGATTCACCAAAGTTGAAATGAAGGAAAAAATGTTAAGGGCAGCCAGAGAGAAAGGTGGGGTTACCCTCAAAGGGAAGCCCATCAGACTAACAGCGGATCTCTCAGCAGAAACCCTACAAGCCAGAAGAGAGTGGGGGCCAATATTCAACATTCTTAAAGAAAAGAATTTTCAACCCAGAATTTCATATCCAGCCAAACTAAGCTTCATAAGTGAAGGAGAAATAAAATACTTTACAGACAAGCAAATGCTGAGAGATTTTGTCACCACCAGGCCTGCCCTAAGAGAGCTCCTGAAGGAAGCGCTAAACATGGAAAGGAACAACCGGTACCAGCCACTGCAAAATCATGCCAAAATGTAAAGACCATCGAGACTAGGAAGAAAGTGCATCAACTAATGAGCAAAATCACCAGCTAACATCATAATGACAGGATCAAATTCACACATAACAATATTAACTTTAAATGTAAATGGACTAAATTCTCCAATTAAAAGACACAGACTGGCAAGTTGGATAAAGAGTCAAGACCCATCAGTGTGCTGTATTCAGGAAACCCATCTCACGTGCAGAGACACACATAGGCTCAAAATAAAAGGATGGAGGAAGATCTACCAAGCAAATGGAAAACAAAAAAAGGCAGGGGTTGCAATCCTAGTCTCTGATAAAACAGACTTTAAACCAACAAAGATCAAAAGAGACAAAGAAGGCCATTACATAATGGTAAAGGGATCAATTCAACAAGAGGAGCTAACTATCCTAAATATATATGCACCCAATACAGGAGCACCCAGATTCATAAAGCAAGTCCTGAGTGACCTACAAAGAGACTTAGACTCCCACACATTAATAATGGGAGACTTTAACACCCCACTGTCAACATTAGACAGATCAACGAGACAGAAAGTCAACAAGGATACCCAGGAATTGAACTCAGCTCTGCACCAAGCGGACCTGATAGACATCTACAGAACTCTCCACCCCAAATCAACAGAATATACATTTTTTTCAGCACCACACCACATCTATTCCAAAATTGACCACATAGTTGGAAGTAAAGCTCTCCTCAGCAAATGTAAAAGAACAGAAATTATAACAAACTATCTCTCAGACCACAGTGCAATCAAACTAGAACTCAGGATTAAGAATCTCACTCAAAGCCGCTCAACTACATGGAAACTGAACAACCTGCTCCTGAATGACTACTGGGTACATAACGAAATGAAGGCAGAAATAAAGATGTTCTTTGAAACCAACGAGAACAAAGACACAACATACCAGAATCTCTGGGACACATTCAAAGCAGTGTGTAGAGGGAAATTTATAGCACTAAATGCCCACAAGAGAAAGCAGGAAAGATCCAAAATTGACACCCTAATATCACAATTAAAAGAACTAGAAAAGAAAGAGCAAACACATTCAAAAGCTAGCAGAAGGCAAGAAATAACTAAAATCAGAGCAGAACTGAAGGAAATAGAGACACAAAAAATCCTTAAAAAAATCAATGAATCCAGGAGCTGGTTTTTTGAAAGGATCAACAAAATTGATAGACCGCTAGCAAGACTAATAAAGAAAAAAAGAGAGAAGAATCAAATAGACACAATAAAAAATGATAAAGGGGATATCACCACCGATCCCACAGAAATACAAACTACCATCAGAGAATATTACAAACACCTCTATGCAAATAAACTAGAAAATCTAGAAGAAATGGATACATTCCTCGACACATACACTCTCCCAAAACTAAACCAGGAAGAAGTTGAATCTCTGAATAGACCAATAACAGGAGCTGAAATTGTGGCAATAATCAATAGTTTACCAACCAAAAAGAGTCCAGGACCAGATGGATTCACAGCCGAATTCTACCAGAGGTACAAGGAGGAACTGGTACCATTCCTTCTGAACCTATTCCAATCAATAGAAAAAGAGGGAATCCTCCCTAACTCATTTTATGAGGCCAGCATCATTCTGATACCAAAGCCGGGCAGAGACACAACCAAAAAAGAGAATTTTAGACCAATATCCTTGATGAACATTGATGCAAAAATCCTCAATAAAATACTGGCAAACCGAATCCAGCAGCACATCAAAAAGCTTATCCACCATGATCAAGTGGGCTTCATCCCTGGGATGCAAGGCTGGTTCAATATACACAAATCAATAAATGTAATCCAGCATATAAACAGAGCCAAAGACAAAAACCACAGATTATCTCAATAGATGCAGAAAAAGCCTTTGACAAAATTCAACAACCCTTCATGCTAAAAACTCTCAACAAATTAGGTATTGATGGGACGTATTTCAAAATAATAAGAGCTATCTATGACAAACCCACAGCCAGTATCATACTGAATGGGCAAAAACTGGAAGCATTCCCTTTGAAAACTGGCACAAGACAGGGATGCCCTCTCTCACCGCTCCTATTCAACATAGTGTTGGAAGTTCTGGCCAGGGCAATCAGGCAGGAGAAGGAAATAAAGGGTATTCAATTAGGAAATGAGGAAGTCAAATTGTCCCTGTTTGCAGACGACATGATTGTTTATCTAGAAAACCCCATGGTCTCAGCCCAAAATCTCCTTAAGCTGATAAGCAACTTCAGCAAAGTCTCAGGATACAAAATCAATGTACAAAAATCACAAGCATTCCTATACACCAACAACAGACAAACAGAGAGCCAAATCATGAGTGAACTCCCATTCACAATTGCTTCAAAGAGAAAAAAATACCTAGGAATCCAACTTACAAGGGATGTGAAGGACCTCTTCAAGGAGAACTACAAACCACTGCTCAAGGAAATAAAAGAGTATACAAACAAATGGAAGAACATTCCATGCTCATGGGTAGGAAGAATCAATATCGTGAAAATGGCCATACTGCCCAAGGTAATTTACAGATTCAATGCCATCCCCATCAAGCTACCAATGACTTTCTTCACAGAATTGGAAAAAACTACTTTAAAGTTCATATGGAACCAAAAAAGAGCCCGCATCGCCAAGTCAATCCTAAGCCAAAAGAACAAAGCTGGAGGCATCACACTACCTGACTTCAAACTATACTACAAGGCTACAGTAACCAAAACAGCATGGTACTGGTACCAAAACAGAGATATAGATCAATGGAACAGAACAGAGCCCTCAGAAATAACGCCGCTTACCTACAACTATCTGATCTTTGACAAACCTGAGAAAAACAAGCAATGGGGAAAGGATTCCCTATTTAATAAATGGTGCTGGGAAAACTGGCTAGCCATATGTAGACAGCTGAAACTGGATCCCTTCCTTACACCTTATACAAAAATCAATTCAAGATGGATTAAAGATTTAAACGTTAGACCTAAAACCATAAAAACCCTAGAAGAAAACCTAGGCATTACCATTCAGGACATAGGCGTGGGCAAGGACTTCATGTCCAAAACACCAAAAGCAATGGCAACAAAAGCCAAAAGTGACAAATGGGATCTAATTAAACTAAAGAGCTTCTGCACAGCAAAAGAAACTACCATCAGAGTGAACAGGCAACCTACAACATGGGAGAAAATTTTTGCAACTTACTCATCTGACAAAGGGCTAATATCCAGAATCGACAATGAACTCAAACAAATTTACAAGAAAAAAACAAACAACCCCATCAAAAAGTGGGCAAAGGACATGAACAGACACTTCTCAAAAGAAGACATTTATGCAGCCAAAAAACACATGAAAAAATGCTCATCATCACTGGCCATCAGAGAAATGCAAATCAAAACCACTATGAGATATCATCTCACACCAGTTAGAATGGCAATCATTAAAAAGTCAGGAAACAACAGGTGCTGGAGAGGATGTGGAGAAATAGGAACACTTTTACACTGTTGGTGGGACGGTAAACTAGTTCAACCATTGTGGAAGTCAGTGTGGCGATTCCTCAGGGATCTAGAACTAGAAATACCATTTGACCCAGCCATCTCATTACTGGGTATATACCCAAATGACTATAAATCATGCTGCTATAAAGACACATGCACACGTATGTTTATTGCGGCATTATTCACAATAGCAAAGACTTGGAACCAACCCAAATGTCCAACAATGATAGACTGGATTAAGAAAATGTGGCACATATACACCATGGAATACTATGCAGCCATAAAAAATGATGAGTTCATGTCCTTTGTAGGGACATGGATGAAATTGGAAACCATCATTCTCAGTAAACTATCGCAAGAACAAAAAACCAAACACCGCATATTCTCACTCATAGGTGGGAATTGAACAATGAGATCACATGGACACAGGAAGGGGAATATCACTCTGGGGACTGTGGTGGGGAGGGGGGAGGGGGGAGGGATAGCATTGGGAGATATACCTAATGCTAGATGACGAGTTAGTGGGTGCAGTGCACCAGCATGGCACATGTATACATATGTAACTAACCTGCACAATGTGCACATGTACCCTAAAACTTAAAGTATAATTTAAAAAAAATTAAAAAATTAAAAAATAAAAATAAATAAATCAATAAAGTAAGTTGCAAAGTTTGCCCCTAAAAAACAAAAAACAAACATAATAATAATAATAATAATAATAAGCCAGACGCGGTGGCTCATGCTTGCAATCCCAGCACTTTGGGAGGCCGAGGCAGCCAGATCACAAGGTCAGGAGATCGAGACCATCCTGGCTAACACCGTGAAACCCCATCTCTACTAAAAATACAAAAAAAATTAGCCAGGCATGGTGGCGGGTGCCTGTAGTCCCAGCCACTCAGGAGGCTGAGGCAGGAGAATGGTGTGAACCTGGGAGGTGGAGCTTGCAGTGAGCCAAGATCATGCCACTGCACTCCAACCTGGGTGACAGAGCGAGACTCCATCTCAAAAAAAAACTAAATAAAAAGTAATAAAAATAAATAGAAAGTAGCGAGATAAGAGTGACTTGTCACATACAAAGGAATCTTCCTATGAATATCAGCAGATTTCTCAACAGAAACCTTGCATGCCAGGAGAGTAGGATGATATATTCAAAGTTCTAAAAGAAAAAAAATTGCCAACCAAGAACATTATACCTAACAAAGCACTCCTGCAGAAAGAAGAGAAATAAAGACTTTCCCAGAAATACAAAAGCTGTGGAAGTTCATCACTGTTAGACCTGCCTTATAAGAAATGCTAAAAGGAGTTCTTCAAGTTGACACAAAATGATGCTAACTAACAATATAAAAATATAAAACTCACCATAAAGGAAGACCCAGTGGTAGTCTTCCTTTCCACAGTGAAGATTGATCGAACCTCAAAATCTGTTTTATAAGAAGAAAAAAAAAAACAGTATTTTTTAAACACTGTCCTAAAAATAATTTTGTTCACCTCTTAGTAACTTTAAGTCTTTAATAAAATATTTCAGGCCCAGCATGGTGGCTCATACCTATAATCCCAGCACTTTGAGAGGCTGAGGCCAGCAGATTGCTTGTGCTCACAAGTTCAAGATCAGCCTGGGCAACATGGTAAAACCCCATCTTTACAAAAAATACAAAAAATTAGCCAGGCATTGTGGTATGCACCTGTGGTTCCAGCTTCTTGGGTGGCTGAGGTGGGAGGATTACTTGAGCCCAGGAGATTGATGCTGCAGTGAGTAGTAATCATGTCACTGCACTCCAGCTTAGGCAACAGTGAGACCCTTTCTTAAAAAAAATAAACAAGACAAAATATAATAAAATATACGTTCTAATATTAATCTTATTTTGACAATTAATGCAAAATATTCTTGTTTGCTTTCTTATTTTGATGTCTTGAAAATAAATGTAATTCAAATTTATAGCAGATATTGCTATAATACTGCTGTAAACCTAAAACTGCTCTAGAAAATAAAGCCAATATTTTTAAAGTAAAAATTAAAAAACAAATGGAATCACACAGTACATATCCTTCTAAGATGCCTTTTTTCCTTACTCAACATTAAGTGGTTGAGATTAAACTAAATAAACTCAGTTATGGTTTGCTTAACTGGTGTATAGTATCAATTCATTCATTTATTATTTACACATACACAATTTATTTGTTTACTTTCTCATTGATAAACACATAGGTTGAGTCTCAATTTTTTGCAATAATAAATAATGTAGCTATGAACACTCTTGTAAATTTTTTGTGCCTAGTGTGAGTTACTTTAGGATATGTTATTTCCTTGTAGTGGAATTGTTGGGTCCTAAAGAACCAACTCTACAATTATTACCAAGATGTTTTCTAAAATAGTAGTATCAATTTACACTCCTTCCAGCTCCATTATGAAAGTTTCTATCATTTCAAATTCTAGACTGCATTTGAAATTTTAAGTTTTACATTTTTGCCAATATGATTTTTGAAATACTATTTGTTTCTTCTTCCTTCAGTACATAGATTTAAAGCTATAAATTCCTAAGTATTGCTTTAGCTACATCTTATCAATTTTCATGTGCAATTTTTTTCATTGTTGCTTAGTACTAAATCTTTCCTAGTTTCTATCTTGTTGTTTGACCCATGAATTATTTTTAAATGTGCTTTTTAGAAAAATTATAAATGTACAAGTGATATGGGATTATTGTTTTGTTAATGATTAATCATTTTATTACATATGGTCAGAGAATGTCGTTTGTGTAACATTTGTTGTTTGGTATATTTTGAGACTTGTTTTGTAACCTAGTACTTGGTCAAGTTTTGTAACTGTTTGAGGTGTATTTGAAAAGAATGAATATTCTAGAACTGTTGCAAAAGGTCCAGTGTTCCTTATAGACCTATTATATCCACAATCATAATAGCAAATGAAGGCAATTGTGTTGTTTAAATTTTTCATGGCTTAATCGAAAAACCAATTAATGACAGTAATGCATTAAAACATTCTATATTTATTGTGGATTTGTCAACTTTTTTCTGTAATTCTTTTTTCTTTTGTTTTTGCTTTGTCTGGAAGGCTATATCATTAGATTTATGTAAGTATAAGGCATATGTAAGGAAAATACTCCTTCAATTATATCATAAAACTCTTTATCCTTAAATTTTTATTTTAGGTTCAAGAGTACATGTGCAGATTTGTTATATAGGTAAATTGGATGTCACAGGGGTTTGGTGTACAGATTGTTTTATCACTCGGGTAATAAGCATAGAGCCTGATAGGTAGTTTTTCAATCCTTACTCTCCTTCCAGCCTCCATCCTCAAGTAGGCTCCGATGTCTATTTTTCCATTTTTTTTGTGTTCATATGTACTCAATGTTTAGCTCCCACTTAAAGTGAGAACATGTGATATTTGGTTTTCTGTTCCTATGGTAGTTTACTTAGGATAATAACCTCTATCTCCAACCATGTTGCTGCATAGTATTCCTTGGTGTGTATGTGCCACATTTCCTTTATCCGTTCTACCATCATTGGGCATTTAGGTCGATTCCATGTCTTTGCTATTGTGCTGCAACGAATATACACATGTATATGTGTCTTTATGGTAGAACGATCTATATTCCTTTGGATATATACACTATAATGCATTTGCTGGGTCAAATGCTAGTTCTGCTTTGAGTTCTTTGAGAAATCGCCAAACTACTTTCCACAGTGACTGAATTAATTTACCTTTCCACCAACAGTGTATAAGCATTTCCTTTTCTCCACAACCTGGCCAGCATCTATTATTTCTTGACATTTTAATAGTAGTCATTCTGATGGGTATGAGATGACATCTCACTGTGGTTTTGATTTGCATTTCTCTAATAATAAGTGATGTTGAGAATTTTTTCATATGTTTTTTGGCCACGTATGTGTCTTCTTCTGATAAGTGCCTGTTTAACAATGCTTTTTATATTATCACCTATATATTTGGTCTGATATTAATATTACTATGCTGGTTACTTTTAGATAATATTTCTCTATTATGTGAATATACCAATATTTACATTTCCTTTGCTTTTGATAATTCTAGTCTGATTTTCTGAGTTTCCTACTCCAACATGTGAGTATATGTTTTTTCTAACTGGTAAAGGTTTATTTACCATTATTATAATTACCAGTTTATTTCCATTTATATATACTATTTTATCTTTAGTTCCTATTTACTATAATTGTTCCTTATTGTTTTCTACCTGCACATTTTCAATGGAATTACCTGAGTTTTCTTTCTTCCTTTTTCTAGCCTAATTTAAAAATTTGAACTCTATTAGCATTCTATTGGACAGTAAAATTCTATTTCTTTTTTATTATTGTACTTTAAGTTCTAGGGTACATGTGCACAATGTGCAGGTTTGTTACATATGTATACATGTGCCATATTGCTTTGCTGCACCTATTAACTCATCATTTACATTAGGTATCTCTCCTAATGCCCTCCCTCCCCCATCCCCCCACCCCACAACAGGCCCCAGTGTGTGATGTTCCCCACCCTATGTCCAAGTGTTCTCATTGTTCAATCCCCTCTATGAGTGAGAACATGTGGTGTTTGGTTTTCTGCCTTTGTGATAGTTTGCTTTGAATGATGATTTCCAGCTTCATCCATGTCCCTACAAAGGACATGAACTCATCCTTTTTATGGCTGCATAGTATTCCATGGGGTATATGTGCCACATTTTCTTAATCCAGTCTATCATTGATGGACATTTGGGTTGGTTCCAAGTCTTTGCTATTGTGAATAGGGCCACAATAAACATACATGTGCATGTGTCTTTATAGTAGCATGATTTATAATCGTTTGGGTATATACCCAGTAAAGAGATCGCTGGGTCTAACAGTATTTCTAGTTCTAGATCCCTGAGGAATCACCACACTATCCTCCACAATGGCTGAACTAGTTTACACTCCTACCAACAGTGTAAAAGTGTTCCTATTTCTCCACATCTTCTCCAGCACCTGTTGTTTCCTGACTTTTTAATCATCATTCTAACTGGCGTGAGATGGTATCTCATTGTGGTTTTGATCTGAATTTCTCTGATGGCCAGTGATGATGAGCATTTTTTCATGTGTCTGTTGGCTGCAAAAATGTCTTCTTTTGAGAACTGTCTTCATATTCTTTGCCCACTTTTTGATGGGTTTGTTTGATTTTTTCTTGTAAATTTTTTTAAGTTCTTTGTAGATTCTGGATATTAGCCCTTTGTCAGATGGGTAAATTGCAAAAATTTTCTCCCATTCTGTAGGTGGCCTGTACACTCTGATGGTAGTTTCTTTTGCTGTGCAGAAGCTCTTTAGTTTAATTAGGTCCCATTTCTCTATTTTGGCTTTTGTTGCCATTGCTTTTGGTGTTTTAGTCATGAAGTCCTTGCCCATGCCTATGTCCTGAATGGTATTGCCTAGGTTTTCTTCTAGGGCCTTTATGGCTTTAGGTCTAACATTTAAGTCTTTAATCCATCTTGAATTAATTTTTGTATAAGGTGTAAGGAAGGGATCAAGTTTCAGCTTTCTACATATGGCTGGCCAGTTTTCCCAGCACCATTTATTAAATAGGGAATCCTTTCCCCATTTCTTGTTTTTGTCAGGTTTGTCAAAGATCAGATGGTTATAGATGTGTGATATTATTCCTTAGGCCTCTGTTCTGTTCCATTGGTCTATATCTCTGTTTTGGTACCAGTACCATGCTGTTTTGGTTACTATAGCCTTGTAGTATAGTTTGAAATCAGGTAGCGTGAATCTTCCAGCTTTGTTCTTTTTGCTTAGGATTGTTTTGGCAATGCAGGCTCTTTTTTGGTTCCATATGAACTTTAAAGTAGTTTTTTCCAGTTCTGTGAAGAAAGTCATTGGTAGCTTGATGGGGATGGCATTGAATCTATAAATTACCTTGGGCAGTATGGCCATTTTTACAATATTGATTCTTCCTATCCATGAGCATGGAATGTTCTTCCATTTGTTTGTGTCCTCTTTTATTTCCTTGAGCAGTGGTTTGTAATTCTCCTTGAAGAGGTCCTTCACATCCATTGTAAGTTGGATTCCCAGGTATTTTATTCTCTTTGTAATAATTGTGAATGAGAGTTCATTCATGATTTGGCTCTCTGTTTGTCTGTTATTCGTGTATAGGAATGCTTGTGATTTTTGCACACTGATTTTGTATCCTGAGACTTTGCTGAAGTTGCTTATCAGCTTAAGGAGATTTTGGGCTAAGATGATGGGGTTTTCTAAATATACAATCATGTCATCTGCAAACAGGGACAATTTGACTTCCTCATTTCCTAATTGAATACCCTTTATTTCTTTCTCTTTCCTGATTGCCCTGGCCAGAACGTCCAACACTATGTTGAATAGGAGTGGTGAGAGAGGGCATCCCCGTCTTGTGCCAGTTTTCAAAGGGAATGCTTCCAGTTTTTGCCCATTCAGTATGATATTGGATCTTATTATTTTGAGATATATCCCATCAATATCTAGTTTATTGAGAGTTTTAGGGTTTTTATGAGAGTTTTTAGCTTGAAGGGCTGTTGAATTTTGTCAATGGCCTTTTCTGCATCTACTGAGATAATCATGTGGTTTTTGTCTTTGGTTCTGTTTATGTGACACATTACGTTTATGATTTTCGTATGTTGAACCAGCCTTGCATCCCAGGGATGAAGCCAACTTGGTAGTGGTGGATAAGCTTTTTAATGTGTTGCTGGATTCAGTTTGCCAGTATTTTATTGAGAATTTTTGCATCGATGTTCATCAGGGATATTGGTCTAAAATTCTCTTTTTTTGTTGTGTCTCTGCCAGGCTTTGGTATGAGGATGACACTGGCCTCATAAAATGAGTTAGAGAGGATTCCCTCTTTTCCTATTGATTGGGATAGTTTCAGAAGGAATGGCACCAGTGCCTCTTTGTACCTCTGGTAGAATTTGGCTATGAATCCATCTGGTCCTGGACTTTTTTTTTGGTTGGTAGGCTATTAATTATTGCCTCAATTTCAGAACCTGTTACTGGTGTATTCAGAGATTAAACTTCTTCCTGGTTTTGTCTTGGGAGGGTGTATGTGTCCAGGAATTTATCCATTTCCTCTAGATTTTCTAGTTTATTTGAGTAGAGGTGTTTATAGTATTCTCTGATGATAGTTTGTATTTCTGCGGGATCGGTGGTGATATCCCCTTTATCACTTTTTATTGCATCTGTTTGATTCTTCTCTCTTTTCTTCTTTATTAGTCTTGTTAACGGTCTATCAGTTTTTGTTGATCTTTAAAAGAAAACCAGCACCTGGATTCATTGATTTTATTGAAGGGTTTTTTGTCTCTATCTCCTTCAGTTCTGCTCTGATCTTAGTTATTTCTTGCCTTCTGCTAGCTTTTGAATTTGTTTGCTCTTGCTTCTCTAGTTCTTTTTATTGTGAGTTTAGTCTGTTGATTTTAGATCTTTCCTGCTTTCTCTTGTGGGCATTTAGAACTATAAATTTCCCTCTACACACTGCTTTAAATGTGTCCCAGAGATTCTGGTACATTGTGTTTTTGTTCTCATTTGTTTCAAAGAACATCTTTATTTCTGCCTTCATTTCATTATTTACCCAGTAGTCATTCAGGAGCAGGTTGTTCAGTTTCCATGTAGTTGTGCAGTTTTGAGTGAGGTTCTAAGTCCTGTTTTCTAATTTGATTGAGCTGTGGTCTGAGACACAGTTTGTTGTGATTTCTGTTCTTTTACATTTGCTGAGGAGTGCTTTACTTCCAACTATGTCATCAATTTTGGAATAAGTGCGATGTGGTGCTAAGAAGAATGTATATCCTGTTGATTTGGGGTGGAGAGTTCTGTAGATGTCTATTAGGTCAGCTTGGTGCAGAGCTTAGTTCAAATCCTGGATATCCTTGTTAACCTTCTGTCTCATTGATCTGTCTAATATTGACAGTGGGTTGTTAAAAGTCTCCCATTATTAATGTATGGGAGTCTAAGTCTCTTTGTAGGCCTCTAAGGGCTTGCTTTATGAATCTGGGTGCTCCTGTATTGGGTGCATATATATTTAGGATAGTTAGCTCTTCTTGTTGAATTGATCCCTTTACCATTATGTAATGGCCTTCTTTGTCTCTTTTGAACTTCATTCGTTTAAAATCTGTTTTATTGGAGACTAGGATTGCAATCCCTGCTTTCTTTTGCTTTCCCTTTCCTTGGTAGATCTTCCTCCATCCCTTTATTTTGAGCCTATATGTGTCTCTGCATGTGAGATGGGTCTCCTGAATACAACACACTGATGGGTCTTGACTCTTTATCCAATTTGTCAGTCTGTGTCTTTTAATTGGAGGCATTTAGCCCATTTAAGGTTAATATTGTTGTGTGTGAATTGGATCCTGTCATGATGTTAGCTGGTTATTTTGCCCATTAGTTGATGCAGTTTCTTCCTAGCCTTGATGATCTTTACAATTTGGCATGTTTTTGCAGTGGCTGGTACCAGTTGTTCTTTTCCATGTTTAGTGCTTCCTTCAGGAGCTCTTTTAGGGCAGGCCTGGTGGTGACAAAATCTCTCAGCATTTGCTTGTCTGTAAAGGATTTTATTTCTCCTTCACTTATGAAGCTTAGTTTGGCTGGATATGAAATTCTGGGTTGAAAATTCTTTTCTTTAAGAATGTTGAATATTGGCCCCCACTCTGTTCTGGCTTGTAGAGTTTCTGCTGAGAGATCCACTGTTAGTCTGATGGGTTTCCCTTGTGGGTAACCCGACCTTTCTCTCTGGCTGCCCTTAACATTTTTTCCTTCATTTCAACTTTGGTGAATCTGACAATTATGTGTCTTGGAGTTGCTCTTCTCGAGGAGTATCTTTGAGGTGTCCTCTGTATTTCCTGAATTTGAATGTTGGCCTGCCTTGCTAGGTTGGGGAACTTCTCCTGGATAATATCCTGAAAAGTGTTTTCCAACTTGGTTCCATTCTCCCTGTCACTTTCAGGTATACCAATCAAACATAGATTTGGTCCTTTCATATAGTCCCATATTTCTTGGAGGCTTTGTTAGTTTCTTTTCACTCTTTTTTCTCTAATCTTGTCTTCTTGCTTTATTTCATTAATTTGATCTCCAATCGCTGATATCCTTTCTTCCACTTGATCGAATTGGCTATTGAAGCTTGTGCATGCATCATGAAGTTCTCATGCCATGATTTTCAGCTCCATCATGTCATTTAAGGTCTTCTCTACACTGTTTATTCTAGTTAGCCATTTGTGTAACCTTTTTTTGAGGTTTTTAGCTTCCTTGCAGTGGGTTCAAACATCCTCCTTTAACTTGGAGAAGTTTGTTATTACCGACCTTCTGAAGCCTAATTCTGTCAACTTGTCAAAGTCATTCTCTGTCTAGTCTTGTTCCCTTGTTGGCGAGGAGCTGCAATCCTTTGGAGGAGAAGAGGTGCTCTGTTTTTTGGAATCTTCAGCTTTTCTGCTCTTGTTTCTTCCCATCTTTGTGGTTTTATCTACTTTTCTTCTTTGATGTTGATGACCTACAGATGGGGTTTTGGTGTGGATGTCCTTTTTGTTGATGTAGATGCTATTCCTTTCTGTTTGTTAGTTTTCCTTCTAACTGTTAGATCCCTCAGCTGCAGGTCCGTTGGAGTTTGCTGGAGGTCCACTCCAGACCCTGTTTCCCTGGGTATCAACAGCAGAAGCTGTAGAACAGCAAATATTGCAGAACAGCAAGTATTGTTGCCTGATCCTTCCTCTGGAAGCTTCATCTCAGAGGGGCACCCAGCTGTATGAGGTGTCATTCAGCCCCTACTGGGAGGTGTCTCCCAGTTAGGCTACATGCGGGTCAGGGACCAACTTGAGGAGGAGGTCTGTCCATTCTCACAGCTGAAACACCATGCTGGGAGAACCACTGCTCCCTTCAGAGCTGTCAGACAGGGACGCTTAAGTCTGCAGAGGTTTCTGCTGCCTTTTGTTCATCTATGCCCTGTCCCCAGAGGTAGAGTCTACAGAGGCAGGCAGGCCTCGTTGAGCTGCGGTGGGCCCCACCCAGTTTGAGCTTCCTGGCCACTTTGTTTACCTACTCAAGCCTCAGCAATTTTGGAGGCCCCTCCCCAGCAAGGCTGCCACCTCACAGCTCGATCTTGGGCTGCTGCACTAGCAGTGAGCAAGGCTTTGTGGGTGTGGAACCCACTGAGCCAGGCACGGGATATAATCTCCTGGTGTGCCATTTGTAAGACCATTGGAAAATTGCAGTATTTGGGTGGCAGTGACAGACCGCCTCCTCAAGTTGGTCCCTGACCCCTGATTTTCCAGCTACAGTTTGTCATGGCTTCCCTTGGCTAGGAAAGGGAAATCCCCCAACCCCTTATGCTTCTTGGGTGAGGCGATGCCCTGCCCTTCTTTGGCTAGCCCTCTGTGGACTGCATCCACTGTCCAACCAGTCCCAGTGAGATGAACCAGGCACCTCAGTTGGAAATGCAAAACTCACCCATCTTCTCCGTCGATCACGCTGGGAGCTGCAGACTGGAGCTGTTCTTAATTGGCCATCTTGGAACTGGCTCCCTAATATTCTATTTCTATTATTTTTGTGTTTTCTCTTAACTTTTAACATGCTGTGATGATTAATTTTATGTGTCAACTTTCTGGGCTAAGGAATGCTTTTAAAGCTGGTAAAACATTATTTCTCCATGTGTCTCTCTGGCTGTTTTTGGAAGAGATTATTATTTGAATCATCACCCCGATTAAAGATTTCACTCATAATCCAATCCACTGAGAGCATGGATAGAACACTCATAATCCAATCATCCAAGCCATTGAAAGTATGGATAGAAAGGGCAAAGTTGCTGTCAGTTTGAGCCAGGACACCCTTCTTCTTCTCAGACATAAGCTCCTTGGTTCCCAGCCCTTCAGACTCAGACTGAATTATCCCACTAGGTTTCCTAGCTCTCCAGCTTACAGATGGCAGATTGTGGGACTGTTTGCCTTCCCTAATTATGTGAGTCAAGTCTCATAAAATGTGTATCCTATTGGTTCTGTTTCTACATAGAACCCTGCCTAATACACATGCATATCTGACTTAACAAAATGTAAGATTAATGAGTACCTCTACCTTCTTCCAAATGATACTAGGGTTTCAGACCATGTTAACTACATTCACCAACCTCTTCTTTCTTACATGTTATTGTCATCTGGTATTTTATGTACACTTTGTTTTTACCTAATTTTTGTTTATATTTACCACTCTGTTTGCCAACATTTTTGTTAGCGAATTTTTTTTTGTATTATGCTCCTTCCACATAGCTTTTATTTTTTTGTTCTTGAGGTTACCCTTTAGAGTTACTTTTCAGTGATGGTCTTAATAAGTTTATTTTAAAATATCTCCATTTTACTTTCACTCTTAGGGTTCACCCATATACTTGTTGAATAAAAAATTCTTGGTGTGAAATGAAAACAAAAATTTGAGGTTAAAAAATGAAACCAGGTACAGTGGTGCATCCCTGTAGTCTCAGATACTCAGGAGGCTTAGGTGGGCGGATTGCTTGAGCCCTCAGGAGTTCAAGGCTACAGTGCACCATGATCACGCCTGTGAATATCAACTGCACTCTAGCATGGGTAACATAGCAAGACTCGGTCTCAAAAAGAAAAAAGGAAAAAAAGAGGCATCAAAGACCTGAATATAGGACATAAAACTATAAAAATCTTAAAAGAAAACACAGGGGAAATGCGCCATGGCAGTGGATCTGGCAATAATTTCTTGGGTATGACACCAAAAGCTCAAGCAACAAAGACAACAAAAACAAAAATAGATAAATTGTACTACATCAAAATGAAAGACTCTGCATCAAAGTATACAGTCAACATAGTAAACAGGCAACCTCTGGAATGTGAAAAACATTTTCACATTATACATGTAATGTGAGATCAATATTCAGAATTTAGTTTTCTTGAGACTGTTAAAAGAAAAACGGTAAAAATAAAAATTATTTTAAAAAATCAGAATATATAAAGAACTACAACTCAACAACAACAAGAAAAAAGTAGCCTGATTTAAAAATAGGCAAACAACTTAAACAGACATTTCTCCAAACAAGATACCTGAATGGCCAACAAGCATATGAAAAGGTGTTCAATATCACTAATCATTAGAGAAATGCAAATCAAAATCACAATGAAATATCACCATATACCCTCAGATGGCTACTCTTTTTTTTTTTTTTTGAGGTTTTGTTTTTTTTTTCAATTGTTTTTCAGGAACAGGTGGTTTTTGGTTACACGAATAAGTTACTTAGTGGTAATTACTGAGATTTTTGGTGTACCCATCACCTGAGCATTGTATACTGTACCCAATGGGTACTCTTTTATCCCTCACCCCTCTCCACCTCTTCCCCCATGTCCCCAAAGTCCATTATATCATTCTTATGCCTTTGCATCCTCATAGCTTAGCTCCCACTTATAAGTGAGAACATTTGGTTTTCTGTTCCTGAGTTACTTCACTTAGAATAATGATCTCCAACCCTATCCAGGTTGCTGTAAATGCCATTGTTTCATTCCTTTTTATGGCTGAGTAGTATTCCATGGTGTATATATACCACATTTTCTTTATTCACTCAGTGGTCGATAGGCATTTTAGGCTGGCTCCATATTTTCACAATTCCAGATTGTGCTGCTATAAACATGTGTGTGCATGTGCAAATTGTGCTGCTATAAACAAGTGGCTTTTTTTTTTCATGTAATGACTTATTTTCCTCTGGGTAGATATCCAGCAGTGGGATTGCTTGGTCAAATGGTAGTTCTACATTTAGTTTTTTAAGAAATCTCCACACTGTTTTCCATAGTGGTTGTACTAGTTTACATTCCTCCAACAGTGGAAAAGTGTTCTCTTTTCACCACATCCACACCAACATCTATTTTTTTTTATGTTTTGATTATGGCCATTCTTGCAGGAGTAAGATTGTATCACATTGTGGTTTTAATTTGCATTTTCCTGATAACTAGTGATGTTGAGATTTTTTTTGTATGTTTTTTGACCATTTATATATCTTATTTTGTGAACGGTCTATTCATGTCCTTTGCCCACTTTTGATGGGATTTTTTTTTTCTTGCTGATTTGTTTGAGTTCTTTGTAGATTCTGGATACTAGTCCTTTATTGGATGCATAGTTTGTAAACATTTTCTGCCATTCTGTGGATTGTCTGTTTATTCTCCTGATTTTTTTCCTGTGCAAAAGCGTTTTAGTTTAATTAGGTCCCATTTATTTATTTTTGTTTTTGTTGGATTTGCTTTTGGGTTGTTGGTCATAAACTCTGCCTAAGCCAATGTCTAGAAGAGTTTTACTGATGTTATCTTCTAAGACTTTTGTGGTTTCATGTCTTAGATTTAAGTCTTTGATCCATCTTGAGTTGATTTTTGTATAAGGTGAGAGATGAGGATCCAGTTTCATTCTTCTACATGTGACATGTTATCCCATTCATGTTATTATTCATTTGCCAGTTATCCCAGCACCATTTGTTAAATAGGGTGTCTTTTCCCACTTTATGTTTTTGTTTGCTTTTTCGGAGATCAGTTGGCTGTATGTATTTGGCCTTATTTCTGGGTTCTCTATTCTGTTCCATTGGTCTATGTGCCTATTTTGATACAGTACCATGTTGTTTGGGTAACCATAGCCTTGTAGTGTAGTTTGAAGTCTGGTAATGTGGTGCCTCCAGATTTGGTTTTGTTTTGGGGGGTTTTTGTTTTTGTTTTTGCTTGGTCTTGCTTTGGTTATATGGGGTCTTTTTGGTTCCATGTGAATTTTAAGATTGCTTTTTCTAGTTCCATGAAGTGGCTACTCTTAAAAGATTTTAAAAAACCACACAGAAAATAACAAGTGTTAGTGAAGATATCTAGAAATTGGAAACATGTTCATTGCTGGTAGAAACGTAAAGTGGTGCAACTGCTTAGGAAAACAGAATAGAGGTTCTTCAAATAATTAAAAATGGAATTATCATATATTCAGCAATTCTACTTCTGAGTATATATCCAAAAAAATTAAAAGCAGGTTCTCAAAAAGATATTTGTGCAGCCATGTTCATAGCACCATTATTTACATAGCAGCCAAGAGTTAGAAAAAAACCAATTCATCAATAAATGAATAGACAAATAAAATATGACATAAACATGTAATAGAATATTATTCAGCCTTAAAAAGTGATAAAATTCTGACACATGCTCAACATGACTGAACCTTGAGGGCATTACGCTAAATGAAATAAGCCAGTCACAAAAAAGCAACTATCATATGATTTCACTTATATGAGGTATGTAGAGTAGTCAAATTCAAAGGTACTGAAAGTATTATAGTGGTTTCCAGGGACTGGAGGGATTGGGAAATGGAAAGTTGTTTAATGGGCTCAGGATTTCAGTTTTGCAAGATGAGAAAGTTCTGGAGACTGGTTTTACAACAATGTAAATATACTTAACACTACTGAACTATACACTTAAAAGTGGCCAAAATGGTAAATTTTATGTCATGTGTATTTTATCACAATTAATTTTTTTATTTTTTAAAAGAAGTCTAGGTTGACATTTTTCCTTATACTTGAAATGTATTGTTTCAATGTTCTCTGGCCTCTATTCTTGCTGTTGAAATACCTGCTGTAAGTATATAACGAGTTTGTCTTTTCTCTTTGACTGCTTTAAACATTTTTTTATTTTTAAGGATTTTTCCAGCTTTCCTTTAATTATTTTATTTTTTAAATCAACAAATAATAATTGTACATATTCATGAGTACACCATGATATTTTGATACATGTAATGTATAGTGATCAGATCAGAGTAATTAGAATATCTATCATCTCAAACATGTATCACTTCTTTGTGTTGGAAATGTTCAATATCCTCCTTCTAGCTATTTGAAACTGTATATTACCATTAACTATAGTCATCCTACAGTGGTGTAGAACACTAGAACTTATTTCTCCTATCTAGCTGTAATTTTGTATCCTTTAACAAATCTTTCTCTATCCCTCCCTTCCCCCAACACTTGCCAGCCTCTAGTATCCTTTATCTTACTTTTTAATTCTATAAGATCAACTTTTTTTGGTTTTCACATATGAGTGAGAACATGCAATATTTAACGTTCTGTTTCTGGCTTCTTTCACTTAACAAAATGTCCTCCAGTTCCGTCTTTGTTGCCATAAATGACAAGATGTCATTCCTTTTTAATGGGCCAAATAATAGTCGATTGTGTATATATGCCATGTTTTCTTTATTCATTGGTTTGTTGTTGAACACTTAGGTTGATTCCATATCTTGGTTATTGTGAATAGTACTGCAATAAATATGGAGGTGCAGGTGTCTCTTTGATACAATTAGTTCCTTTCCTTTGGATAAATTCCCCATAGTGGAATTGCTGGATCATACGGTAGTTCTATTTGCAGTTTTTCAAGGAACTGCCATACTATTCTCCATAGTGGTTGTACTAGTTTACATTCCCACCAAGAGAGAAAAAGAGTTCCCATTTCTTCATACCCTCACCAGCATTTGTTACGTTATGTCTTTTTTATAATAGCAATCCTAACTGGGGTGAGATGATACCTCATCGTGGTGTTGATTTGCATTTTCCTGATGATTAATAATGTTGAGCATTTTTAATATATTTCTTTACCATTGTATGTCTTCTTTTGAGAAATGTCTGTTCAGATCATTTGCCCATTTTTAACCAACTTGTTTACTTATTTTATTGATGTATTTTATATTTTTGCTGTTGCGACGTTTGAGTTCCTTGTATATTCTTGATATTAATCCCCTGTCAGATGAGTAGTTTACAAATATTCTCACTTTCTGTAGGTGTTCTTTTCACTCTCTTGATTGTTTTCTGTACTGTGCAGAAATTTTATGGTTGGATTTAATCCCATTTATTTATTTTTGCTTTTTTGTCTGTACTTTTGAGGTCTTATAAAATCATTTCCCAAACCAATGTCCTGATGCATTTTGCCTATGTTTTCTTCTAGCAGTTTTATTATTTGGGGTCTTACATTTACATCTTTGGTCCACTTTTAGTTGATTTGGGGGATGGTGAGAGGTGGAAGTCTAGTTTATTCTTCTGTGTATGTATACCCAGTTTTCCCAGGACCATTTATTGACAAAACTGTCCTTTCTTCAATGAGTGTTCTTGGCATCTTTGTCAAAAATCAGTTGGCTATACATATGTAGATTAATTTCTGGGTTTTGTATTCTGTTCCATTGGTCATTTTGTCTGATTTTATGCTGGTACCATGCTGTTTTGGTTACTATAGCTTTGTAGCAGTTCTGATAATATGATACCTCTAGTTTTGTTCTTCTTGTTCAGGATTGCTTTGGCTAATGTGAGTCTTTTGTAATTTCATACAAATTTGGAACTGTTTTTCTATTTCTGGGAAGAATGTCTTTAATATTTTGATAGGGATTGCATTGAATCTGTAGACTGCTCTGGGTAGTGTTGTCAATTTAACCTTATTAATTCCTCTGATCCATGAGCATCGTATGTCTTTCTATTCATTTGTATCCTCTTTAATTTCTTTATCCATGTTTTGTAGTTTTCCTTGTAGAGGCTTTCATCTCCTTAAGATTGTTCATAGGTATATTTTTGTAGTTATTGTAAGTGACATTGCCTTCTGGAATTCTTTTTCAGTCAGTTTGTTGTTCATATATAGAAACACTACTGATTTTTGTGTACTAATTCTGTACTCTTCAACTTTACCAAATTTATTTATCAGTTCTAAGAGTTTCTTGGTAGAGTCTTTAGGTTTTTCTATATATAAGAACACGTCATCTGCAAGCAGGGACATTTTCATTTACTCCTTTTCAATTTGGATTCCCTTTCTTTCTTTCTCTTTCCTAATTGCTCTAAGACTTCTAGTACTATGTTGAAAAAAAGTGGTAAGAGTTGGCCTCCTTGTCTTGTTCTCATTCAGTAAAATGTTAGCTTTGGGTTGTCATATATGGCCTTTATTATGTTGAGGTATTTTCCTTCTATACCTAACTTATTAAGAGTTTTTATCATGAAGGGATATTGAGTTTTATCAAAAAATTTTTCTGTGGCTATTGAGATAATCACATGGATTTTATTCTTCATTCTATTCATGTGATGTATGATGGTTTTTGATTTCTGTACACTGAGCCATCCTTGTATTCCTGGATAAATTCCACTTGATTCTTGTGTGTTTTTTTTTTTTTTTTTGATGTGTTGTTTGATTCAGTTTGCTAATTCTTTGTTGAGAATTTTTGCATTTCTGTTCATCAGGGATATTGGCTTGTAGTTTTGTTGATGTTGCTGTTGTTGTGTCCTGGTCTGGTTTTTGGTATCAAGGTTATGTTGGTCTCATAGGATGAATTAGGAAGAATTGTCTCTGCTTTAAATTTTCCAGAATAATTTGAGAATAGTTGATATTAAGTCTTCTTTAAGTATTTAGCGGTTTTCAGCAGAGAAGCCATCTGGTCTTAGACTTTTCTTTGTTGGAAGGCTTTTTGTTACTAATTCAGTATTGACACTTGTTATCAGTCTATTCCAGTTTTCTGTTCCTTTTTGGTTCAATCTTGGTAGGTTGCATGCATCTAAAAACATATCCATTTCCTCTAGGTGTTTTAATGTATTGGTGTACAGTTGTTCATAGTAGTTTCTAATGATCCTTTGTATTTCTGTGGTTTTCATTGTAACATCTTTTTATTTCTGATTTTATTTATTTGTGTCTTCTCTCTTTTTTTCTTTTCTTTTCTTTTTTTTTTTTTTTTTTTTGAGACAGAGTCTCACCTGTGGCCCAGGCTGAAGTGCAGTGGTGTGATCTCGGCTCACTGCAAACTCCACCTCCCACGTTCATGCCATTCTCCTACCTCAGCCTCCTGAGTAGCTGGGACTACAGGCACCTGCCACGACACCTGGCTAGTTTTTTGTATTTTTTAGTAGAGACGGGGTTTCACCACATTAGCCAGGATGATCTCGATCTCCTGACCTCGTGATCCGCCCACCTTGGCCTCCCAAATTGCTGGGATTACTGGCGTGAACCACTGCGCCCGGCCTCTTTTTTTCTTAATCTAGCTAATAGTTTGTTAATTTTGTTTCTTTTTTCAGAAAAACAGCTTTTTGTTTTATTGATCTTTTCTCAATTTTCAATTTTTGTCTCAATTTTGTTTATATCTGTTCTAATTTTTTTTTTTTTTTTTTTTTTTTTTGAGACAGGGTCTCACTCGGTCACCTATGCTGGAGTGCAGTGGTGTGATCATAGCTCACTACAGCCTTGACCTCCTGGGCTCAAGAAATCCTCCCACCTAAGTCTCCCTAGTAGCTGGCACTACAGGTGTGTTGCACCATCCCTGACTAATTGTTTTCATTATTTTTTCTGTAGATACGGAGTCTTATTATGTTACCCAGGCAGGTCTCAAATTCTTGGGCTCAAGCAATCCTCCTGCCTTTTCCTCCCAAAGTGCTGAGATTACAGGTGTGAGCCACACAATCCAGCCCTGCTCTGATCATTATTATTTCTTTTCTCCTTCTAATTTCGGGTTTGGTTTGTTCTTGCTTTTCTGGATCTTTGAGGTGCATCATTATGTTGTTTATTTAAAATCTTTTTGATGTAGGCATTATTGCTATAAACTTTCCTCTTAATACTATTTTTGCTGTGTCTCATAGGTTTTGCTATGTTGTGTTTTTATTTTCATTTGGTTCAATAAATTTTTGAATTTTATTCTTAATTTTTTCCTTCTCACATTGGTCATCCCAGAGTATGCTGTTTAATTTCCATTTATTTGTGTAGTTTTGTTATGTTCCTCTTATTACTGGTCTTGTTTCATTCCATTGTAGTTAGATAAAATACTTGATATGATTTTAATTTTTAAAATTTTTTGAGACTTGTTTTATGCCTTAACATATGGTCAATCTTGGAGAATGTTCAATATGCTGATGAAAAACATATATATTCTACAGCTGTTGTGTGAAACGTTCTATAATGTCTGTTATGTCCATTTGGTCTATGGTGCAGTTTAAATCTGATGTTTCTTTGTTGATTTTCAGTCTAGATGCTCTGTCCAATGCTGATAGAGGCATATTGACATCCCCAACTATTACATGTATTATGGCCTATCTCTCCCTTTAGATCTAATGATATTTGCTTTATTTACCTGAGTGCTCCAGTATTGGGTACATATATTTTCTAATTGTTATATTCTCTTGCTAAATTGATCTCTTTATTATTTTATAATGTCATTCATTTTTTTACAGAACATGAAGTCTGATACAGAACATGAAGTTTTACAGAACATGTTTTGTCTGATATTATAAGTATAGCTACTCCTCCTCACTTTTGGATTCTGCTTGTATAAAATATCTTTTTCTATACTTTCACTTTTATCTACATGTGTCTTTACAGGTGAGACGAGCTTCTTGTAGGCAGCATATAATGAGGTCCTTCTGTTTTTATCCATTCAGTAGGTCTCTATCTTTTAAAAGAGGGAATTTACCAAACTATTTTTTGTTCTTAAGTTCTATAATTTCATTACAATGTGTATTTATTATAGTTTTCCTACTCATGACTGTATGTACTTCTTCAATTCTGTCTTTGATTAATTCTGAAAAACTGGACCATTATTCCTGAATATTGCCTCTTTCTCATTATCTATTCTCTTCTTCTGAAATTCCCATTACACTTCCTAATTCTATTGTTCACATCTCTTAACCTTTTTCATATTACTATATCTTAACCTCTCTGTGATGCACTCAATTTTCTCAGCTCTATTCAAACCACTCTTTATTGAGCTTTTTATTTCAAATAACATTTTTTTCTAGAAGTTCTATATGGATCTTCAAGCCTGCCTATTATCTTATCATAGTGTCTTTTTTATGTAAATTATTCCTGCTTTTATATCTTTAATCATTTTAATTCCTCCTACTTTAAAGTTTATTACGAATTTCTCCATTAACCTACATTCCTGGTATGTTCATTTTTTAATATTTATTTATCAGTCAAACGTTATATAAAACTTACTATGTCCCAGGTACTTAGAAATATTAATTATCTAATATTGTTGTGTCTGTTGGCTCTCTAATGTTGTTTTGTTTTTTGTGAGTTTTGTAATTTTGGGTTGTGGTTTCATCTTCAGTTGTGCTTAATCTGTGGAGCTCCTGTGGCATGGGAGTAATGGAAATGTTCCTCCACAAGAATTGTGTGTTTTTTTTGCCAGGAATCCAAGGAGTAACATTCACTTAAGAACAATTTGTATATTAATTCTGCAGTTTTGGTTTCATGGAGAACTGGGAAAGAACATATTTGAATTCTAATTTTCCATAAAGCACAGAATAAAGTTGTAAATTTTTCAAGAATAATTATTATTATCATTATTTGCCCAGAGCCAAAGCAAAGAAACACTTCCTTTTTTCTTCATGTTAACAGTTGTAATTTTTTTCTCTAGCACCCTCTCTATAGGTCAGCCCTTCAAGCATCCTAGCTCATGTAGAGTTTTCAGTTCCAACTCCCTGATTCATTTAAACTGAAGACTGCATCTCTTATCCTCTAATTTGACCAAAACCTTAATTACCCGGTGTAATAATACACCAAACCACTCATTCCACACTTCTTCCAGGGTAGCCACAGCATAAGCTCATATGCTTTTCCCTATGTTTTTCAGTTTCATTCCTTTTTCTGGCACCTGGTGATTTTCCTTTCTTTACTAAAGGATCCACCATGCATTTTGACTTGTTGCTATAGTTTGGGTAGCATTTCTAAGGACATATAGCTGGAGATTTTTTAGATGACCCTAGTTTGCCATCAGGATGGAATTAGAAGTTCTTAGAGGGTTTTAAGCAGGGGAAAGATATCATTTGATTTATGCTTTTAAAAATATTTCTGATGAATTTCAAAGAAGCTGACTGAAGTGAATTGAGACTACTAAGCTTATATCTGAAATCAGTGTGAAGAAAAGTCATGATTTATTAGAAATGTCAACCAAGACACAGAAAACAGAGTGACAGTATGCACATCACATATCCTCTAACCCTGATTGGTCTCTCATTTTTCACTTGGAGAAACTGAGACACAGAAATTCAGTGACTTGCCTATAGTCTCTCAGCTGGGATATGTATTCCCAAGGTATGCTTTTCAGTCATTTTATTCCACAGATTCTTCATTTTAATTGCATTATTGAGGTTGTATGGTTATAGTCTTGATTCAGATTCTCATTAATTAAACATTTCTAGGCACCGTAGACTTTGCTCAGTACTGACAACAGAAAGATTAATAAGAAATGGCCCCTGCCCTTCAGGAGCTCATATTCCAGCAAGCTTTGAATAACTAAAACAGAAAATAAGGGCTACAGCTACTGAATATACATGGTGGTCTGGAAAAAAACAGAGAAGCACTTGCTTGGGGAGGTCAGAAAGGTGAAATTTAATCTATGCAAAATCTATTCTAGTTTGTTTGGTCGTACATCTAGTCCAGGAGTAGAATAAGATAATGTTCTATTTATAACTTTGTATTCATTCATGTCATTCCATAAATATTTACTTAAATATTTGCTGAGTTCTCTCCTCACATCAGGCTCCTCATGGCTAAAGCCAAAGAAGGATGACTAGGGAAAAGGGCCACTCATGGGGGGCTACAGGGCAAGTTCTCACACGATTATAGGCACTAGGCAAAGCAAGGCTGATAATAAAAATATATATAAGGATTGGAAATTTTGATTCACAACTACATCAGACTCCCAGAATTCTTGTGCACTTCCTCCTTCCCCTAGTAAAGCCTTACTTGGGGTAAAATACCTGTATCTAACATTTATATCTCAATGTGAATTTAAATTTCAACATATAACTCTCTCAGATGTCATTGCAGTTTACATTTTATAATAAATGTGATATTTTTCATATACTTAAGATTTTTTATATTAGAGAAAGTATAGATATTTGGGGAAGAGTAAAGGCTTTATCATGTCACTGCTCTACCTCCCATGCTTGTGCCCAACACCCAGAACATAGTTAATGTATACTTACTGTTTGGTGCTTTAGATAACTCCTGGGCCCCTTTTTAAAATCCTCTCAATCCCACCTCTATCTCCAGTTACAACTGAAGAAACTGCTTCCACCTAGGTTTTGACCATCTCTATGCTGGTGCAATCAGATCACGGGTCTCACTCTAGGTCTGCACTGAGTATCTCTCATTTCCTGCCCAGAGGTATCTGCAGCTCAGGGCAACCACTTGAATCTGCTCTGTGCTCAGCATACATTACTTAGAAATGCAACCAAGTCATCCTTGACCAATGGGGACCTGGAGCCAATGGATAAATGTTTCCATCTTTGGTCCTTTGGACAAACAGTTCTCTAGTACTTTCCATAAATCTCCCCAAAAATTCCAAGCAGGACTTGTATCCATAGTGATAGTGGTAGTCCATATGGTAGTCCACAGCATAGTCCACATGAACAATTGTCCATAGTAGTAGACAACGTAATAATCCATGTTGCATTAGCTTTCCCTCCTTCCCTGATCACTCCCCTACCCTGTACTCTTGCTACCTAAGATCACATTCTCAGATAATCTTAAAAGGCAAGCCTTTGTCTCAGGCTCTGATTTCTGGGAAACTCAGGCTAAGACTGTTGGGTTTTGTTATTTATCCTGCCCTTAAAATCCTTCAAATAGGCCAAAAGTTGCAGTTGTATCAGTGACTAATCTAAAAGTTCAGCTGGAGTACCAAAATGTCACTGTCACTTTTTTCGAGATACAGCCACTTAAAATTAGCTGGTCAAAGAATTAGAACTGACCCCAGAGACAAACCTGTACTTGCTCTTCAGAAAAAGTTTAAAGGTTTTTTCAAGCCATTTCCAAGTCTAATTTTCCAAGCTTTCTGATTGCAGATGTGTCTGGCAGCAAGACTGCCTGTGTCATTTTGCTTTTTTTCTTTTTTTTTTTTTTGTCTTTTATTTTTGTTTTATCTAAAACATAGAGAAGTCAGCTCAGTGATACCATTTATCATGAAGCCAATATGAATAAAGCCACCCACATTACTATTAAGAGGGCCATACTTAGCTGGATATCAACCATCACCTCATAGAGACAGGTCCATGTTAACAGGGCCAGAAAGAAGATATATTGTGGGTTGTGGGTTCTCAGCTACCCACTCCATGGAGGCTCACAGCCTGGCTAGGTGATGATGGCCATTGAGCAGGGTGGAGGTGTGCTGCTTTCACTCATGCCTCCTCTACTTAATCAAATGGCCAACCCCTTGCATGTCACTGGTACCCTAACCCTAGTTAACACATCTAAGGAGGATTCACCATGTCACATCCAGCCTTTTCATAACATGGTTAGGCTTGTAGACTTCAGTTTGGTTGGCATTCTTCCAGAATCCTTGGAATCAAGAGTCAAGTTCTTGTGTAATTCTTCTGTGAAAGGCTACACAAAGTAGTAAAAGATGAGCAGTCCAAAATGTCTGCATTCCTGGGCCGGCTTGCCTGGGGTCAACTGGGCACCACCATCACTTTCTTCTAAGGCTGGAAGGTACATTTTCCAGAATCTCTTTTGCTGTATGGTTTCAGGTAAGTGTTTGCCAATGAATGGAATAGATGTGACTCGTGAATATCTTACATTCATAGCCCACAGAGTTCTGACCTATGCAGCAACGTCTGGCTCAGACTTCTTGGGCCAGGCACAGTGGCTCATGCCTGTAATCCCAGCAATTTAGGAGGCCAATGCAGGTGAATCGCTTGAGCCTAGGAGTTTGAGACTGGCCTAGGCAACATAGTAAAACCCTTCCTCCATTTTCTAAAAAAAAAACATAACCTAATATACACTGAGAGGGATGGAGGGCATTAAATGATTGCCACCATCTGGGGTTACTCACAAATATTCCTTGCTCCCCGGCCACCCACCATGGCCTGTTTCTTTTACTCTGAGTAGGTTTCTTAATTTGTGGGGGCTGCTACCAGAGCTTTTGACTTCTTCCTAGTTCAGGAGTCTCCCTATTGTGTTCCAGGGCTTTTAACATCAGTCCCAAGGCCCTATTCACCACTTCCTCCAGGAAACCTCCAGATCTTCATAGCAAGAGTTTCTGTTGGTTTGCCTACTTAGTCCAGAATTTCTGAAATGTAAATGCAGATTAGAATACACAATTTGTAAGACACAATCCTGTCCTTCAGGGATTTCAGCCCTAGATAAATGTGTGAGGTGATGGCTAGCCCAATTACTCTGATTTGTTCATCACACATTGTATGTAGGTATCAAAATATTACAGGTACCATCCAAATTGGTACAACTATTATTAATCAATTTAAAAAGAAAAATAAAAAGGAATTTTAACCCTTAAAAAGTTTAACAGTAAAGCAATAGACATCACCAGCAGGGTGGGATTCATTGTCAGAATCATTGTAAAGGCAGCCAGGGTTTTGACAGCTTAGAGGAAGGAGGGTGACTCTGGGCTGGGGTAACCATGTTGGTCTCTGGGATAAGGAAGAAAAGCTGCTTCAGGGCCTCTCTTCAGTGGCTTCTACTTCAGGCTGGTCCCATAGAAATTCCTCAGTAAGTATTTTCTGCAGGCACCAAATGTCTCCAGTGGAAATGTGCTCCTTGGAAAATTCAGTAGGTCAGTAGTTGTATGTTTTAGAACTTGCATTCATCTGCCAGTAACAGTGGCTTGTACAGCCTGGTGAGGTGGGCAGTCAAGGGTGAAGTCATCAGAGATCCAGGCTCCTGCCAACCCTCTTCTGCACAGTCCTTTGTACATGGTGTTCCTTCTCAAAGTTATCTCATGGTCTGGGATGACTGCTAGGGATCTAGACATCATGTCTGTGTCAATGTGAGGGAAGAAACAAAAGGAAAATGAGCCTAGTACATCTAGTTCAGGAGTAGAATAAGAAAATGGGCACAAAAGGCACATGCTATCCATACATTTACTTCTCAAGGGGTTTTCTTTCAAGTCTCACCTTACAGCATCTGTTTATATCTCATTGGCCACCTCTAGCTGCAAGGGAGGCAGGAAATGTAGTGTAGCTAGGCACATTGCCATCTGAAATAAAACCAAAGTTTCGTTACTAAGAAAGAAGGAGGAAATGCATATTTGACAGGCAGTCAGGAGTCTCTGCCACAGTGGTTAAGAGTGTGGGCTCTGGAAGCAAACCTGGGCTCAGGACCTGACTCTGCCACTGAGTAGCTGAGTGACTTTGGGCAAGTTACTTAACCTTCCAGAGCCCAGCTGACCCATCTGTAAGACAGGAAGAGAAGCAAAGCTGCCTCATGGGGTCACAGTAAGGATTACATGAGATGAGCACTTAGGGTGACCCACACAGCATTAGGCTTGTACTTAATGCCAGTGATCTCAGTACCTTTCACCATCTGGACTCAGCAGGTGACCTGCAATAGCTTTACTTTTTTCCTGGGACTGCCTTCACAGACACTCTGCTGAATCTCCCTTTACTATCCCTTATTGACCTCACCAGCTAATCTCACCACTTCCTTGTCAATCCAGTCTGGCTCAGTCCGATTCAGTCCAGTTCAAAACTTTAACCCATACCCTATGTAAGGTTGCTCCCTGCAATAGGCTGTCAGCGTCCCCTCTCCCCAGAATTTATGGTTCTAGGACATGCCATGAGCACCCAAGGGCCTGAGGACTTACTTTCACATACTAGGTACACCAGATGTGGGAATGGGTGGCAGCTGTAGGAGCAACCCTCAGTGACAGAAGGTGGTTGGAAGATAAATATCCAGTTGCCCTTGAGTGGACAACTCTCAGGTGGATTGAGCTACATGATCCATGGCAGTAACCTGCTAAACATGGCACCTTTCCCTGGCTTCCTTCCCTGACTGACTGGATTCCCACTTCCCTATCCACACTTCCTGGGATCGCCCCTCAGATAAACTCCTTACATTGGAATCCTTGACCTGAGTGGGCCTCTACAGGAACCCAACCTGAGGAACCTCCCTGTCCTCTTGCTCAGGCCTAACCAGTGCAGAAAGACAGAATAGGCCACTCTCCTTTCTCCCCACATTCCTCTTCTGGGCTCTAGCTTCTCTTGTAGACAAATAGGGAAAGAGATGCAGAGTCTTTTCTCCTAACTGAAGCTGCTGTAAGTCTTCTTTTCCCCCTCAATCCTCTCCATAGGCATCTGAATATTGTCATTCTTTAGGGTTTCATGGGGAGGAGTCAGGAAGCCACTGCACTGGTCTCTAACATGGACAATGCCCTCCAGCTGACCTCTCCCAACCCACTCTCAGATTCCTACCCCTGAGCTCCCACTCTTTAGTCTCTGGCTGGCAAGGCCCCTTACCTGCCAGGTGGTCTCCTTGGCTAAGTCCTGCTGCCAAGACCCAAGCCCACCTACATTCTGCAGCATCTCTGGGCCCATAGGAAGCATATGCTTGCCACACCGAATGGAGCAAAGTGCCTATACCATGACTACCTTCTCTCCCTCCCTGCTAGTGCGAACTGCTCCCACTGGCCTCCCACCTCCAGAGTTCTCTAGACAGAAGCTGGCTCCAGTCTCTCCATTGCTGTATATTCCCAAGCTCCTGAGGATACTGGCTGGGCTATCCAAGGATTCTTGCATTGGCAACTCCAGAAGGGACCACAGGTTTTATCAAATCAGCAAGTGCCATGTCGGGGAATGAGATGCCTGCCTCCCTTTCTTTATACAGAGTTTTTTTATGCCCTCTTGCAAGTACCAAGGGGGGAAGCCCACTATCAAAACAACACATAACCCCCACTAGACTGATGACTCATGGCTCCTACAAATTTCTTCGCATGGAGAAGGAGGGCAGGGTGGTGACGGCAGCAGAAGCATTTCTGTCACCTCTTAGTTTATCCTGGGGAATGAGTCTGGTGGCTCCCTTGCTGCTGTCTTTAGGCTGTGGAAGTTCTTAGTGCCTATTTTCCTGAGTGTAAGGCTTTAGCTAGAGTTCTGAGATAACAGGATAATGTCTCACAACTCTAGCTGTTGTGATGATTGTTATTGTTTCTTTCACAGCCATACCGAACATAGTTAAGGAGCTCCCCTTCCAGGCAGTCCTCCTAGCTTTTGCCCTTGTAGAAAAACAGTCACTTCCTTCTTACCTTAGTGGCTCTACACTCTAATTCCTGACATTCCCCAGAGTCTTGCTCAGCTTCCAATCCTGAGATTCCCAACCCTGGATGGCATTTGAAATTTTCTATAGCTTTTAGAGTCAGTCTGTCCAGAGGTGGAGTGTGTGTGTGTGTGTGTGTGTGTGTGTGTGTGTGTACATATTTATGTATGCAGATAATCTCTAGAATCTGCAATGGGAAGGGTACTAGGTGATTGAGGGATGGGATGTAAGATTCACATTAATAATAATAGCTACCATGTCTATTACAACTTACTATGAACCAAGCCCTATTCTAGGCACTTTATATACAATAATTTAATTCATTATTATAACAATTCTATGTGGTAGATGTTATCATTATGCTTATTTTACAGACTAGAAAGCTTTGTTTTCATTTTTACTTCACGCTTGTCTTATCTATTTAAGTAAATAATAAGATGATGAACGAATGTATAGGTGGACGGATGGATGGATAAGTAGACAGATTTAAGTTTCTCCAGGTGAACATAATTCACACCCCCAGTTGAAACCCTCTGCCCTGACTTTACCATCACCACCTCAACAAGTGCCAAGGCTTTCCAGAAGACTCATGCAAAAGGAACAGGAGGTATGAGAACCCCTTGGTGGTAAACTCTTCCCATGTGTGATTAAAGCTGAACTCCAGGAAACTTAGATGCTAATGAGGCCTGGACTGGCTGCTAGAATTAGCACATTATTGCCTCTATCTCAATAAATCACTGTCTCCCTGAGAAATGGCTCAGGGATGCTATCTGTGAGTCACTCTGTACAATACCTGAAGAGGAGATGGGGCCACAAAACAGGGCTTGAAGGTATCAGATAAGCTCACGTAGGTTTTAATGGGCCGCGGGAGTCGGGTAGGAGAAGGCCCTGGCTTCAGCTGTAACTTGGTTTCCTAACAGGAATGAGAAGAGAAAACACTTCTGCATCAAGGTGACTTCACTCAATTGCAGCTGAAAACGAATGAGATCATGTCAGTAAATGCCTTTGGGCTCTTCAAAGAAAGTGAAAAACCCACCAGTTCACTGTGAATCCCAAGCCTGCAGGTGCATGCAAACTTTCCCCCTCCCATCTAGCCTTCCTTGCAGAGCCACCCCCAGAACCAAATGCATGAAGTCAGCAGATCTCTCTTCTCGCCTGGAAATAACCATTACTCACCTGAGTTAATGGGTAAAGTGAGGCTTCCTTTACTTCAAGGGCCACTGGGAATAGCTACGCGACCTCCAGCAGATGCATTGATATTTCTGGGACTGTTTGTCCATGTCTCTCTCTTCATCTGTCAGCCCCACATTCCTCTGCTTTGATCTAGTTCTGAGCAAGCTCTTTCATTGAGGTGGTAAATGACTGCCTGAAGCACCAGGTCTCCATCCTAACCCCTACCCCTGAAATATCCTCATAGGGGAAAACCCTTCTCCCTTCTCGACTGTTTTCATAAAACTCCTTAGATGGCTTCTCATGGGCTGGCTTAGGTCATGCCTCCTAACATGAACCTATCCACAAATAGAACGAAAATATCTAATTAGAACAATAAGCCAATCGTAGAGCCAATCCTAGAGCCCGGGAAGCAGGGTCTGCCCCAGCTAAATCACAAGAGCCAAGGAGGGCAGGAGATGAGTCCCTTAAGGAAATGCAGTGTGGATGCTGAGAAGATCCCAGAAACAGATGTCCAATTCAGACTCATCTGACTCTGGTTCTGTAGGCTCAAAGTAAGATACAATTTATCTAATAAAAAGACCAGGGCAGGCTGACCCCAGGGGCTCTCATGAGTGAAGTGTAAAATCATAAAATGGTAGAGCTAAAAGAAACCTCAGTAATCTTCTCATCCCACCCCTCATCTTACTGGTGGGGAAGCTGAGCCCCAGGGAGCCCCCACAGGGAGCAGTGACAGAGCCGGGTCAGATTGCTACCCATGCCCCTGACTCCAGGCCCACAGGCCAGTGCTTGCACAGCCTGAGGGCAGAGGTGTGTGCCCTGCCCCCTGAATTCCCTGAGTGCATTTTTAAAAATTCTCTTAAAAACATGAGAGTCAATATCCTATTGTACTACAGTTCTGCAAAATACTGCACTGCGAGAAACTGGATAAAGGGCATATGAGATCACTCTATTATTTCTTACAAATGCATGTGGATCCACAATTATCTCAATATAATGTCAATTTAAGAACTGTGAGAGGAATTTCAAAATGACGTAAAATGGTATATCCAGTCAAGACAGTGTTGTGATTGGCTCACAAACCACTTCACTCGAGCCTCACTTGAAAACAAAATAAACATCTCCCTACAGAAGACCAGAAGTGAACCGGTTGGGTGATGGAGACCTCAAAAACCCTAATGGGGCCCAGCATGGTGGCTCACACCTGTAATCCCAGCACTTTGGGAGGCTGAGGCAGGTGGATCACTTAAGGTCATGAGTTCAAGACCAGCCTGGTCAACATGGTGAAACCCCACACCTACTAAAAATTTTAAAAAAGAAATAATTAGTTGGGCATGGTGGCACGTGCCTGTAATCCCAATTACTCAGGAGGCTGAGGCAGGAGAATAGTTTGAACCCAGGAGGCAGAGGTTGCTGTGAGCCAAATCACGCCACTGCACTCCAGCCTGGGTGACAGAGTGAGACTCTACCTAAATAAATAAATGAATGCCCTAATATGATCACTATGCAACCTATGCATGAAACAAAATTGCACATGTATGCCATGCATTTGTACAAATAAAAAAACTGAATAAATTTTTTTAAAAGTGTTTCAGACACAGCTATAAGGGATAGGATGAAGACGTTGTTAGAGCCATGGGTCTATTGTACTCTGCGTCTGGGTATGGGAGGTGACAGAGGTGTCTAGGAATGCAATCACCACATAACAACAGAAGGGTTTCAAACCAGCTCACGACATGAAATAGGGGCTGCATCAGACCCACTCATCCATGGTGGGTCACAATTCTACACTCATAAGGGCTGGTACAGATAACAAAATGCAGACAGAGTAGCTGGAGAAACAAGGGCAACCCACAGCCATCAGTTCAAAACAGGATATGTGATAACCAGGCAGTACAAGAGTTCAAAGCAGCCAATATAAGAGCTGGTTCTGAACTGTCCAACTTAGAGGAATGAACACAGAGAAGGAAAATGCACACGCTCACAATTCACTTTCCTTTCCTCTCATTCTCCACTATGTCCTGAGCCCTGGTTTCTGCTCTGCACCAAGTCGACGAAATTCATCCAAGACAGCCAGCATTTCTTCCCCTCAGAGGTTAAAGACAATGTAAAATTGTTTTCTCACTGCCTCTTCCTCTGAGAGATCCATTAGAAAAAGGTGTGTTAAAAGGTCCTTGGCATTTTCGAATGGTGATTTTTTTTTCTAGAAGTTAATTGCCACAACTCTTCCACCTCTGTGTGTGCAAAAGACCCAGAATGTTCATTATGAAGGGAAAGGCATGAGGAACCACCCTCCAGAGCCTCCCAGCCCCAATGCCTCCTTAGATATTTCCATCTCTAAGGATTTGCTCCATTTGTATTGTGTGTCTCAATTTCATTTGGCCATAAGGCATCCCTCTAAAGAACCAGGGCAAAAGTTTTTGTCCTCATCTGAAAAAATAAGCAAGCACAAGAACAGAGTGGACAAGAACTTTCCCTGAGATCACACAGCCAGTCAGAGCCCATATCAAGATTAGACTCCAGAGTCCTTTTCCCAGCATGCTTTCCCCTATTCCTCAAAGCCTCCTTTTGACATTTCAAATATAGAATATTAGGGAGAAAGCTAAAACCCACTTCCCTCGAATTCTAGCTAAAGTGAAGAAAACCTCAACCTGTCAGCATGACATAATTAGAGGATACTTTGGTTTCCCACTACTTAGCACAGCTCCAAGGCTCAGATAAAAAGTATGTTTAAAACAAAATTTCATGGACTATGAATTAGAAGTGACCTTGGGCATATTATGTAACTCCTTCATTTCTCAGATAGGAAAACTGAGGTACAGCAGGGAGAAGGGATTTGTTTTAGCCTGTAGCAGTGCCTAGGGCTCAAAACTGTAACACCCAGCATTTACTGAACCCTCACTCCATGCCAGGCACTAAGCTAGGCAGTCGACATCTTCACCCGATTTAATCTTCACAACAACCTTGTGCAGTGAGCACTTTTAATTTCATCCCCATCTTACAGATGAGGACGGAGAAGCTGGGAGACATCGGGTAACTTACCAAAGTCCACACAGCTGGTGAGTGGCTGCATCTAGAGTTGAGGCCCAACTGGGCTAACTTCCAAGGCTACTCTCAGGATTACATGATGCTCTCCTTACCCTTACCTGGCAATCAAATAGCTCCAGAAAGTGTATTGCATGAGACAGATTTCCCAGTGGCAGTGCCCTGGCTCTACCACTTCCCACCCAGATAGCATTTAGCTACTTAATCACTCCTAAATGCAGTGTCTTCAACTGTGAAATGGGTATTATAACAGCAGCCATTTTGCAGTTATTGTAAGGACTGAGAGAACCTGTACAGATCATCCGGCCCAGTTCTTGGCCGTAGTAGGTACTATGTTGTTTGTTTTCTTATTTCCTGATTTAAGGGAAAAAAAAGAAAAAGAAAAAGTGTGTGTGTGTGTGTGTGTGTGTATGCATACATAGACATATCCTGCATACAGTAACCATTCTCCAAGATGACCCCCAATAATCCTTACCCCCTGATGTTCACATCCTTGTGTATTCCTCTTCCGACCTGTACTAGAGTCTGTGTGACCCACAGAACACAGCAGAAGTGAAGTATTTTATTTCCAAGATCAGGTTATAAAACACTGTGACTTTGTCTTGATTGTTCTTTTGACCTACCTTTTGATCACTTGAGGATGCCTGCAGCCATGTTGTGAATGACTCTATGGAGAGGACCACATGGCATGGAACTGAGGCCCTCTGGCTGAAACCCTGCAAGGAACTGACTGACACCCTCCAACAATCACAACCGTGGGCTTTGGAAGGATACTCCAACCCCAGTCAAGCCTTCAGGTAACTGCAGCCCTTGCCAAAAGCTTGACCGAAGCCACTCCTGAATTCCTGACCCTCAGAAACTGTGGGAAATAATAGCCATTTGTTGTTTGCAGTAGCTGAGCTTTGGAGTTACTTGCTATACTGAAACAGACAACTAACATAGCCTCACTTTATTTGGTGGAAATGGGACAGAGTGGAGGGTTGTGATGGTAGATCTTTTGGAGTATTGGGTTGAGCCTCAAGTTGCAGTCCTGGCCACATTTCTCTAGCCTGATTAAGATTTGCCCCACTTAACCTTCCATCTACATCTTCTGCTTGGCCTGCTTCACTGGATTTCTGCATTTAGAAGCTGCTTTGAATTGTCTTTAAACAGAATCGTGTTCCAAGCCATCAAGCAACAAAAAAAAAAAGGTGTTTGCTGTGGGGGAAAATAAAAGGGTTCTTTTCATTTACATGTCAACTGAGGAGAACAACATGAAAGCATTTTGCAAGCTTTCTTGAATTTGGGCTTGTATTTTGATTTTCTTTAAGTGCAAATCAGCATCCAAGCTCAAACCTTGGGGTGGCAGAAAAATTTAATTAGAATGTGGGGTGTTTCACATAAATTTGTTTCTTCCTGCTATTTTCTTAAGGTTGACAGGATCACCCATCTGCTTAAAATATAATTGAGTAGGGAAGTGAGAAGAAAATAAAATACCTAGTCTGAAAACTTAATTCCAAACCAGAGGCCTGGGGGTAGCTGCTGACACTGACTTTGAGACTTTGAAAAAGGGGGTCTTTGTAGGCCAAAACTGGACTGTGTGTTAGAAGATTATATCATCAGCTTCCAGCCTGTGGTAACCATGAAGGATATTTGCAAATATTGTGGTTTTTCTCCTTCTGGGTACAGAGTAGGATTACAATTGCAATTCTCTCTCCCCTTTTAAGTTAGACAAGGCCATGTAACTTTCTCTAGCCAAAAAGATGTAAGCAGAGATGATATGTGTCACTTTAAGACCCAGTGCACACCATGCCTTTTCCTCTGCCACAGAGATCATGAAAGCATCTGTTGAGATGAAACCACCTGACCTCTGAAGACAAGAGAATTGCAGCTATCCCACACTAACCATATAAGAGGAGCAATAAATACATTTTTGTTAAAGTAAGCCCATGAGATGTTGGGGTGAGGTATTTGTTACACAGCATAATCCAGCTTAGTTGACAGATACAAATATTTACAAACGAAGTCCACAACTTGTTCTAGCTTTACTCATTCAGTGAACATTTGCCAAGGCCCAACTCTATACCAAACATCTTGCTAGATCCTAGAGGCAGCACCTAGAACAGCATCAGGCCCCAGTATTTGTGCCAAAAAAAAGTTGAATAAATAAATAATCATATTAATTACTATTATCAGCATAATGCTTGGTGTATGGTAAGTGTCCAATAAATGCTATATCTGTCTGATTCTTCCAATTGCTCTAAAACATAATACTACCACAATATTCATCCTTACATATAAGAAAAATAGAGGCCAGGCATGGGGACTCATGCCTATAATCCCAGCACTTTGGGAGGCCGAGGCGGACGGATCACTTGAGGTCAGAAGTTCAAGACCAACCTGACCAACACGGTGAAATCCCATCTCTACTAAAAATACAAATATTAGCCAGGCATGGTGGTGTGTGCCTGTAATCCCAGCTACTCAGGAGGCTGAGGCAGGAGAATCTCCTGAACCCGGGAGATGGAGGTTGCAGTGAGCCAAGAAGTTGCCACTGCACTCCATCTTAGGCAACAGCACAAGATTCCATCTCAAAAAAAAGAAAAAAAAAAACAAAAAGAAAAGAAAGAAAGAGATAAAGAGGAAAGAAAGAAAAAGAAGAAAGAAAGAAAGAAGAGAAAGAAAGAGATAAAGAAAGAAGAAAGAAAGAAAAATAGTTTAAAGAGTTTAAGTCACTCACTGTAAATTACATAATCAATAAGTCACACAGCCAACCTAAACTATAAATCCATAGTTTGTGCCCTTAACCATTTTGTTACACTGTTTCTAAACAAGTAAATGAATAAATGAGAATAAAGATAAGTGTCTGTCCCTGAAGGTTTTACAATATAGTAGGTGACTGACATGCAGAAACAATTACAATTCAAAGTAATCTGAGCTGGAGGAACTGGAAAGGTGTTACATCCAGGGTAACAAATGAGCTGGATATCAAAGATGGAGAAGTTCAGACAAGCTAATAGACAAGGAGAGGGGATTCCTAGCTAAGAAGGTGGCATATTCAAGGGCATGATGGGCAGTGCCACACCACCAGGAAATGGGCCACATCACAGGAATGAGAAATCCCTTGTAATTTCTTACACCATATAACTGGGCCAAGAAAGTCCTCCATTACAATAAAGTAGCCAGGAGTGGGAGGAGAAAGGCAGGCACCTTGGGGGCCACATGCCATTCAAGGCTAGTATTTATTCTACAAATCTTAATTAAGTCTATTTACCAAGTCTAGCTCTGTACTGGCCCTGGGGCTATAGTGATGACTAGTAGGGCATTGCAGGCTTGTGCTACAAGCTTCACAGGCCAGTCTGCCTCAAATAGAAGCTGCACAGGCAGCCAAGGCTGAAGAAGAAATCCTAGCCATATGACTGATCTTTAGGAAGATTTTGAACTAGTGGCCAAATCACTGGGGCAGAAATCCATCCTCTTCTCAGCCAGTCTTTGTCCTGGTGGGCAGCCAACCATGTCAAGTTGTTTAACTGGACCTCAGGGTGTCCAAGAGAGGCTGAGTCAGCAGATGCTTTATCTGAAGACATCCTCACTGCCCTTATTTTTCCTGGTCCCTGAGTGCTTTCACCATTATTGCACCAGTGTCAGAAGCTGGAAAAAAAATCCTGGTAGCATAATTATATGAGCAGTGGTGTTTAAGGGCTGGCTGAAAAGGCTTCAGAGGCTTGTAAGAGGATCAAGTTTCCATGAAGCTTGTGTCTGCTTGGCTCTGCTTCAAAGGCCACTAAATTCCTGCCAGAATTAAGGAGAGAGATTCCTCAAAATCTTTTTCACTCAAGGTGTGCCAGGATTAGGCAAAGATTAGGTCCATCATGCACAATCTGTGTTACTATGCCTCTTTCTCTTCCTGAGATCAAGCTGGCTCAGGGATGTTCTGCTTGGCCGCAGAGGGATGGACAAAGTGGGCCTAAAATCTGCATCAGTAACACTAAAAGGTAAACTTTTCAGATCTCCAACAGGCTGAACTGACCCTCCAGAAACAGAAAAATTTGCCAAAAATCAATCTGCCAACAGCCAACATGCAAAATAACCAATTTTCCAAAAGTCCAATAAACAGTTGAAAAATTTACCAAATTCATCCTTTGTTTTCTAGATGCCCCTACATATTACCCTGCTTCTGTCTCCACCACTTGAATATTCATCTTCAAATTTCTATCAAAATGATCAATGGAATTGAACACTCAATGAACTGGTCATTCAGTGAATTGATTCTTAGCTAACTAATTTTCCACAAACAGCCCCTCACCTGTTGCATACACAGGCTTGTGAATCACTCTCCTGTTCTACAATTGGAGTTTCAAAGCACCTGTTAGAAAGAGGTTCAGTCCCGATCCACATAAGCCGGTCTGAATATGGGAGGTTTGTCACCATCATCTATTGAGAGACAACATCCTTCCCCAAGGTGGAAAAGAAGCTTTAGTGTTGAAAGCTTGCCTGCTGTTTGTTTACTTGAATTTGGGCGCTTTCTCTGACCTCGCTGAAAAGTCATGATGAAAGAGCAGGCTCTTGGCAGGTGTGTATGTTATAAGTGACATGCTTTAAAAACACCTCGTGTAAATCAGATATTGCCAGAAAATGGAAATTGCAGCTACAAATTGCATACTTATTACAGCAGTGTCTGATATATGAGGCAATGTTGATGCTACATAACAGGTAGCCTGAGAAATAGAAAGTTACATGTGGCACATAAAAGATAATTATTTTTCAATCCGCAATAATACAATCTCTCTTATTTTTGACATCACAGAATCCTACATCAAAACTGGAAAGATTCTTACGGACATTATCCAGCCCTTCATTTTACAGCTAAGGAGGCTAAGGCTTGTGAAGCGATGAAATCTGCCCAAGGTCACCCAGAGCCTGGCAGCACTGCTTCCTTGACATACCTCACCATATGGAGGCTCCATGGCTCTGTCCACTTTCCTTACTGAGTCCGTGGAAGCAGGAAGTCTACCTGAGTCTACTCCACATGAGGGACCAGAGACAAGGCAAGAGACACACGGCCCCTGCCATCAAGAAGCTCACATTGGCTACACTGGTGAAGAAGCTGAGCCCCAGGGAGCCCCCACAGGGAGCACTGACAGAGGCAGGTCAGATTGCCTCCCAAGCCCCTGACTCTGGGCCCACAGGGCAGTGCTGCCACAGCCCAGGGGCAGAGGTGTGTGCCCTGGCCCCTGAACTCACTGAATGCATTTTTTTAAATTCTCTTAAAAACGTGAGAGTCGATATCCCATTGTACTATAGTTTTACAAAATGCCATCATTGGGAGAAACTGGGTAAAGGGCATATGAGATCACTCTATTATTTCTTACAAATGCATGTGGAGCTACAATTATCTCAATATAATGTCAATTTTAAGACTACGGGAGGATTTTCAAAATGGCATAAAATGGTATATCCAGTCAAGACAGTGCTGTGGTTGGCTCACAAACCACTCTCACTCGAGCCTCACTTGAAAACAAAATAAACATCTCCCTAGAGAAGACCAGAAATGGATCAGCTGGGTGATGGACACCCTAAAAGCCCTAATGTGGCTGGGCTCGGTGGCTCACACCTGCAATCCCAGCACTTTGGGAGGTTGAGGTTGGTGGATCACCTGAGGTCAGGAGTTCGAGACCTGCCTGACCAACATAGTGAAATCCCGTCTCTACTAAAAATACAAAAATTAGCCCAGCACGGTGGCGCATGCCTATAATCCCAGCTACTCCAGAGGCTGAGGCAGGAGAATCACTTGAACCCAGGAGGCAGAGGTTGCAGTGAGCTAAGATCGCGCCATTGCACTCCAGCCTGGACAACAAGACCGAAACTCCATCTCAAAAACAAAACAAAAAAGCTCACATTTGGGTGCAGTGGAAATATAATGCTACAATGCTTGGGCTTTGCCTCTGCCTCTGCCTCTTCCTCATTCTGTGTCCTTGGGCAAGTCATCTAATCTCATTGGGTTTCAGTGCCTTGGTTTTTTTTTTAAAGATGGGGGTCTCACTATGTTGTCCAGGCTGGCCTTGAACTCGTAAGCTCAAGTGATGCTCCTTCCTCAGCCTCCTGAATAGCTGGGACTACAGGCGCACACCACTGTGCTCAGCTCTCAGTTTCTTAGTCTGCAAAATGAAACTAATTTCACCTACCTGTCTCACAAGGACATCATTTGGCAGCATATACACTAAAATTGGTAAAATACTGAGAAAACTAGCCCCTGTACAAGGATGACACACAAATTTATGAAACGTTCCATATTTTTTAAAAAAAGAATTAAATAAGACATTCTAGGTAGGATTATTAAAGATGGTATTTAAGCTATCAAGAGCCGTATTCATTTCAGACTCTACAAAAGAAGCGACATTGCAGGAAGACAGTGAGTGCTGTTGCAGTTCAGGGTCAAACTGATGTGGCAAAAGTCCTCAAGAACTATAGTCTTTTCTGTAGATCATCTATCCTGAAGACATTGCCCCAGATTTATCATTCCAGAAGCTATGCAGATCTGCCCTCTCCCAGGCACTCACAGGGTCATAATCATTCACTCCAATTCAGAGTTACTTTCTGATTTCAGAATTCAGAATTCTAAGGCCATTTAGTTGTCCAGGTGTGCACCTCTGAAACTGCCACCACTAATCCTATCTCACAGAATGTAAGCTGCCTGAGGGCTGGGATGTTTTGGTCTTTCATTCAGCAAATATTTACAGAGAGCCTACTTTATGCCCGACTCAGAACTAGCCACTGCCAGTGCTGTAATGTACAAAGAACAAAACAGACAAACTTGCTTTAATGGGTGTATGCAATTAAGAAATAGAAAGTGGGAGGCTAAGGTAGGAGAATGGTATGAACTCAGGAGGCAGAGCTTGCAGTGAGCCGAGATTGCGCCACTGCACTCCAGCCTGGGTGACAGAGCAAGACTCCATCTCAAGAAAAAAAAAAAAAGAAAGAAAGAAAAAGAAATAGAAAGTGAGGGGAAAAGGGAGAGTAAAACAACCCCACCAAGATAATGTCAGAGACTGGCAGGTAGTGTGACAGAAATGAATGTAACTGACTGATTTACTGACTGGGAAGTTGTGTGTGATTGGGTGGCATTCAGCTGGTATACACGTATGCTGTCCCAGTTGTAAATGGCTAGCATCTGTTTGGATTACCCAGTGATGGTACCAACCCTGTTATTAGAAAAGTTGAATGCCGCCCCTGGTGTATGGTACAGCATTAGTCAAGCAAGGCATCTTTAACAGCATAGCACTGTGCAAGAGCTGCATAAGGAGAGGTTGGCCATGAGTAGATGTAGGGCAGGCATGCTCCGAGAAACAGAACCAAAAGGTGCAAAAGAACTGTGGCAGGAACTAGCATGAAGTAAAAGAGCAGCAGAAAGAGGGCGGCCAGGGTAACACTGGAGCACAGGAACCTCCGAGGCCAGCCAGGTGGGCAGGAGACAAGGAGACAAGGTGGGCAGGAGCCGCCTATGGGATTTGGGGATTCTTCTCAGTGTGATAAGGAGACATAGAATCCTTATAAGGAGACTTCTAAGCAGGGAACAGGATTTGGGTTTTCATTTTTACACGAGCACCCTGGCTGCTTTTGTAGAGAGGCAAGAGTGTATCCTCAGTGCCTAGAATCATGTCTACTGCATAGCAGGTATTAAATAATCTACTATGAAATCAAAGAATGAATATGCTGAAACTTCTCTGTTGCTGAATGGAGCCATTCATGATATGAGTTTAGCTTCTTTTAGATCCTCTCTTTCTATGGCCATTACTGAGCAAAAGTGAATGTCCTCACAGACTCTAGCTGCTGATGGTGCTTGAACTGTTAGGATGAGCCCCAGGTTTGATGGTGGTTCCTAAGGCAGGCTCAGGGCCCTACACACCAGAGGTCCTCACAGGGTACCATGCTATGAATGGACATCTCAGATCTTTATCACTCACAGACATCAACATGCAGAAGCCTATGCAGAGGAGCTCCTATGTTTAAGTGGGTCTCTCTGCAATAATGGTAAAATTAGACTGTCATTCAAGAAAAGTGCTTCCTTCGGATTGCCATTAGCACCTCTGAAGTTGCAATCTGGGGTTTGCATGTGATTTTCTCATTTTGCAGACTTTATTGCCGCTTCTCAAAGGTGTTTTTTCATTGCAAATTTTCTTCTTTTCCCCTTGTCATCCCCCCATCTGCTCCCAACAGCCGTACTTCCCAGAGGGAAGGTCCTCACCATTATGCTCATCTTTTCACTCAGAGAGTAAAAAGCACTCTGAGGGGGAGTTGGGACATATACAGGAGGCCACAGTGAGGCCTTCAGAAAGGGATAGCACCATCTGTGGGTGACACTGTGGGTGGCCTAACCAACACATTTCCCCCTCCTTCTTCTTCCTAAAAGAATCCAGATTTTGTCCAGGTCTGCATGAAGCCATGTGTTTCACAGGAAACTAACCCCACCCCCAGCTCCAGGGATGAGACTGATTGCTTTGGAAGTAATCCCAAAACCCTTGCAATGATTGACTCAGGAAGGTCATGTGACCAAACTGAGCCAATGAAAGAAAAGGAGAAGCTTGGGCGAGACCTTTGTTTATTTATTTGGCATATATTTATTGTGCACCTACTATGTTCCAGGCACTGCTATTAAATGCTGGGAATATAGAAATTAAGGGGCAGGGAAAAGAAAGAAGTCATGACTCTGTGAAGAGAGACAGACAATAAACAAAATAAATCATAAAATATGTATAGTATTTGACGACGATCAGTGAAACAAGGTGAAGTAGAGCAGAGATGGAAAGCATGAAAGTCCAAGGGCTGCATTTTTAAATAGGGTCCTCAGGGAAGACTATCCGGGGAAGGTGAGGGATTTGTCATAATGAAGTCTGTAGGGAGATCATTTCAGGCAAAGGATCCTAGAGCAGGATGGGCTTAGCATGTTTGAGAAGCAGCAGGGAGGTCAGTGTGCTGGAGTAGAGTGGACAAGAGGGACAAGAGCAGAAGAGGAAGTCAAAGAAGTGACACTGAGGCCGATCCTGCTGGGCACTGTAGGTCTGGAAAGGACTCCAGCTTTTATACAGAGGCTGCCAGAGGGTTTTGAGCAGAACAGTGTCATGATTTGGCTTATGTTTCAACAGGATCCCTTAGGGTGCTGTTTAGGAAACAGACTAAGAGAAAGCAAGGACAAGAGCTGAAAGAGTTCATCCTCTATCTTCTGGGAGAGCTTCCAAAAGTCCTCTCTCTTGTCCTTTGATGTCATTATGAGTAGATGTGAGATGTGAGGAGAACTACTGCCTCTCCATACTCATCTGAGTGTGAAACCGCTCCACACAGGAAACAGAGCCAAGAGAACTACTGAGAAATGCACACAGAGCTACAAAATTTGGTCAACTATAAAGCTTACCTTGCACCTAAATTTCTGGTTCTGTGAGTCAATAAACATCCTTATTGCTTCAACCAAAGAAAGTTGAGTTTTCTGTTTCTTGAGCTCAAAATCTTTCCAACTGATTCATCATCTAGCCTCACTATCCATCAACACCATTTTCTCCCACTATGCATGCTGTGGCTACCCCAGAAAAGCTTATTTATTTATTTTTGAGACAGGGTCTCGCTTGGTCACCAAGGCTGGAATGCAGTGGTGCTATCTCAGCTCACTGCAGCCTCAACCTCCAAGGCTCAAGTGATCCTCCCACTTCAGCCTCCCAAGTAGCTGGGACTACAGGCATGCACAACCATGCCTAGCTATTTAAAAAAAATTATATATATATATACATATATATATATATATATTAGAGACAGGGTCTATCTATGCTGCCCAGGCTTGTTTAATGCTATGGAAGATTTCAATTCAGGAAATGGTGTCACTTTTTTCCCTGAGATGTCTTTCCATGGAATCCTCCAACTCTGAAGTCCACAGGCTGTCAGACTCATCACCTCTTCCTCACCATTTGTGTATTAAATCACCCAACATTTATTGAGTCTTGTACTGGGCTTCCCACTGTCCTGCATTGGAAAGATGAATCCCAGTTCTGAAGAAGTCAAGATTATGTGCAAAAGAGAGAGAGACAGCTCTTCTGGTTCCATGACTTTGGATTATGTTAAAAATGACTTTTCTTCAGTGCAGCCCACGTGGTCTCAAATGCCTGAGTCTCTCTGGGCCTCCATTTGACCCTTTGTAAAATGACCCTTTCCATCTCCAAGAGTCCATGGGCCTATGACTTATGGTAGCTTTCTTTTTGTATTGCTATTGTTTGAGTGTTTGCGTTTCTCCAAAATTCTTGTTGAAACTTAATCCTCAATGCAATAGTATTAAGAAGTGGGGCCTTTAGGAGGTAATTAGGTCATGAAGGTCCCACCAGATTATTGCCTTTATTAAATGTCTTGAGGGACCAAGTATGCCCCTTTTAGCCCTCCTTGCATGTGAGGACACAGTATTCATCTGCCACTATGCAAAGGCACAGCAACAAGGCACCATCTTGGAAGCAGAGAGTGACCCCTTACCAGACTCTGAATCCACTGCATCTTAATCTTGAACTTTCCAGCCTCCAGAACTGTGACAAACAAACGTTCATTCTTTATAAAACACCAAGTCTAAGGTATTTTGTTACAGAAGCCTGAACAGACTAAGACAGGTGTCAATCTCTACAGTTAAGCTTCTATAGCAGACAATGAACCAGAGGTCATAAAGACTTCTTCATATTTTTTCAAAGCCAGAGTTCATGACTAAGTGAATTTGGCAGCACCATGAGCCAAGTCACACTCTTCCACATAGTTTATAGCAAAAAGTTTTCATAATGTAGCTACCCCATAACAAAAGTATTAGTCATCTCCCCAATATCAACCTTGAATTTCCCATTTCTCTACATTTTTCCCTTCCTAACTTCTTGCTTTAAATGGTATAGCACTATGGTCAAGTTAACTTAGACTAGAACCAGACTGTCTGTTTAATGCCCTCATTCTTTTTGACCCCCACATATCAATCAAGTGATCTTTCTGACCGTGACTCTTACCCTCCTCTCTCACGAACTTCCTTAAAATTCTTCCCTAGTTACAGTAAGACTACATTTGGTTCTCTTACATCTCTGAAAGCTATCACTTCTAAGCCACCTTGGCTAATGCCTCAGCATCATTCATGAGTTATGTGGAACTATCCCTAGGTCCCGTCCTTGCCTTCCTCCCCTTCTAAACTCATTCTCCTTGAGCACCTCCCATCTTGCAAGTAAGTCCCAGACCTGTGTTTTTTCATACCTTTCCTTCTTGTCTGTGCACCAACCCACATTCCGCCCATGTCTTCTCCCTCCTTCCGCTTCTTCAATCTATCAATTAGGATTCATCCAGCAAAAACAGAAACCCTACTAGGTGTTCCAAATGGAGAGAACTTAATACAAGCAATTGACTACTCCAGTGATGGAAGGTCCAAGAAGTCAAGCAGAAGACATTGAGGCAACCCAGAGATCAACCACAGAAGGAATATGACACCAACCCTAAGGATGGAGGGACAGCAAAAAAGGTTGGAATTACCAGAGCCTGAAAGCTGCAGCTGTCCAGCAGACCCTAAAATCATGGCAGGAGCTGCCTGTTGGAAATAAAACCAAGTAAAGAGAGGCTGTCTGGCTACAAATGGAATCAGAGATGAGAGGTAGACACCTCAAGCCATTCTACTAGAAACAGAGAGAGGAGGAGGAATATTCTCCAGCTTCTCCTCTCCCTCACTCTTCAGTCTTCCAAAAATGCTTTCCTGAACTAAATGTCAAAGGACGCTGGGAAATGTAGCTCCCTGTGACAAAGATCAGATGGGAAAAGGACAGGCAAACAGCCAGTTTACCCACCCAGCAAGCTTCATCTCTCAATACCCACATTCATTCAAGTAGCTTCATTCTTCAGTTCTCCAAACCCAAAACCTTCAGAGTCATGCTGAATCTCTTCCTCCTACTTCTTCTGGCCCTCTCTGCAGTTTAGCCAACTGCTCTGAATTTTCTGTAAAATAAACTTCTTGTTAACTCCTCTTCCACAGTTCTGCAGCCACCATTGCAGTACAGCCACCATTGCAGTATAGCCACACTGCAGCCACCATTGCAGTACATTCCTTTCATACCTGGTCTTCCTGTTTCTAGTACCTCTTCCCTTCCAGCCCGCCCACTAGCTCCACATTTTCATTGGGAAGATGGAGCCCTGGTCCCAGCAGTTTCTGCAGAAGTCTCAGGTCTGACTATCTTTCCCTAAGCTTGGTCACATGATCTTCCATGAACCAATCACTGGACAGGTGAAAGGCATGTCCATGTCAGCTAAACAGAGAGAAGATGGAAGACTTATCTATTTATTTTGATAAATGTAAAAATAGTGCTTCTGATTGGTTGGGCTTTAGTCACATCTCATCCTTGAAACCAGAAGTAGGGTCAGCCAGAAAGTGAGTGAAGGGTAGTTCTCCAAAGGAAAAACAAGATTCTGTTTTTAAAAGTATAAGGAATGAATGTTGTAGAGAGGAAAAAAGCAAGGGTATGATACACATTCCTTTCATTGTCTCTCCTGCAAAAGAAACCAACAAATCTCTATTCCTTAGCTGATTTCAAGACTGTGTTATGTTGCAGAAAGACTAGAAACAACCTAAACATCCATCAATGGGGAATGACTAAAGCTAAATGGAGTGATGTGCCATGGTCTTAGGCTTTATTGTTTCATCCAAGGATCAAAGAAAAGAACACACTACAATTTTTTTTATTATACTTTAAGTTCTAGGGTACATGTGCACAACGTGCAGGTTTGATGCATAGGTATACTTGTGCCATGTTGGTTAGCTGCCCTCGTCAACTCATCATTTACATTAGGTATTTCTCCTAATTCATCCATGTCCCTACAAAGGACGTGAACTCATCCTTTTTATGACTTCATAGTATTCCATGGTGTATATGTGCCACATTTTCTTAATCCAGTCTATTATTTATGGACATTTGGGTTGGTTCCAAGTCTTTGCTATTGTGAATAGTGCCACAATAAACATACGTGTGCATGTGTCTTTATAGTAGCATGATTTATAATCCTTTGGGTATATACCCAGTAATGGGATTGCTGGGTCAAATGGTAATTCTAGTTCTAGGGATCACCACACTGTCTTCCACAATGGTTGAACTAATTTACACTCCCACCAACAGTGTAAAAGCCTTCCTATCTCTTCACATCCTCTCCAGCATCTGTTGTTTCCTGACTTTTTAATGACTGCTGTTCTAACTGGTGTGAGATTGTATCTCATTACGGTTTTGATTTGCATTTCTCTGAGGGCCAGTGATGATGAGCATTTTTTCATGTGTTTATCGGCTGCATAGATGTCTTCTTTTGAGAATTATCTATTCATATCCTTTGCCCACTTTTGGATGGAGTTATTTGTTTTTTTCTCATAAAGGGTTTGTTTGAGTTCTTTGTAGATTCTGGATATTAGCCCTTTGTCAGATGGGTAGATTGCAAAAATTTTCTCCCATTTTGTAGGTTGCCTGTTCCCTCTGATGATAGTTTCTTTTGCCGTGCAGAAGCTCTTTAGTTTAATTAGATCCGGTTTGTCTATTTTGGCTGCTGTTACCGTTGCTTTTGGTATTTTAGTCATGAAGTCTTTGCCCATGCCTATGTCCTGAAAGGTATTGCCTACGTTTTCTTCTAGGGTTTTTATGGTTTGGGGTCTAACATTTAAGTCTTTAATCTATCTTGAATTAATTTTTGTATAAGGTGTAAGGAAGGGATCCAGTTTCAGCTTGCTACATATGGCTAGCCAGTTTTCCCAGCACCTTTCATTAAATAGGGAATCCTTTCCCCATTTCTTGTTTTTGTCAGGTTTGTCAAAGATCAGATGGTTGTAGATGTGTGGTGTTATTTCTGAAGCCTCTGTTCTGTTCCATTGGTCTATATATCTGTTTTGGTACCAGTACCATGCTGTTTTGGTTACTGTAGCCTTGTAGTATAGTTTGAAGTCAGGTAGCATGATGCCTCCAGCTTTGTTCTTTTGGCTTAGGATTGTCTTTGCTATGCGGGCTCTTTTTGGGTTCCATATGAACTTTAAAGTAGTTTTGTCCGATTCTGTGAAGAAAGTCATTGGTAGCTTGATGGGGGTGGCATTGAATCTATAAATTACCTTGGGCAGTATGGCCATTTTCATAATATTGATTCTTCCTATCAGTGAGCATGGAATATTCTTCCATTTGTTTGTGTCCTCTTTTATTTCGTTGAGCAGTGGCTCTCCTTGAAGAGGTCCTTCTCATCCCTTGTAAGTTGCATTCCCAGGTATTTTATTCTCTTTGTAGCAATTGTGAATGGGAGTTCACTCATGATTTGGCTCTCTGTTTGTCTGTTATTGGTGTAGAGGAATGCTTGTGATTTTTGCACATTGATTTTTTTTTACAGTTTATAGAGTTTTATTTCATTTTTACAGTTTTTAATTTTTGTGGGTACATTGTAGGTGTAAGTATTTATGAGGTACATGAGGTACCTTAATACAGGTATACAATATTTCTAGCACCCCTAACACTTCCCTCCTGCCTTTTTGCAGTTATCCCTTCATGCCTGACCTCAGGCGACTTCTGTCATTAGAGATAAGTTTGCTTTTTCTAAAATTTCAGAGAAATGAACTATGGTGTATGTAGTGTTAAGCTTTTTTTGCAGAGCATGCTTTTCAGATTTATTGAAGCTGTTGTTTTTATTAGTTCATTTCTCTTCATTGCTAAATAGTATTCCATTTCATGCACATTGATTTTTTATCCTAGACTTTGCAGAAGTTGCTTATCAGCTTAAGGAGATTTTGGGCTGAGATGATGGGGTTTTCTAAATATACAATCATGTCATCTGCAAACAGGGACAATCTGACTTCCTCTTTTCCTAATTGAATACCCTTTATTTCTTTCTCTTGCCTGATTGCCCTGGCCAGAACTTCCAACACTATGTTGAATAGGAGTGGTGAGAGAGGGCATCCCTGTCTTGTGTCTGTGTTCAAAGGGAATGCTTCCAGTTTTTGCCCACTCAATGTGATATTGGCTGTGGGTTTGTCATAAATAGCTCTTATTATTTTAAGATACATTCCATCAATACCTAGTTTATTGAGAGTTTTTACCATGAAGGGCTGTTGAATTTTGTCGAAGGCCTTTTCTGCATCTATTGAGATAATCATGTGGCTTTTGTCTTTGTTTCTGGATTACGTTTATTGATGTGCATATGTTGAACCAGGCTTGCATCCCAGGGATGTAGCTGACTTGATCGTGGTGGATAAGTTTTTGATGTGCTGCTGGATTCGGTTTGCCAGTATTTTATTGAGGATTTTCGCATCGATGTTCATCAGGGATATTGGTCTAAAATTCTCTTTTTTTGTTGTGTCTCTGCCAGTCTTTGGTATCAGGATGATGCTGGCCTCATAAAATGAATTAGGGAGGATTCCCTCTTTTTCTGTTGATTGGAATAGTTTCAGAAGGAATGGTACCAGCCCCTGTTTGTACCTTTGATAGAATTCGGCTGTGAATCCGTCTGGTCCTGGACTTTTTTTGGTTGGTAGGCTATTAATTATTGCCTCAATTTCAGAGCCTGTTATTCGTCTATTAAGAGATTCAACTTCTTCCTGGTTTAGTTTTGGAAGGGTGTATGTGTCCAGGAATTTATCCGTTTCTTCCATATTTTCTAGTTTATTTGCATAGAGGTGTTTATAGCATTCTCTGATGGTAGCTTATATTTCTGTGGGATTGGTGGACACACCACAAGTTTTTAAAGAAAAAACTGTAAGCAGAATATGGTCCTTGTGTCTTGTATCTGTATTTAAAATTGCTGGGAGGATACACAAGATCAGTATAATAAGGACCATCTCCAGGAAAGAACAAAATGGGGAGGAAACTTAATTTTGGCTGCATCTCCTTTTGTGCCATTTGAACTTTATGCAGTGTGGCTGTTAGTTTACCAATAAATGAATGAAATTTTAAAAACATAAAGCAAATAGGAGCCCAAAGAGAAAGTTATTGGTAACCCCACAGGTTCTAAATGTCATTTCTCACAGTCACCAACCCTCTCATCCAGACCATTGTGCAGAGGCCCAGGTCCAAGGGGTTTGTTTGCTCTTGCCCAGTGTGCAATGACCAAGGCTATTCAATCACCATTATCATCATTATCCCTGACTTTTTTTGAGCACTTACTATGATCAGTTGCAGTGCTGAGCCTTTTACATGTATTACCTCTTTTAATCCTGATAACAACTCTATAATGTAGCTGTTACTATTACGATTGAGTTGCCTAAAGTCACACACTTGATGGGAAAATGATAAAGCTATGATTAATACTTAACTAATCCCATTATAGAACCAACATTATTAACCATGGCATCCTACTGCCTTTAAATAAGTAAGGTATGGTTTATGACTTACGAGCCCAGGCCACACTGACAGCTACAATGTCTGCTTTCCCAGGACCTGGGAAGGGTCCTTCTGAAAGAGCATCCAAAATCTCTCAGTCTGAGCACCTCTTTACATTTCAAAAAAAGTTTCAGAATATTTGGGAACACACAGGCTGGATCATTGCACATGACCTCGAGCTTATTGATGCCTGCTGGAGGTGAAAGGCCTGTCCATGTCAGCTAAACAGAGAGAAGATGGAAGACTTATCTATTTATTTTGATAAATGTAAATGAATTCTATTACTTGTCAAAATGTTATCAAGACCCCAGTGAAATGAGCAGTCTTTTTTTTTTTTCAGGGTGAAGGGAGTGAAGGGAGAGAGAAATGAATGCTCAAGACAGATTGCTTTGATTTGAAATGAAAACAAACAACTTTAGGGGAAAAAAAGGCTTTCATTATTTTGGAGACCTTGGCATTCTTGCAGACACATTCATGAATTAATCATTAAAACCCTGAAATAAATCATGTGGTTTTTCAATGCCAGCCCACGATAAAGGGGGCCTCAAACAGTTATTAAGACACAGTGCTTTAAAGCTGCTACTGCCTACGATGACTTTTCTCTAGGAATAAAGTGAATGAAGTGTGTGTGTGTGTGTGTGTGTGTGTGTGTGTGTGTAAGGCAACCCTGTGGTCCCAGGCTGGAACTGTGTGCAAGCCAGTTCCAACTGTGTGTCACCACATATTAGCACTATTTAATATCTGCTAATGGAATGGCTCTGTCTGCCATCGACAGCAGGATCAAAAGAGGGCCATGCATCTTTTAAATTATTAGCACTAATTAGGCAAATCAAAGAGGAGGAGGGCAGAGAGACCAGAGAATGCATTAGAAGGAAAGCAAGGGGATCGCTACCTACTTCATACTGTCAAGATCCAGCTACTAAACAGCCAATTAGTGCTGAAGACCTTTCCGGAGCAACGGAAGAATGAGCAGGCCTGCCCCAAGTAGAAGCACGATGGCTTCATTATGGTAACTCCGAATTAAAATGTAAAGGTTGCTGATCATTGCGTAATTAAATAAGGTTGCAGGCGCCCGCTATCCAGGAGTTTCCAGGGCTCCTTTATTAAAGCCACCTTCTCTGCTTCCTCAATGGCCCTCCCACAGGCAGGCCTGGAGCTGTCCGTAGTCCTGACAAACATACTGACTTCTTAAAAGGCCTGTTAGAGCCAAAGCGCTTTGAGGGGGCTTTCTTCCTAACTACTCCATTACCACCACCCCATTACCAATCCCGAGGATCATTCTGCTTTTCTTTAGAACCCATTTTCCAACTAATTAGTCGAGAAAAAGATGGGGAGTGGAGAGTGAAAAAAAGACCAAGCCTAATTAACTCCCAGTCACTGCAATCTAAATATAAAGTTACTGAAACTGAGGTTGTCCCCTGTTGATGTAACCTTTATCCCTCTTCTTTTATACCTGCTGGGAGGAAGCACAATTTTCTTGAGTTTGATTGGGACTTAATCCCAGGCCGCTGATCACAATGCCATATCCAGATGCTTTGCAGGTGTGCAAGATAGCAGGGCAGTAGGCCTAATACACCTGGTCCTAGACCATGAAAGAAACATCTTTTTACCTCAGAGGCTGGGTGTGATCGGTTCCTGGGAGGTCAAGCTAGGAGAGCCTTATCTTCTCAGAACTGTGGAGTGATTCAATTTTAATTTTGCTCCTTCAGTCCTTTTGTACATATGCTTTTTCTTCTCTGTATCTTCTATCTTGTTTCCTCTCTTTCCTTTTCTCTTCTTTCCTATCTTTTCTCTCATATTTCTAGTTCCTCTTCTTTTTATTTCTCAGATCTCTTCTTTCTCTATCCCTATTTCTCCCTCTTTTTTTGAAAACCAAACTTTAAGAAGAAATAGGATTCGATTTATCTAAACCTTTGAGTTTGGTGTGGGACTCAGCTTATTCACTGGAAATGTGCCTCATACTCAGGAATCGAATCCCTGTAAATCTTAACAGTCAATTACATTGTTACACTCCTTCCATCTAGGAACTCAAGAAAAGTAATTTAGGACACTATCAAACCACCTTTAGGTACTTATTTTAGAAACATATGGATAAGCGTTCTAGAAAACAAGAAAAAAATAGGAAAGAAAAAAGCAGCGTATGTTTGTTCACAGCCTTGAATTTGATTCCTGTTTTGTTACTTCAGGAAAAATGTCCTATTTCAGGGCAGGGGGAATGGGAGGGCAGCCATGTATGTCACACTGGAATTCAACCCATGTGGAGGTTGAAAAAACCAGGTCTGGACAGTGGAGAGGTGAAGGTGGAATACGAAGAGCCCCACGGGAGACCAGCTATGTTTTCCTCCAGTCTCCTCAACTTGGCTCAGTGGGCTGCTTCAAGTCAATTCCAGATGCAACTTGAAGTCAAAGAGAAAAAAGTGGTCCTAACCTCAATACACAAACAGGAAAGATACCAGTGAAGCTTCTCTAGTGTGACCTGTGCAGCTCACATAGTATCATGGCGACAGTGGTGCAGGGACAGGTGGTCAGAACCAGAAAAGCTGCAGTTGGAGTCTGTGCAGTGGAAAGGCTTGATGCCTGTGTGCTCGAGGAAAGAGCTAGTGAGCTCATCTGAGTGAGCGAATTTCCAGGAGCAGCCATCGCAGGTGCATTTATAAGTCTTCTCTCCTATATGAATTCTGTGGTGAGCTTTCGGGTGAGAGCTTTTGGAGTACACTTTGCTGCATCCTGCAAAGTCACATTGGTGCATCCGTCTTCTTCTCAAGTCAAGCGACTCCTCCCTGCATTTGGGCCATTGCTGCTGGTTCTTGCTTTAGTCCCTGCAGACTCTGTGAGATTGAGGATCCACTCTTAATTGCACTCTCCTCACTGTCACTTGGAATCTCCAGTAGAGACATGAAAGCGGGGTCAACTTTCACTGATCCAGCATTTGTACCATCTCCTCCAATGAGTGGGACTGTATTGGGTGCAGGGCCCTCATTTGCAGGCAAAGTAGTATACACCATGGGCAGAGACTGCACCACGACTGGGATGGCATTCAGGTAACCCATCTTACTTGGAAGACAGACTGAGGGGATGCTGTGAATGACATGTAAGATCTGCTAGCCACCAGTGCCCTGAGAGGGAGTCAGGACAGATCCTGTGGTCAGAATAGCAGGAATGTTTGCTGATGTTGAAGTGAACACCACAAGGGTCTCGGGAGCAGACTGTGGCTTGGGAGGATGTCCTGGAGCTTGCAGCATGCTAACAGGGTGGAGAGGAGCCTTGGGCTTGTGAGAGGAGAAGTCAACTGGTTCCACTGGGGACAGGCTGAAATCACTCGCCAAAAGTTCTTCTGGGGCTCAAACTTGATGTCATTAAACAATGCTGGGTTCTCCATGGGGTTGGCATCCAGGAGTGGTGGAGAAGTCACATTATTTCTGCTTCTATCTCAGGGGGATCTGTGCTCTGAGTAGGGCCAGTGATGGGCTTGAATATCTGCATTGAGCCACCTTCTGAATTAAGTTGCACCTCCAAGTTGTTTATGAGTTGATCCATATCAACCATGTCACTGGCTGAAGACTCCTGAAGTGTCCAGAACTCATACAGTCCTTAGGGAGGCTCGTACTCCTGAGCTAATTGCAAGACAGCTGTTCCCCTCACACCTGCCCCAATCTGACATCACACAGGGCGATGCCCTCTCATCTTCTCTTTCTTGCCCCCACCAGGCTTTTACTGGTTGAACTGCTTTTACTCCTGGTTGAACACAAAGTTAAGGCAGAGAAGGAAACCTTCAAGACAGAAACCCATGAGGAGCTACCACAAGATCCCCTCACCTCCGCCATTGCTGCCACACACCCCAGTGCCTTCCAGAGTGGGTGGAATGATTCTTTCTCTCTATTTCTCCCTTTTTAAAAAATTCTGTCACTTATCATATTATCGCTATAACTACAGAAAACATGAAGTTTTCATCCACTCACTCTTTGATTTTTGTCTATAGACTCCTTGGTTTAACTAAATTTTTTGGAATGGTCCAAATTACCATTTTCTCTTCCAGAAATCCTAAACAAAGGCTGAAATGATATTTTAAAGGAGAGTTGGGTCCTCAGGAGTCATGACAGGAAGTAGGTGTATGAGTTAGTGTAGGCTGGGCTGCAGTAACAAACAGACCCAGTCATGTAATGGTTCAAAACAATAGATTTTATCTCTTTCTCACACAATAGCCCAAGGTAGGTCCAGGTTGGTGAGTGGTCCCTTCCCCACACAGTTACTCAAAGACACAGGTTAAGAGTGACTCTGACATCTTCAATGAATGTCTTCCAAGATGGACAGGAGGTGAAAGAAGCATAAGTAGGAGATTTTTAAGGACCAGACCTGGAAGTGCCATACACCAGCTTCCACTCATGCTCCATTGGCCAGAATTCAGTCATCTGCCACAAATAACTGTAAAGGATGTTAAGAAATATATTAAACCATGTGTCATAAAAACCAGAACCTGATATTGGTGACCATTTAGCAATCTCTGCCAAATGAGACACAGGAAAGAGATGGTGAAGAAAGTCATTGGCAGAAAAGTGAAGAACCAAGAGCTGTGTCCACACGACAGCAGACGTGCAAGTCTTGGCACAGAACTTGTCCTGGGAAACGGTAGGAGACTTGTTTAGACAGCTAGGGGCCACTTCTGGCCAATCAAGATGCTCTCTATGGTGCACCCCACCTATTGGAACGTCACTGTAGTGCAGGGATTCAGGGCATAGGATTCAGTTTCTGAGTCAGACAGGCATGGGAGGAAATCCAGATCCCCCTCTTTCTAGATATGTGATCTTGAATAAGATATTTCTGTAAGCCTCGGTTTCATCATCTATAAAATGAGAGAAAAATAATGCTTGCCTTATGTGATATCTCTGAAGATTACACAATATAAAAGATGCAAAATTCTTAGCACGATATCTGACACATAGCAGGTACTCAATAGATGGCAATTATTGACACTGTTTGACCATGCTCACCACTGCTACCCTGGTATTGTTCTTGGAGTTCTTTCTATCTACAATGGCTGCTTCCTACATATTTCCCCACCTGTTCCAAGTCCTATCTTCTTCAGAAAGCCCTTACCTTGTATTTCATTTCCAATGACCTGCTTTAAGTCTATGCAACCCTATTGAGCACTTTATTATTACAGTCCTCCCACTACAAATGCAAGCTCCATGAGGGTTCAGGCTATTATTTATCTCATTTATTTGTTGTATCCCAGAGCCTAGCACAGTGTCTGGCATATAACAGGTGTTCAACTATTACATTTGCTAAGTATATATTCAATGAATATGAGATATACCCATGCCAATGAGCCTTATTCAGTGCCCTTTATAGGTACAGAATTATATAGCTTTGGGGTTATTCTCTAATTTTCCACATCAGTTAGTCTTGTCTTCCTGATGAAATTGAATTCACAGTAGCCACAGTGATCTTTTTAAAATGTAAATTGGATCCTATCATTCCTGTGCTTGACCCTCTCCAATGACTTCTCACCCCCTTAGAATAAAATGCAAACTCCTCACTGCAACCTGTGGGTCCCTGCAAGACCTGGCCCTGCTGTCCTCTATCCTTTCACTCCTCTTTCCTCAAGCATCACTGTGCTTGAACTGCACGGGCCATCTTTCTATTCCTTTAATACACCAACCTTGTTCCCATCTCACAGTCATCCCCTATTCCTGAGACACTTTCTCCAAGTATATTCTCAAAGCTTGGTCCTCCCCATCATTCAGGCCCCAACGTCACTCTTTCTGACAGGCCTTCGCTATCAACACTGTATGAAGTGGTTCTCCTTCCATCACTCACTGCCTTAGTTTGGATTCTCTGGAACCCATACTCTGAGTTAGAGAGCTGTTTGCAGGAAGCCTCTAGGGACTGCCCTTAGGATTAGCACCTATGGGGGAGTGAAGGAAGCAGAACCAAGCAGAGGGAGGAGTTAAGCTGAGATGCATCACAGTGAAGGCCTCCACTGATCCCACTGTGAACTTGGAGTTGGAGGGGCCCTGTAGAGCTGCTCCTCTTTTATTTCACTTCATAACATACTTCTCACTTTCTATAATTATCTTGTTAGTTTTTTTCATGCATGCTGTCTGTCTCTGGCCCCATAATAGAAGCTTCATGGGAATGGGAAATCATTTGGCATTTTCACTTCCGTATCCCAGCACCTAGTACAATGCCTGCCTCATAGTGGCACTCAGTCCGTGTTTGCTGAATGCATGAATGGGTGGTGACTGAATATGAATGGCAGAGTTGTTAAGTCCCCAAGGGCAGGCCCTGTTTCCTACTGTTCTTGAAGCAGTGACTCCCTGGATACTTGATTGGCATCACCTGTTACCTTCCATCCCCTCTAACCAGCCACTTGTGACTCTCCGAATGTGAGAGACTTCCCTGACACAATCGCAGGCTATTTTTAGTCTATTTTTTCCTCTCTGGTCTATTATAGTGGTGAGAAGAGGCTGGCTACCTGAGGCTTGCAGTAGCTCTAAATAAAACCAATCTTCCTCTCTCTGAAAAACCCTAGGAGGTGTCCTCTGTGCCAGGCTACAGGGTGACAACCACCCAGGCTGTGTTTACTGAGAGCTCTGTGATTATGTTTTTTAGTCTTCTGGTTGGAGGTACCTATGGAAGTGATTATGGAAGTACACACAGGCACCAGAGTCTCTCCTCCTTCCCACAGACACACAAACATAGGCTTTTCCCTCTTCCTCGATGGGCTGTCTTCTCTCATTAGACGGCTTTCTAGGCCGTAGAAGATTTCTCTGGGGCTGACCCTAAGGGGCCTCTTTCAGCTAATTAGATTGCAGACTGGAAGGCAGACTGTGGGCTCCTTTAATAATCTTCTATTCAGGGCTTCACATGCTCATCTAGTTTGAACATTGGGGAGGAAATTATTTTCTTCTGAAACAGTGACAGACAGCAAGAAAGAGCGTATGAGGAAACAGGTTTTCTCCTTCAGATTCTACAAGCATGAAGGACAGATGTAATGATGCTCTTCCACGGATACTTTAGAGAGATCTGCTGTGTGGCTTGGAAAGGCAGTCCTGAATCACCAGACATAGCCTTTCTCAATAATGAGGCACTCTCCTGATTCCCTTGAGAAGAAAGGATGGAGGGAGGCACCATCCCCTTTATAGGTAAGCAGAAGACTTTGAGATGCAGACGACTTCCATGGCTCTGAAATCCAAGTGGCCACACCCTTTACTAGCTGTACAACCTGTCTTGCAAATTTATTGAGCAGAGATTTAGAATACCCTGGGTTTTAATTCTAGCTCTACCACTGTGTTACAGCCCTGTGTTCTTGAATAAATTACCTAATTTTATGAACTTTAGTGTCCTCTTCTCCTTCCAGGTGTGTTCAGAGAATTCAGTTTGAAAACAAGTGTAAGCTACGTGCAGAGGGACACACCTGTAGTCCTGAGCTTAAGAATTCAAGGCCAGCCTGGGCAACATAGTAAGAATCTGTCAGGAAAGAAAGAAAGAAAGAAAAAGAAAGAAAGAAAGAAGGAAGGAAGGAAGGAAGGAAGGAAGGAAGGAAGGAAGGAAAGAAAGAAAGAAAGAAAGAAAGAAAGAAAGAAAGAAAGAAAGAAAGAAGGAAGGAAGGAAGGAAAGAAAGGAAGGAAGGAACAGAGAAAGAAGGGGGAGGGAGGGAGGAAGGGAGGGAGAGAGAGAAAGAAAGAGAGAAAGAAAGAAAGAAAGAGAAAGAAAGAAGGAAAGAAAGAAAGGCAGGAGGAAGGGAGGCAGGGAGGAAAGAAGGAAGGAAGGAAGAGGGAGGGAGGAAAGAAGGAAGGAAGGAAGGAAGGAAGGAAGGAAATGTAAAGTGTTAAGCATGGTGCCTGGCACATTGCAAATGTTCAATAAATAGTAGCTAATATTATTATAGCCCCAATCTGTAAATGGGGATGTTAATAGAATTTGCCTCCTGGGCTGATTGTAAGGGTTAAGTGAGATGATGTATGTAGTGATTTAAACAGTGCCTGGCATAGTGTGTGTCTTAGTCAGCTCAGGCTGCCATAACAAAATACTATAGACTGGGTGGCTTAAACAACAGAAATTTATTTTCTCATAGTTCCAGAGGTTGGAAACTCCAAGATCAAGGTTACAGCAAGGTTCAGTTCCTGTGATATTTCTCTTTCCAGCTTGCACATAGCTGCTTCTCACTGTGTCCTAACATGGTGGAGAGAGAGAATGAGCTCTCTAGTGTCTCTTACTACAGTAACACAAATCCTATCAGATCAGAGCCCCAACCTTATGACCTCATTTAAACTTCATTACCTCCTGAAGACCCCATCTCCAGATACAGTCACATTGGGGGTTAGGACTTCAACATATGAATTTGAGGGGGATGGAATTCAGTTCATAGCTGTATGTACTCAATAAACTGTGGCTGCTACGATTATTATTAGCATTGCTCAAAGAAGTACGTGGCTGTGCTGGAATCAAACTGATACCTTAAGTCTGACATTTCAGTGGTCTTTCCACACCTTCGGAATCACTGCACCAACTTCCAGCAAATACCTTTTACTGCTCAGAACCGTGCTTGCTTCCTTTCAGCTGAAGCTGACACTATTGGAGCGCCATCCAAATTCCCACAGATCCATTTTTTCATGTGTGTACCCCCAGATTGGATGTTCTTTTGACTACAATGGCCTGGGCCTGCACCTCCTTTTTCAAGGACTGCCCTTGGGCTACTGGGGCTGTTTTCTGTGCTCAGGCAGAGAGCTGTGACCTCCTGGGAGCTTACTTCCCCCCACAAAAAAAAACTTAGGCAAATTAAATTTAATTGAGTTTAATTGAACAAAGAAGGAATCATGAATCAGGCATCCCCCAAACCAGAACAGGTTCAGAGAGGCCCCAGTGTAGCCATGTGGCAGAAGAAGATTTATGGAGAGAAAAAGGAAAGTGGTGCTCAGAAAATGGAAGTGAGGTTCAGAAAACGGAAGTGAGGTATAGAAACAGCTGGATTGGTTGTAGCCCAGTGATTGCCTCATTTGAACACAGTTTGAACAGTTGGACCCCTTTGATTGGCCAAAACTCGGAGACTGGCACAAGAATAGGTTACAATCTGTTTACACATTCAGTTAGGTTACAGTTCACTGTGTATGGGGAAATCTTTGGACTGAACTTAGAACATGTAAGGAGGAAGCTTTAGGCTAAACTTAACACCCTTGTTTTCAAGACAACTTTGAGGTGTAATTTACACTCCAGACATCCCCTTCAGGATCAAGCAGGAGCCACCCTCCACAGCACTTTGTCTAAAATTGCACTCTTGCTTGGCAGCCTTTCCTCACTGGACCTACCTCCCCTTCCCTTACCAGTTCCTCTAGGAGCACTTCCTTGATAGATCACTTGCATTCAAGTCCTGATCTCAGAGTCTGCTTCTGGGGAACATAGCCAAGACATCAGCTCAATTGTCGGTCCCTCTAGGACACTGTCCCTGGCCCTCTAAGAACTTTTACTTGTTTTAACCTAGGAATTCCTCATGACAAACCCATGGGCTGGTGCTTCAATGATCCCCATTCTGCAGATAAGAAAACATGATCTAAAGAAAGGTCAAGTAGCTTGCCCAACATCACACAGCTGATGAATGGCGCAGGCATATGGTGACCATACTGCTTTCCTGTCATTCTCTTACCCCAACTCTTTGCCTAGATGACAGCTCTTTAGGGAAGGAACTATTGTTGCTCCTTTTGGCACCCTAGCACTTTACTTACAACGTAGCATCCATCAGGGACTCGGGAAATAATGAATGAGTGAATGAATGAATTAATGAATGGCCTGCATACTTGTTCAGCAGCTGCCTGGATCTTCCAGATAGGGCAGGTCATTCATTCACCTGCCCAGGGATCCCTTCTCATGTTATTCTACCTGAGCCTCAAAGATGGGCATTACCAATGGCATTCATTCTCAGCACCAAAACCTTCAGGGAATTTTAAGTCAACTTAACCACAACCACCAACTTCTCTCCCCCAGCTCCACAGGATTGCTCCTGGCCACAAACCCATGTTCCAAGCTGCCTGGTGGGAGGTAATAATTACAATAATCAGCAGCAACAGTGATATTCTGAGTGCTTATTGAGTGCTTACTGTACATCATTATTGAGTGATTACTGTGGATCCTTATGGAGTGCTTATGGTATATCAGGTCCTATACTAAATACATTACACTACAACCCTGTGCAGTATATTCTATTATTGTCTTCATCTTGGAAAACAGGAAACTGAAGATCAGAGAGTTCAGATTATCCTCCTGATGTAACAAAGCAGGTAAGAAAATAAGCTGGGATTTAGACCTGCTTTTATCTGGCTACAAGACACATTCTGTTAACTCCAAAGATCATAAACTCAAGACCATAGGCCTAAAGGGCCACTGGCTCTGTGTCATTTGACCTACATAGTGGGTGGTGGTGGTTGTTTTTTTAAGTTTAATTAAATGCCAATATGTAAGAATGTCTATTGCACCAAATACAATCTGGATTTTTAGCTTCTCTTGAAAATAATCAGAAGATCTGTTAGCTTAGAGCCCACAATTCTGCCTAGACATAATTGGCTGCAGCTGAATATAGGCTCTTTATTACAGTTTGCCCCAATCCCCACCACTCCTTACTGTTTTACACGAGCCCTGCTTTATTCATTTGTTTTACCTCCCTGGCCCCTGGGAGGGTTTGAGTTTGCTACTCTCTGTCGCCCACCATGCCAGATCCCCTCTTATAACTGAAAGCACTCCTCCCACCAGGGAAGATAGCAACAGCAGCATTTAGATGACATGGATGGTAATAACGTGGTGATGCTTCATATTTTACAAAGCACTCCTGCATTCATTATCCTATTTAGTTTTCAAAATAATAACCATTTCCTGGGCAACTGATCTGGGCCAATGTCTGTTGCCAAGCACAGGAGGGGCAGAGAATAATACAGAATAATCTCAGCCTTCCATAAGCACACAGCCCTGCAGTGAAGACAGCCCACTGAAATGAAAGCCCAGCATGGTCACAGAAGACATTTTTACCCAGCACAGGGAGAGGCAGAGAGACAGCAACTAGCAGCTCAGGTATTTTAGACAGTTTGGGCTACAACAAAGTACAGGCATACCTCAGAGATATTGTGGGTTCATTTCCAGGCCACTGCAATAAAGCAAATATTGCAATAGAGCAAGTCACACGAGACTCTTTGGATTCCCAGTGCATATAAAAGTTATGTTTACACTATACTATAGTCTATTAAGAGTGCAATTACATTATGCCTAAAAAAATGTACACACCTTAATTTTAAAATGCTTTATTGCTAAAAATTGCTAACAATCATGTCAGCCTTCAGTGAGTAGTAATCCTTTTGCTGGTGGAGGGTCTTGCCTCAATGTTGATGGCTGCTGATTGATTTGGGTGGTGGTTGCTGCAGGTTGAGATGACTGTGGCAATTTTTCTAAATAAGATAACAATGATGTTTGTCACATAAATTGACTCTTCCTTTCATGAAAGATTTCTCTGTAGCATGCGATGCTGCTTGACAGCATTTTACCCACAGCAGAACTTCTTTCAAAATCTGAGTCAGTCCTCTCAAATCCTGCCAGCTGCTTTATCTACTAAGTTTATGGAACATTCTAAATGCTTTGTTGTCATCTCAACAACGTTGACAGTATCCTCACCAGGAGTGGATTCCATTTCAAGAAACCACTTTCTTTGGTCATCCATAAGAAGCAACATTTTATCCTCTAAAGTTTTATTGTGAGACTGTAGCAATTCAGTCACATCTTCAGGCTCCACTTCCAACTCTAGTTCTCTTTTTATTTTCGCCACATCTGTAGTGACTTCCTCCACTGAAGTCTTGAACCCCTCAAAAATTATCAATGTGAGATGAAAACAACTTTTTCTAAGCTCCTCCTAAAGTTGATATTTGACTTTCTCCAATGAATCACAAGTGTTCTTAATGACATTTAGAATGACGAATCCTGGCTGGGTGTGGTGGCTCATGCCTGTAATCCCAGCACTTTGGGAGGCCGAGGAAGGTGGATCACTTGAGGTTGGGAGTTTGAGACCAGCCTGGCCAACATGGTGAAACCCCGTCTCTACTAAAAATACAAAAATTAGCCAGGTGTGGTTGTGCACACCTGTAATTCCAGCTACTCAGGAGGCTGAGGTTGGAGAATTGCTTGAACCTGGGAGGCGGAGGCTGCAGTAAGCCAGGATGGCACCACTGCACTCTAGCCTGGGTGACAGAGCAAGACTCTGTCTAAAAAAAAAAGAATCTTTTCCAGAAGGTTTTCAATTGACTTTTCCCAGACACATCAGAGGAATCACTATCTACGACAACAATAGTCTTATAAAATGTATTTCTTAAATAATAAGGCTTGGAAGTCTTTGGTCCCTGGGCTACAAAGTAGATGCTATGTTAGCAGGCATGAAAACAACATTAATCTCTTTGTGCATCTCTACCAGAGCTTTTGGGTGACCAAGTGCACTGTCAATGAGCAGAAATAATTTGAAAGGAATGTTTTTAGCAGTAGATCTCAACAGTGGGCTTAAAATATTCAGTAAACCTGGCTGTAAACAGATGTGCTGTCATCCAGGTTTTGTTGTTCCATGTGTACAGCAAAGGCAGAGTAGATTTAGTATTAATTCTTAAGAGGCCTAGGATTTTTTTAATGATAAATGAGCTTTGGCTTCAACTTAAAGTTACCAGCTGCATTAGCCCCTAACAAGAAAGTCAGCCTGTCCTTTGAAGCTTTGAAGCCAGGCATTGACTTCTCCTCTTTAGCTATATGGCATCTTCTTCCAATAGAAGGCTGTTTCATCTACATTGAAAACCTGTTGTTTAGTGTGGCAACCTTCATCAATGATCTTAGTTAGAGCTTCTGGGTAACTTGCTGCAGCTTCTCCATCAGCACTTGCTGCTTCATCTTGCACTTTTGTGTTATGGAGATGGCTTCTTTCCTCAAACCTAAAGAACTAACTTCTGCTAGCTTCAAACTTTTCTTCTGTAGCCTCCTCATCTCTCTCAGTCTTGTAAGAGCTGAAGAGAGTTAGAGCCTTGCTCTGGATTAGGCTTTGGCTTAAAGGAATGTTGTGGCTGTTTGATATGCTATCCAGACCACTAAAACTTTCTTCAAATCAGCAATAAGTCTGTTTCACTTTCTTATCATTCATGTGCTCAGTGGAGTAGAACTTTTAATTTCCTTCAAGAACCTTGCTTTTGCATTCACAACTTGGCTAACTGTTTGGCTCAAGAGGCCTAGCTTCTGGCCTGTCTTGGCTTTTGACATGCCTTCTAAGCTTAATCATTGCTAGCTTTTGCTTTAAAGTGACAGATATGCAACTCTTTTTTTCATTTGAACACTTAGAGGCCGTTGTAAGGTTATTAATCGGCCTAATTTCAATATTGTTTTGTCTCAGGAAATAGGAAGAGCTAAGGAGGAGGAGAGAGACCAGAGAATGGCTGGTTGATGGGAGTCAGAACACACACAACTTTTATTGATTAAGTTTGCCTTCTATATGGGTGGGGTTCACAGTGCCCAAAACCAATTACAATAGTTTTATCAAAGATCACTTATTATAGATCATTATATATACATTATATATTATATATATATAATGAAAACTTTTGAAATATTGCAAGAATTACCAAAATTTTGCACAGAGACAAAAAGTAAGCACATGCTATTGGGAAAATGGGGCTGGTAGACTTGCTTGATGCTCACAAGGGTTGCCACAAACCTTCAATTTGTAGGAAGTGCAATAATCTGTGAAGTGCAATAAAGCGACATGCAATAAAATGAGGTATGGCTGTGACAGACTAGGTGGATTATAAATAACAGAAATTTATTTATCACAATTCTGGTGGTTGGAAGTCCAAGATCAAGGTGCCAGTAAGGTCAGATAGGGATGAGGGCTTTCTTTAGCTGATGACTGATGACTGATGACTTCTTGTTTTACCCTCACACAGTGAAAAGAGGGCATAAGAGAGCTCTTTGGAGCCCTTTTTATAAGGACATTATTCCCATTCATGAGGTCTCCACCCTCAAAACCTAATTGTGTCTTGAAGGCCCTGCCTCCTGATACCATCGCATTAGGCATTAGGATTTCAACATGTGAATTTGGTGGGGAGAACATAAACACTCAGTCCATAACACCAGAGAAACTAAAATGCTTCTCAAGGTGATATTCCTGATGCACCCTGAGGGATGAACAGGACTGTGCAAGGAGAAGGGTGGGCATAGCAAAGGAACAGACAATAAGCAGTGCTCTTCATTTCCAAGACATGAGCTGCTCTTAGGACCAAGATCAAAATCCTTGGCAGAGCTTTCAGGGATGATATGGTTTGGATTTATGTCCCTGCCCAAACCTCATGTTGAAATATAATCCCCATTTGGAGGTAGGCCTGGTGATCGGGTCATGGGAGCAGATTTATTTCTCTGTGCTGTTCTCATGATAGTGAGTGAGTGCTCATGAGATCTGGTTGTTTAAAAGTGTGTGGCACCTCCCCTCTTCTCTCTCTTCCTCCTGCTCTGGCCGTGTAAGACATACTGGTTTCCCCTTTGCCTTCCACCTTGATTGTAAGTTTTCTGAGGCCTCTCCAGCCATGCTTCCTGTACAGCCTGCAGAACTGTGAGCGAATTAAACCTCTTTTCTTTATAAATTATCCAGTTTCAGGTATTTCTTTATAGAAGTGCAAAAACAGACTAATACAAGAGTTTTGATAATATCATCTCTGCCCACTTCTCTAACTTCATGTCACTCCCTCTCCCTTGCTCAGAACATGGGCTTCCACCTGACCTGGGAACTTTGCATGTGCTGTTTCCTCTTCCTGGATGTCTTTCCCTGTCATCCTCAACTCTCATCCTAAACATCATTTCTTCAGGAGACTTGTCCCTAGTGCCTCTAACCAGGTCAGTTCTGTCTATCATACTCAGGAACTTTTCTTCACAGAATGAGTCGCAGTTTATAATTACATTTTTGTGGGATGATTGGATTAATGTCTGTGTTCCTCTGTGACAGACTGAAAAACCGTCCCCAGTTCTTTATCCTTCCCTGTGCCTGCACCTTTTGCCATGTGGTTTTGCAATCTCCACCCCGTAACCTTGATCTCCGCCATATGAGTTGCTTTAGCTGATGGAATGCAGGTGGAAGTGATGATGTGCCACTTCTGAATCTAGAACTTAAGAGGCCTGTTGTGCTTCTGCCATCACCATGAGAAGTACATTCCCAGCTAGTCCTCTGGCACAAGGAGGACAAAAGTTGTGTGGATCAGGCCCAGACTCACCCTGCAACTTAGAATGCCCCACTGAGCCCAGCTAGATCAGTCATACCCTAGCCAACCACAGAGGCATAAGCAAAATCAATGCTTATTGCTGCATGCTACTAAAATGTTGGAGTTCTTTGTTATTGACTGATACACCCCCACTATATACTAAGCTTTGTTTAAGCAAGCATCAAATGTTTGTTCAACATTGAATCCTTACTACCTTATACATAGTGGACCCTTAATATTAATACATATTTGCTGAATTAATGAATGATTAGCGGACCAGGCTACACTAGCAGCCAGAAAGCCCTGCACTATCAGGGGACCAGGCTACACTAGCAGCCAGAAAGCCCTGCACTATCAGGGGACCATTGGGGTTTCACAAAGTGAAGTGTACCTCTAATCAGTCAGAGTGGTCCAACCTTCTAGGAGATAAGCAAAGAAGAAATGGGGAGATTGGGAAAGGCATTAGGGGGAGGGATAAAGAGAAGTTGGCAAATGGATACAAACATACAGTTAGATGTTAAATGGAAGGAGTAAGTTCTAACGTTCGATAGCAGAGTAAGGTGACTATAGCTAACAACAATATATCATATATTTCAATATAACTAGAAGAAAGGGCTTGAAATGTTTCCATCACATAGAGATGATAAATACTCGAGGTGATGGACACCCCAAATACCCTGACTTGATCACTACATTGTCTGTGTAACAAAATATAATATACTATCATATGCATTCCATAAATGTGTACAAATATTTGTATCAATAAAAAAAGAAATGGATGGAAACTATCTTTCTGCCTGCTCGCCCCAAGACCTCTGCCTCCAGAACTTCAAGGCTTGGAGAAGAGGCCTATAGCAGAATAAGTGCTTAGACCTATGGAGATATTAGGACATCCCTACAGCCATCAAAGTGTATTTATCAATCAGCAGCCTGAGTCTTACTTGGCACCTAGAAAGTATCTCCCATGCTGCTCATTTTTATTTGGATTAACTCAGAGACACCAGGAATAGATTGATAATGATAATGATGGCAGATACATTTAATAACATAAAAAACAATAAATATGTGCTGGCCACTGTGCTATACCAGATTATCTACTTTAATTCCTTACAACAGTTAAATGGAGTGTGTCCTGTTTTACAGATGAGGAACCTGAGCCTGAAAGAAGTATGGTATCATGTGCCAAAGCACGAAGCTAACAAAGAGAGCCTGAAAGAGGTATGGTACCCTGTGCCAAAGCATGAAGCTAGCAAAGATTTAAGAGAATTCAAAACCAGGTAGTCTGAGGTCAGAGCTCATGCCCCTAATCACTGAGCTATGGCCTGAGCAGTGACTCAGAAGTTCCAAGACTCAGTCCCAGCTCCAGCCCATATGAACTCAGGCAAGGCTTTTCCTCAAACTGAGCATAGTTACTTTCTTGGTAAAGATGTCTGAAGGGCTTTCCAGCTCTGGCTGCTCCTGACCTGTGGCTTGAGCTACACTTCCTCATTTCTCTCACACACCCCCAGCTGCCATCTCCCAAGAATGTCCTTTTGGGGTACTTTTACCAGACATCAGCCTTCTCAGACCCGGCCACCAGCAATTGTCACTGCTTTTCCAGGAGGCAGGTGTGCAGTATGTATTGAAAGTCTTAATGATGCTCATAACATTTCCCTTAAAGAAAGATAAAAAATGAGCACAAGGGCTTATGGGCAAGAATGTTCACAGCAGCACTATTTATCATAAGGGAAGCCCAGAAATAACCTAAATATCCACCCTTAGTGGATTGGTTAAATAAATTGCAGCACGTAACTCAACAGGAGTATCATGGAGCCTTTTAAAAATATGAAATGGCTCATTTGCAATGTTATGCATCACAGCGTTATTCAAAGGGCAAAATATGGAGGAAAATATTCAAATGTCCATCAATACTGAACTGGTTAAATAAATGGCAGTATATTCATATAATAGACTGCTGTAGAGTGGTACGAAGAAATGAGAAAATTCTCCATATATTTCATATAGAAAATTCTCCCAGATACTTTGTTAAGTGAAAAAACAAGGTGAGGAGCAGTGTTTATAGCATGTAATATTTTGCAGAAAAATAAAAACACATATGTTTATTTCTTTATATAATCATGAGATTCTGAAAACAGACTCAAGAAAGAACAAAAGAACAAGTTATTGGTAGGAGAACTTGTTAGATGGGGCACAAAAGTGAAAGGAAACTCTTTACTATAAACCCATATATATATAATTTTATTTTAAGTTCTGGGATACATGTGCAGGACGTGCAGGTCTGTTACATAGGTAAACGTGTGTCATGGTGGTTTGCTGCACCTACCAACCCATCACCTAAGTATTAAGCACCACATGCATTAGCTATTTATCCTGATGCTCTCCCTCCCCCGACACCCTCCAACAAGCCCCAGGGTGTGTTGTTCCCCTCCCTGTGTCCATGTGTTCTTGTCGTTCAGCTCCCACTTATAAGTGAGAACATGTGGTGTTTGGTTTTCTGTTCCTGAATTAGTTTGCTGACGATAATGGCTTCAAGCTCCATCCATGTCCCTGCAAAGGACATGATCTTCTTCCTTTCTACAGCCACATAGTATTCCACAGTGTGTATGTACCACATTTTCTTTATCCAGTCTATCATTGATGGGCATTTGGGTTTATTCCATGTCTTTGCTATTGTGAATAGTACTGCAGTGAACATACATGTGCATGTATCTTTATAATAAAATGATTTATATTCCTTTGGGTATATACCCAGTAATGGGATTGCTGTGTCAAATGGTATTTCTGGTTCTAGGTCTTTGAGGAATCGCCACACTGTCTTCCACAATGGTTGAACTAATTTACATTCCCACCAACCTGTTCATATATTTTTAACCTCATGAACCTATTATAACCTACTTACAAAATTAAACTTTTAAAAACCTTAATAATGTTGTAGAAATATGTTGAATTGTGGAGGAAAACCTAATATTATTAAAAGGAAAAAGTATTTTATACAACAGAATGAACAGTGACCTTAAGCAAGTCACATTTCTCTGAGCCTGTTTATCTGTAAAATGAAAAAAAAGATGCCTACTTCACAGTCATGAGAATAAATGAGACCAAAATAGGAAACACATATGTTAATAAAACACATAGCTAACACTAAATAAATATAGCTATTAATGATCCCATAAAAACAGTGCTGGAATTACATGCTTGCTACATGTGGTTATCTCTAGGTGACAGGATAGAGGTGGTTTTTATTTTACTTTTTGTGCTTTTCTAGATTTTCCAATTTTGCCATAAAGAAAACACATTCCTTCATGCCTGTAATCCCAGTACTTTGGGATGCCAAGGCAGGAGGATTACTTGAGCACAGGAGTTCGAGGCTGCAATGAGCTATGATCATGCCAATGCAATCCAGCCTGGGTGAAAGAGTGAGACCTTGTCTCAAAAGGAAGGGAGGAAGGAAGGAAGGGAGGGAGGGAGGAAAGAAGGAAGGAAGGAAGCAAGGAAAGAAGGTGGAGGGAGGAAAGAAGGGAAAGAAAAAAGAAAGAAAGAAAGAAAGAAAGAAAGAAAGAAAGAAAGAAAGAAAGAAAGAAAGAAAGAAAGGAAGGAAGGAAGGAAGGAAGGAAGGAAGGAAGGAAGGAAGGAAGGAAGGAAGGGAAGAAAGAGAGAGAGAAAGAAGGGGGAGGGAGGGAGGAAGGGAGGGAGAGAGAGAAAGAAAAAGAAAGAAAGAAAGAAGAAAGATTCCTTTTGTAACAATCTGAAAAAAACAGAAATGTTACTTGTAAAGTGATAGAGAGCAATATTTAAAGTACCTTTCAGGAAGTTCTAGCCAGACCAATAAGGCAAAAGAAAGAAACAAAAGGCATTCAAATCAGAAAAGAAGTCAAACTATCTCTCTTCACTGATTATATGATTCTATATCCAGAAAACCCTAAAGACTCTGCAAAAAAATCCTGGAACTGATAAAAGACTTCAGTAAAGTTTTGGGGTACAAAATCAACGTACAAACATTAGTAGCATTTCTATACACCAATAACATTAAAGCTGGGAGTCAAATAAAGAACATAATACCATTTACAATAGACACACGCACTAAAAAAATACCTAGGACTGTATCTAACAAGGAGGCGGAAGAGCTCTCTGAGGAGAACTAAGAAACACTGCTAAAAGAAATCAGAGATGACACAAACAAATGGAAAAACATTCCATGCTCATGGATTGGAAGAATCAATATCACGAAAATGTCCATACTGCCCAAAACAATCTACAGATTCAATGCTATTCCTATCAAACTACCAATGTCATTTTTCAGAGAATTGGAAACAACTATTCTAAAACTCATATGGAACCAAAAAACAGCCTGAATAGCCAAAGCAAAATCCTAAATAAATCCAGAGACATCGTGTAACTCAACTTCAAAGTATACTATAAGGCTACAGTAACCAAAACAGCATGGTACTGGTACAAAAACAGACATATAAACCAATGGAACAGAATAGAGAACTCAGAAATAAAGCCACACATCTACAGCCATTTGATCTTTGACAAAGTTGACAAAAATTATCAATGGGGAAAGGACTCTCTACTCAATAAATAGTGCTGACATAGCTGGCTAGCTATATGCAGAAGAATGAAACTGGACCCCTACCATTCACCATATACAAAAATTAACTCAAGGCGGTTTAAATAGTTAAGTGTAAGACCTCAAACTGTAATAATCCTGGAAGAAAGCCTAGGAAACACCATTCTGAACATCTGCCTTGGAAAAGAATTTATGACTAAGTCCTCAAAAGCAATTGCAACAAAAACAGAAATTAACATGTGGGACCTAATTAAACTAACGAGCTTCTGCACAGTGGAAGAAATTATCAATACAGTAAACAGATAACCTACAGGATGGGAGAAAATATTCGCAAACTGTGCATTCAGCAAAGGTCTAATATCCAGAATTTATAAGGAACTTAAACAACTCAACAAGTAAAAAACAAATAACCCTGTTAAAAAGTGGGCAAAAGACATCAACAGACACTGCTCAAATGAAGACATACAAGTAGCCAACAAATATATGAAAAAGTGCTCATCATCACTAATCATCACAGAAATGCAAATTAAAACCACAATGAGATACCATCTGACACCAGTCAGAATGGCTATCATTAAAAAATCAGTAAATAACAGATGCTGGTGAGGTTGCAGAGAAAAAGGAACACTAATACACTGTTGGTGGGAATGTAAATTAGTTCAGCCACTGTAGAAAGCAGTTTGAAGATTTCTCAAAGAACTTAAAACAGAGGTACCATTCAATCCAGCAAACCCATTACTGGGTATATACCTAAAGGAAAATAGATCATTCTATGAGAAAGACACATGTATTCCTATGTTCATCACAGCGCTATTCACATTAGCAAAGACATGGACTCAACCTAGGTGCCCATCAACAGTGGAATGGATAAAGAAAATGTAGTACATATACACCATGGAATACTACGTAGCCATTAAAAAAAGAACAAAATCATGTCCTTTGCAGCAACATGGATGCAGCTGGAGGCCATTATCTTAAGCAAATTAATGCAGGAATAGAAACCAAATACCACATAGTCTCACTTGTAAGTGGTAGCTAAACACTGAGTACACATGGACATAAAATTGGGAACAACAGACACATTGGGACCATCAGATGGGGGAAGAGGGAGGAGAGCAAGTGTTGAAAATCTAACTGTTGAGTACTATGCTCAGTAACTGGATAATGGGATCAGTCATACCCCAAACCTCAGCATCATGTAATATGCCATGTAAGAAACCTGCACATGTACCACCTGATTCTAAAATAAAAGCTAAAATTATTTTTAAAATTTAAAAACAAAGTACCTTTCAAAGCCCTCCCTACCCTTTTCCCAAGGTTCCTGAAGTGTCTGGGCAGGAAGGTCAGCATGGTATTGGTGGCAATTACTGTGTAGTCACTGAGCTGTGGGGCCACAGGCAATCAAAGGCACCATCTAACAGTTCATCTGATGAGACCCCTCCCCCAGCTAAGGATGCAGACCCTTCCAGGTGGAGACACTGCCCTGGCTCAGATCGTATTGAAACATTCCTCAAGATGCACTTTCAGACCCCAGACACAAACCTCACTACCACCAACACTTACGGAGACTTGACAATGAACCAGGTGCTGCCCTGATGCTTTACCTGCATTGATACAGTTAGTCTTCATGCAGTGCTATCAGGTATTACCCCCACTTACGATTAGAAGCTCAAATACACAGTACCTACCTAATTTGCCCAAGACCACACAGCTAGTAAGGGGCAGAGCCGAGATTTGAACCCTATTGATCTAAGTCTAAAGCATATGCTCACCCTCTATGCACTGCTTTAGACAGCGCTCATTGGCGGTCAGGCTTTTTGATTAAAACAGAATTTGTTTTTGGTGAGAACAAACAAAGAGAGAAAGAGAGTGGTAAACAAAGCAAAATATAAAGTCAGATATCAGGCCGGGCGCAGTGGCTCAAGCTTGTAATCCCAGCACTTTGGGAGGCTGAAACAGGTCGATCCCCTGAAGTCAGGAGTTCGAGACCAGCCTAGCCAACATGGAAAAACCCCGTCTCAACTAAAAATACAAAAAAATTCGCCGGGCACGGTGGCAGGCACCTGTAGTCTCAGCTACTCGGAAGGCTGAGGCAGGAGAATCGCTTGAACCCGGGAGGCAGAGGTTGCGGTGAGTAGAGATCACGCCACTGCACTCCAGCCTGGGCAACAAGAGCAAAACTCCTTCTCTAAATAAATAAATAAATCCAGATATCAGAATTGTGGTTAAACCCAAATGCCATAGCTTGCATGGAAGCTGCTTGCCCTGTATCATCAACTGGAAATGCTAAAACAGCTGAATTTCAGTACTGGAATCAGACCATTCCCATCAATATCCCCGCTTGCAATGCTACCAAGTACCCATCCCATCCACTGGTGAGATGCTCACTGCAATTTAAGGCAGCCCATGCTAACTTTGGACATTTCTCTGTGAAAACCCGTAACTCTAGGTTATCCAAGGAGATTGCTTCCTACAGAAACCATCATTTGGTGTGTTTAAGTGGTCTTGGTCTGTTTGTTAAAACATCAGTATTATTGGTTTGTGTTTTGTTCCAGATACCCTGTCTGGAAAAAGTCACACTCTGAATAAAACATGGCCCAAGGTCTCTTACTCACTTTCTCCCTTTGCAGCCAGATCTTGGGAAATGCACACTTTCCTTCTATGGTTTGAGGATGGTGGTTTAGAAGCTCCTAGCTATTGTAGCTCAGGGCCTTGGTCCCAGGTCTCTATCCTGTGTCTTCAGTGTCCCTCATTTCACTTTGAGGGCATCCCCTTTGTGTGAGCTTGTCAGCAGCTGTCACGGTCACTGGGCTGGTCTTACACTTCATTTTTTAGCCTGTTAAGTTTAATGCCCCTATGTTTGGTGAAGTAAAGGGAACAGCTTCTCTTTGTGGCCTGTGGTGGTGATTTTACAGAGATTATCTCAGAGACTCTACTCAGATACATACTGTTCATACTTACTCACTGCATAAATAAGCCAGTGTGGCTTAGTTAAATTTGGGGGAGCTATCAAAGCAGAGACACTCTCCCTAATTATTCACTTTGTGAATGCCTTTCATGCCAGAATACCTCCTGGCTCCTTTAATCCCCACCAGAGGTCCAGAAATCAAGGCATCATCTTTGACCCCTCCCTCTCACTGTCCCCAACCATCCATCTACCAGCAAGTCCTATTGGTTTGTCCCCCAAAATATATCTAAGATCTTTGCAGGCACCTCCATTTCTTCACCCCTAGCTTCCATCAGCCCTGCCCTGGGCTGCTTCAAAAAACTTTCCAACTTATTGCCTGCTTCTACTTTTGCTCCTGTTCAACCTTTTCTACGAATTGAAACCAGAAGAGCGTTTTAAATTATAAATTGGATTATGTAGTATCCCCCTTTCCCCCTCCCCCCACCCGCTTAAAACCCTTCAGTGGCTCCCACACGCTTCGAATCAAGTCCAAGTTTCTTCTCATAGTCTGTAGGGTCTGCATGACCTGGCCCAGCGCAGGTCTCTGACGTCCACAACACCAGGTGCCCTCTGTTACATTCCAGCCATACTCTCTAGTGTGGTTCACCCAGAAGCAAACCTGGAGACAAGGAATGGGTTTCAAGTAGATAATTTGGGAGGTGATCCCAGAAAGCATCATGAGAGAGTAGGGAAAGTGCAATAGAGAACAGAGGAAAGCTGAGGCAGGGCGCATTAATGAGTGGGTTACCTCTGTAGACAACTGGGGCTTAGTTCTGCTGGGGAGCCTTTATGTGGACATGCCTGAGAGCTGTGCCAGCACAAGGTGGGGAAGCTGGGGAGTTTATCCACCTTGTCCCAGACCACATTGTTGAGGGTCATTCTGGGGACACAGCTTCCCAGAGCTCTGGCAGAGCACTCACCTGGGGCTGGAGAACACTCTGAGACAGAAAGACACAGTAAACCCTGACTACCCATATAGACTGGGGAGTTATGAGTAGAACACCAACAGCCCCTGCCCCTTCAGTATTACTCAATGGGTGGCCCTGGACCACCTACCATGCACAAAAAACCAGTTTATGGTGAGACAAGGCACTTGGGCAAGAATGTCAATTAACTACATCACTAAGCACACTGCTTAGTTCCACTGACATTTTTTCATAGTCACGTGTTGTAAGTTTGGATATGGTTTGTTTGACCCCTCCAAATCTAATGCTGAAATATGATCCCCAGTGTTGGAGGTGGGGCCTAATGGGAGGTGTTTGGGTCATGGGGGCAGATCCCTCATGAACGACTTTGTGCTGCCCTAGTTTCCATGAGAGCTCCCTCAAGAGCTGGTTGTTTAAAAGAAATTGGCACCTCCCTCCATCCACCTTACCCCCTCCCTCACCGTATGATACCTGCCCACACCAGCTCCTCCGCTTCCCCTTCTGCCATGATTGGAAGCAGCCTGAAGCCCTCACCAGAAGTAGATGTTTGTGCCATACTTGTTGTACAGCCTGAAGAACTATGGGGCAAGTAAACATGCCTTTATAGCAACACAAATGGACTAAGACATTAGACTTTCTCAATGAAGGAAGCAGTGCATTAATGTACACTCTGGTGCAAGCTCCTTACCTTCTCATAGACTGGTACTTTGAATAGCCCTGTATATTATCCTTCTGTCTATTGCTAGAACACATTGGGTCTATTCCTACCAGACATCTCTGTCCTTGCTGTTCCTGCTGCCTGACATTGTTTTTCCTGGCTTCTTCCCAGCCTTCACATGGCTTATATGGTCCCACCTCAGGAAGACCTTCCTGACTCCCTATATAAAATATCCACTAACCCATTACCCATATTACAACACCCTACTTATGTTCTTCAAGGTGATAATCATGATGTATATTTATTCTGTATTTGTTGGTTGACATATTGTCCATCTCCTCCACTTGAATGCATGTTCCATAGGGGCAGGAAGTTGGCCTGGCTCCTTTGCCCATTATATCACAGCACCAAGCACAGAGTTGGTGCCCAAAAAATGCTGAATTAATGATTGAAAAAATGTGCAGCCAACATACATTCCAAGTTCATTATGTGATGTCCTTCTCCCATCAGAACATGCTTAGTGCTGACATGCCCTCCAATTGATGTCAAACAAAAACACAATTCCCCAAGCTCACCATTGTTCTCCCATGATATGCCCGAAATTGTGGCTGACCCCTGGTAACGTCCACAACTTCATAACAGTGCTTCAGCATCCAATCTCCCAAGCCCAAGTCTCCTCCATCCCTGAAATTGGGTACCAATTTATTTGGAGGCATCCATCTGAGTAGGTATAAGCACTGGCTTGGGAATTAGATGTACATAGCTTCAAACCACAGCCCTGCCACTAGCTGTGTGGCCTTGGGTAGGTGACTTCACCTCTGTGAACCTCAATGTACTCATCAAGGTTGTTGTAAGAATTAAATTATATATATTTGACCTAACTATCCCATTACTGGGTATATACCCAAATGAATGTAAATCATTCTATTACAAAGATACATGCACACATATATTCATTGCAGCACTATTCATAATAGCAAAGACATGGAATCAACCCAAATGCCCATCAATTATAGACTAGATAAAGAAAATGTGGTACATATACACTATGGAATACTATGCAGCCATAGAAAGGAAGGAGATCATGTCCTTTCCAGGGACATGGATGAAGCTGGAAGCCATTATCCTCAGCAAACTAACACAGGAACAAAAAACCAAACACCACATGTTCTCATTTATAAGTGGGAGCTGAACAATGAGAACACATGGTCACGGGGAGGGGAATAACACACACTGGGGCCTGTTGGGGGGTGAAGTGAGGGGAGGGAGAGCATTAGGAAAAATAGCTAATGCATGCTGGGCTTAATACCTAGGTGATGGGTAGATAGGTGCAGCAAACCACCATAGCACACATTTACCTATGTAGCAAACCTGCACATCCTGCACATATACCCAGAAACTTAAAATTAAAATTAAAATTAATTTTTAAAAATGAATTAAATTTGACAACTCGTATAAAGCAAGATTTCTCAAACCGGGCATTATTGACATTTTGAGCTTATTTTTTGTTGGGGTCACAGGTAGCAGACTGTCCTATCCACTGTAGAATATTTAGCAGAATTCTGGGCCTCCACCTATTAGATGTCAATAGAACACCCTCCACATGCCATGTGAGAACCAAAAATGTCTGCATTTTTGTGAGAAACAAAAATGTCATATCTCCCCTGGGAGACAAAATCACTGAGAGTTAATAACCACTAGTAGTAAGTCTTTAACACAGGGCCTGGCAAGTTATTAAACTGCTATATACCTCAGTTTCCTTATCTGTAAAACAGGCATAATCAACTCATAGTTTGGTGAGAATATTAACCGACATAATATGTGTAAAGGGCTTAGCAGAATACCTTGCATATTACAAGTGCTTTTTTCAAAAAGCTATTTTTGTCATTAAAACTTAATGACCATTTGCAATTATTGCTATTTGTATTAGAGCCCTCCTTTAATCACTATTCTGAGTTTAATCCAATCACTCACCTAGTTTTCCCAGAGGACCTTACTATTCATACTGCATACCCAGTGCTAGAGCCCTTTTCCTAATCCCTAGCTACCTTGTGGCCTCCCAAATATCAAAATAAAAGCTCACCTTCCAAACTCAGTGTGGCTGGCTGTGTTGAGCACATCGTGGCCACATTCCACTGACCCTTGGAACATTTGGTTATTTCACCCGAGCCACCTAGAGCTGACAACCCCAGCTGGGTCAGAATATTAATAGTTGGTGATGGAGCTTTCAGAATACTGTGATTTGCCTGTCCTGTTGAACCTTCTCATTTGTAAGGCCTACATTGGGTGTCTTAGTCAGCTGTGGTCAAAATACTTTAAAGATATTGCAGTAAATGAGGTCAATGAAGCATTCGAGGATGCTGAGCTCTCCTTTACATTTTCCTAGGGGCCCAAAAATGAGATGTTTGCTCCCAATACGTCAAGAGAGACAGTGGTCAGTCATAAGAGTCACCAGTGAAAAAATGGTGGCCCCCTATCCTTGGAGATCTTTAAAAAGAACTGGGAAATCTATAGATCACCTTAGGTAGTATGGACATTTTAACAATACTGATTCTTCAATCCATGAACATGGAATATCTTTCAATTTTATAGTGTCCTCTTCAACAAAAATACAGTTAGAACAGTGTTCTGTAGCACAATAGGAGGGTTATAGTAAACAATAACTTACTGTAAATTTCAAAATAACTAAAAGAGCGGAATTGGGATATTCCTAACACAAAAAAAATGCTTGAGATGATGAATATCCCAATTGTTATGATTTATTATACATTATATGTTTGTATCAAGAATCACACATACCCCCTTAAATATATACTACTAATATACATCCATAATAAATAAAAATAAAATTTTTTTTTAAAAAATGGCTGGGTGTGGTGACTCAAGCCTGTAATACCAGCATTTTGGGAGGCAGATCATGAGGTCAAGAGATCGAGAACATCCTGGCCAACATGGTGAAACCCCATCTCTACTAAAAATAAAAAATTAACTGGGTGTGCTGACATGTGCCTCTAGTCCCAGCTACTAGGCAGGCTGAGGCAGGAGAATCGCTTAAACAAGGGAGGCAGAGGTTGCAAGTGAGCCAAGATCACACCACTGCACTCCAGCCTGGTGACAGAGCAAGACTTTGTCTCAAAAAATAAATAAATAAATAAATAATTTATCAGTGTTAGATTTCCATGTGCTAGGAGGAAGAGCTGGTACCACTGATTTCTGCAGGTCTTTCCCAATTCCAGATTTCTAAAGCAGCTTCTCCCAACCACCTTGCTTCCCCCTAGCCTCTGTGTTTGAGTAAAAGCACACTTCTAGTTATGCACCCTGCTCTGACACCCAGCCCATCTGCTACCTGGCCCATGCCTCAGATAATCCTTCTACCAAGTTGAATCCTCCCACCATGAGTAACTGCTACTATAGGAATTATATAGGAAGCACATACTTCTCAAATATGAGAAGATAGGAGCATAAGAATTACATACTTCTCAAAAATCAAGTTCCACGTTTGTTTTATACTATTTATTTTAATTTTTTCAGAGACAAGTTTTCACTGTGTCTCCCAGGCTGGTGTACAGTGGCACAATCATAGCTCACTGCAGCCTTGAACTCCTGGACTCAAGCAATCCGTCTGCCTTAGCCTCCGAAGTAGTTAGGACTATAGGCATATGCCACCATGCTCGGCTAATTTTTTTATTTTATAGAGATGGGGGTCTCCCTATGTTGCCCAGACTGGCCACAAGCGATCCTCCTGCCTTGGCCTCCCAAAGTGTTGGTATTAGAGGTGTGAGTCACCACCTCCAGCCTCCAGATTCATTTATTCAACCAAGCACATCTCCTAAGTGCTTAGGCTGTGTCTGGTGCCTTGCAGGCAACAGGGATCCCATGATTAACCTTCATCAATCTTGCCCCTCAAAGATTTCACGATCTGGTAGATTTAAAAGTTTCAGTTTACATGCCAGTTTATGTGAGTATGAGTCTACATATGTGTTTTTATTTTAATTATTCTTGGTGGAAACATTTCTAAGATTATTATAGAGGTCACCTCTTTTAAACAGAGCAGGCAGCTTAGCACAGTCTACCCTTTGCCTGGAGTTCCAAGGCTGTGATTGAGACTCCCAAATCTGCATGACCCTGTGAGGCAGAGCAACCCTCTACAGTCCTTATTGTGATTTTTGTCATATTCATATTGTTCCTGTCCCATCACCATCCTCTGCCACCCACCAGCAGCAAGATTCTTCCTGCTCTTAAGAGTCCACCATATTCAATAAGCGTTTGTAATACAGCAACAGCTTGAAAGTAATTCTTCCCCACCCTTCTGGCTCTCCAGACATGTCCAGGACACCTTCCTCCATTCATGAGCTCTTGAAAATGGGCACTATTATTATGCCCATTTTACAGATGAGGAAATTGAGTCTCAGATAGGTTAAGTTACTTGCCCTGAAGTCACAGTAGCAGAGCTGGAACTTATATCCAAACTGACTGACTCCCAAGATCAAATTCCTATTCACTCCACTATACTATTAGGAGTTTGTCACTTGTAGATGGGGGATGATCAGAGAGCTGCTTGACTCTATCCAAATCTGGACAGTTACAGGTTTTAAAACAGTCACAACTGGATAACCTACAGGTATTTTCTGAACACCTAGTGCTGTCAGAGATATGAAATAGCATGTCAAGGCCTTGAGAAGCTCATAGTCTAGTTGGGAATGTGGGCAGGAGACAGCAAGGGTACATCACCACCCAACCCATAGGAAGGTGCCAAAGAGTTCAGGATGGATGGCTCAGCATGGCTGGAAAACCTCTATTCAAAGTTCTGCTGTCCATGAAGGGTCCTGAATCAGAACCACCTGAATGAGGAGTGGGAAGTAATGAGTCACTTGTCATAAGGCTGTTCTAGCAGGGACAGGGGGTCAGAGGTGCTGAGCCATGCAGTGACAGGATATGTGGCTTCGACCATTCTTGCAGTTATTCAATAAATACTGAATGGAATACTCTGTACATGCAAGGCACTGTTCTCAGCACATTGAAGAAGACAGACAATGTCACTGCCCTCACAGAGCTTGTATTCTAGTGGGGGAGGCCTTACACAATTAAATAAACCAGACAATAAGAGGCAGTGAGAAGCAAATGGGAAAGGAGCTACTGCCGATTGGGAGGGGTAGAGGAATAGTCTTTCCAAAGAGGTGACATCTGAGTTAGGACATAAAAGGATGAGGAAGAGCCATGTAAAAGGAAGAGTGTGCCAAGCACATAGAAGAGTGTGTGAGAAGGTTCAGAGGTCCTTGTAAGGCTGATGTGGATGAAAGCTACCTTCCACCCACCAGGCTTTGCAGGTGGAGCTGTCCATGAAAAAGAAACACTGAAAAGAGAACTCAATTGAGAGTAATTAGGTAACTGTCTCCATGTGGCTTTGGGGTTAGGAGCTGAGAAGGGAAGAAAAATGGAAGGAAAGGGAAGCTCCAAATAGCCTGCTACAACCAAATGATTCTGAATATCTGATAATAAATATTCATATAATAATTGATGATGGTGATGATGATAAAAATGCTAAAAAGATCAGGCTGTCAGAGGGCAATGCTGCCCTTGGCAAAGATATGTGGCCTTTCTCAGACTCAAATAAAGGGCAAAGGATAGCACATCTCCTTCATTCTCTTTCTCCTGCCTGTGACATGCCTGAGAATCCCAGAGGTCATTCTCACTGCCCACAGGCATTCCTACTGGATCCCAAGTCCCTGCTGGGATCATAGCCATTATGATGCTCACAGGCTTCCCTGCCTCTAGAGATGGGTGCTGCAGTTGAGCCCTTGTGGCTAGTGGATGACACACCTGCTTCCCCCCACCACCACCCTGACTATGAGCATCTTGAGAACAGGACCAGGTCTTAGCCTTCGCTGTGGCCCCAGCACCTCCCCCGGGGCCTGGTGCATAGTAGATGTTCAGTAAGTATTGGCTGGAGAGAGAGAGGGAGGAGAAGATGGAGGAATTGAGAAATGGAGGAATAGAGGGATAGGGAAATACATCAATCACCTGTCTCCAGTCAAGGACAGGCATTTAGCAGCTGTTCAGAAAATAACTGATTGATTTTAATAGGCAAATGATAGGTCTTAATAAAATTCTCATTGTTGCTGAGCACAGTTGGGCTAGATTTTGAATAACAGTTTCTGTAAGACATTGATTCAGAATACCCCAGACCCCGGACCACCTCCTCTGACATTTTTATCAAATCAAAGGACATTGTGCTATATAGTGCAAAAAGCACACAGCCTAGAACTCTGCCACTTATCTGGTTTGTGATCGTGGGTATATTTCCTTAAGCCTCTGTTTCCTCTTATTAAAGAGTAGGGGAATGCAGAGAATTGCAGTAGGAATAAAAGGAATACTTTTTTGAAAGCAATTTGGGGTGTTTGTTTATTTTGTTTGTTTTTTTTCAAATCAAAATGAATGTATTGAGTACCTGCTGTATGTTCTTTCTGAGTGCTGGAAAGAAAGATAAAAGACAGTCCCTGGCCCAGAGGACCCCACAGTCTAGCAGTGAAGACAGACCCAGGAATGGGGATGTGATGGTTAATTTTATGTGGCAACTTGCCTGGACCACAGCACCCAGATATTTGATGAAGCATTATTCTGGATATTCCTGCGATGGTGTTTGGGATAAGATTAACATTTAAATCAGTGGACTCTGAGTGAAGCAGACAGCCATGTGGGTGGGCTTCATCCACTCCGTTGAAGTCCTGAATAGAACAAAGACGGACTTCCGCTACATAAGAAGGAATTCTGCCAGCAGACAGCCTTTGGACTCAAATTGAAACTCTTCCCTGCTTCCCTGGGTCTCCAGCCTACCCATCAGATTTTAAGCTCACCAAGTTTCCACAGTCACATGAGTCAATTCTTTCAAGTAAACCTTTCTGTATACACACATCTTGTTTCTGTTTCTCTGGAGAACCCTGACTAACACAGAGGACAATAACACAATAGTGAGTTGGATGCTCTAAGAAGGATCCTTAAGAATCCAGTGTCACGGAAAACCAAGGAGCAGTGATTAGCTCCATCTAGAAGGGTGTAAAGGAAGGCTTAGGATACTGGAGCTGGGACCTGAAGGCCAAGTTCATATTAAAAGATGAGAAAAGGGTCAGGCGTGGTGGTTCACACCTGTAATCCCAGCACATTGGGAGGCCAAGGAGGGCGGATCACCTGGGGTCAGAAGTTCAAGACCAGCCTGGGGAACATAGTGAAATCTGGTCTCCACAAAAAAAAAAAAAAATAGCCAGGCATGGTGGCACATGCCTGTAATCCCAGCTACTTGGGAGGCTGAGGCAGGAGAATCATTTGAACCCGGGAGATAGAGGTCGGAGTGAGCCAAGATTGTGCCACTGCACTCCAGCCTGGGCGACAAGAGCAAGACTCCATTTCAATATATATATATGAAAAGATCTTCCAAGCATCATTCAACAGGATCATGCTCACTCCCTCCATTTCCTTAGTAGTTATATGAACTTTAATCAGATTCTCTTTCTCTTGAAAATTCTCTTCTCCAGGCTGTTCCAGCCTATTTTCTCGTTTGAGGACCTAGCTGTGTGACCTAGACAAATCCCCTAATGTCTGTGAGCCTCAGTTTACTCCTTGTTAAATGCCTATTCATGGAGTCCCGGAAGGCACTTTGCACATTTCCTATTCTGTATTGCACCTTATAATTCTGTATTATTTTTACAGTGTTCAGCAGGTTCATACCCTACGGAACATCAATGAGTTTCTTCTGACCTCTATCCAAGGAAGTAGGGAAACAGGTTTACCTTATAGCATGCACTATATAAATTAGCTGCAAAGAAAGACAAATATTTAACAAATTTAAATAATCAAATAATACTATATAAGATTGTGAACTCTTATATCCTAGAGTTTCATTACAAATGGAGACACTCCTGGGACTCTAGTGGCAAGGGGCAGGAGGAAAGAAGAGTTGGCATCTTGTGTTCCTCCAAGGACACAGTTGGATGCAGAGCCTCAATGTCTGAACCTGAAATTGGCCTCAGAGGGAGGACAGTTAGGCAGGCTGTTCTCTGAGATGGGAAAAGCATTAACTATGGAAGAATGGGGAGTCCTCTGCCCCACTCTCCCCACTATGCAAAAAAGCAAGAATTCATGAAGATGGCATCTGCTTGGCCACAGACCAGAATCATCCTGGGATACCTGGATGAGACAACCCTGCAGAAAGCCCCATGCAGTCATTACATCTGTAGAGCCCCATCACAGACTCCTGAGCGTCAGGGTGGTCCAATCAAGGGCATTAAATGGGAACTCCCCAGGGGCCTGATATAGGCCAGTCATTCAGGGGATAAACTTCTTTATCTGGGGCTCTTTACTTACCCCAGGACCTGCTGGGCCAAGGTTCTCTTTCAATAACCAGTTTTGTTGCTCAAGGATAAAGGGAGAATGCCCCATGGGCAGAAGAAACTAAATCCCTGAAGAATTCAATTGGCTGCTGCATCCACTGAGAAGATTAAAAATATACTGAGCACATACTGTTTCCCTCTTAGGAGGAGAAAGAAACTAACTAGACTACTCTAAGGATGTTCCTTAAGTCTCAGGCCAAATTAATGTCCAGACACACATTATTTGTGTGAATTGAAAAGATCTTATGTCTAGAGCCTCAAACTGGCAAACAAGAAAAACAAACCAAAAAGGAAAATGAAAAAGAGGGAAAGAAAAAAAAATAAGAGGGAAAGGCAAAGCATTCATAAAAGCATTCAGAACCCAAAGTGGTATCATGGCAAGATCAGGGGCCTTTTGAGTGTCTGAGACATGGGTTTGAATTTTAGTTCTACCCCCTTATTAGTTTTGTCATTTTATCTTTTCCTTTTTTCTCTTTGGCACAGTCTCGTTGTCTATCAAATCTAGTGATACCTACTTTTCAGGAACATTGTGAAGATTAAGATTACAGAAGAGATGATGTTGTTTGTTGGTTGAGTAGGCTTTCAACAAATAGTTTCGGTTACTGTCATTTCACCAGAAATGGCTCTTTATGTTCGAGTTAAAATGCATTGGATAATTGTTTTGTAATGGAAGCGGCAACAAAATTATAATCAAAGGAGCAACACAGCATGTGCCATGTAGAATTCTATGCTATGGTTTGGTTTAGAAGTCAACGTTTTCATCTTTATTTTATGCCTAATATAAAAATGCCTCAAGTTTATTTACCAACTAGACACTAATGTGCATTCTAAGGGAAATTACCCTCACCAGGATCTGACTCTGGCTATAAAATGTTAAATAACAAATCACTTAGTGAAAGAAAAATTTTTTTTGCTTTTAAATAAAGATGAGAGGGATAGTGGAATTCATAAAATAAGTCAGTCATATCTGTGCTTTGCTCTCTTCAACACATCACTAAAACAAGGGTCCTCCTGTCTCCATTTATCTTAAACTGAACTAAGGCTCCCAGCTCCTGCAAATGAGACCTCAAATGATCAATTACATCTTAGTGCACGAAGTCAAAGGGTAAATGTATTATTGCTCACCACAGGCCGACCCTAACCTCAGGATTAATGCCATAAACAAAAAAAAAGGAAAAATATAGTTAAGCCTGTGAAGGCACTGGCTTTGGTCTCCAAAAAATTACAAAAGGGAAATGATGACCCCTACCGTTAGGAACAAGAACAGACAGCCTGCTTTGGGAACCTGGAGAGGGCCGTGTGGAAGGAGGCGTGGTTATTGAGAGCCGCAAGGACACCGGCTCCCACAGTGGTGTGTTTTCCTGTTGAGGCCCCACTGGACAGGAGGCCCTGGCTTCCCCTTGAGGGATCTCTGCGGGAAGCAAAAAATTTATAAGCTCTCCGTTTAAAATATTTTTAATGTTTTAATTAAGAAGCTTGGGCTTGCTTTGGTAAATGTAACTTTTTTGCATTATATTTTATGCTTGAAATGACCACGCAATTTCTGATAAAGACTTGTTAATGATGATTTCTCCAAATTCCCAGTGGTCATCATCCATGGGAAAACTTGTATGCACAGGTAACAATGAAACATTTTTAATATTTTAACAATTCCAAAATTGTTGAAGTTATACTTAAAGGATCTAATAGCTCTTTGGCATGTGGAAATTTCTTGTAATAATGCAAAAGTTTTTCAAATTCAACCCAGCCTTTTAACATTAAGTATTTTCAAATAATGAGGAAACTATAATCTGCAAAACATGAATTGTTGGAGGTGTCATCCTGCAGCAAGCTTAGACACCACAGAGAGAGCTTGTCAGCCACAAGTGGACAGACAGCCAAGAACTATATTTCTATTTCAGGGCTTCTGCTTGGAGCTGTGCTTCACACTATCCCTGCCGAACCTCCTCAGTGCCACCCCATTCTTCCTATAATGACCACCTACCTCTTCCCTGCCCAGCCTACAACGCCCTCCATTGCCCACCCTATCCTGATGTCATCATCCATTCCTTTCCAGGCCCCTCACTGGCTGACTGACTTTCTCCATGGCTCTTTCCTGCCCCAGGACTTTCACACGAGCTGTTCATTACCTCTGCCCAGAACATTCCTCCCCTGTCTTCGCCTAGCTAACCCCTATTCACGTGTGTGTTCCTCAGGATGCCTTCTCTGATCACAACAAAGTCTCCCCATGCTCACGGTTTTGTATTTCAGTTTCCTCGTCTGTAAAAACGGAAATAAAATAGGTTTGTTTTGAGGAATAAATGAGATATGACACATTTAAGCACCTAGAACAGTACCTGGCTTGCAATGAATGTTCAATAAATCATCACTGCACTTTCACACTTTTCCTCTGTGGCCTGTATCACAACTATAAATAGATATTGATTTGCTTGTATTTGTTCCTCACTAGGCTGTAAACTCCATCAAGGCCAGAGAACATGTCTTTTTCTTTTTCCACCACTATATACCAAGGCCCAGCATAGTCCCTGGTGTCAATGTATATTTAGGGTTTTTATTGTTATGATTGTTGTTTTATGTGTATATTTTCATTTTCCTTCCAACATTTATTTCAGGTTCAAGGGGTACATGCGAAGATTTGTTACATGAGTAAATTGCATGTCATAGGGATTTAGTGTACATATTATTTCATCACCCGGGTAATGAGCTTAGTAACAAATAGGTGGTTTTATTGTTGTTGTTTTGCGGGGGGGCGGGTTTGGCTTGTTTTTTGTTTTTTGTGGGTTTTTTTTTTTTGAGACGGAGTTTCACTCTGTCACCCAGGCTGGAGTGTGGTGGGGTGATCTCGGTCACTGCAACCTCCACGTCCTGGGTTCAAGCGATTCCCCTGCCTCAGCCTCCCGGGTAGCTGAGATTACAGGCATGCACCACCATGCCAGGCTAATTTTTGTATTTTTATTAGAGACGGGGTTTCACCATGTTGGCCAGGCTGGCCTCGAACTCCTGACCTCAAGTGATCTGCCTGCCTCAGCCTTCCAAAGTGTTGGGATTACAGGCGTGAGCCACTGCGCCTGGCCCAAATAGGTGCTTTTTAAATCCTCACCCTCCTCCCAACCTCCACCCCCAAGCAGGCCCTGGCGTCTATGCAGTTGGTCATGGAAATTCTACACAGCAGAGAAACCGCATCAAGTAATTGGAGGGTGAATCTGAAAAAGCTTAAAATGCTGATGTAAAAATACATCAGACCCACTTCCTCTTGCTGTCACCACCTCCCTAGCTCCACCCTGCTATACTTCCTTCCCCTCCCTCCCTTTTATCCCTTGCTGTCCCTGAATCTGTTTTTCTGGCATTCCGTGTTTCTCTGCACTATTCCCATATATGAGCTGATACACAGTAAGTGCTCAATAAACTTTATTGAATAAATTCTGGGACAACTGAAGAGCTGGATGAAAGAGGGAGGATGGATAAGTAGGAGAATGAGAGGATGGATGGGGTACACACTCCCCCACTTAGCATGGAGGAAATTTCCTCTTGTGATTTCAAAAATCTACCCCCCCGCCAAAATCTCTACCCTGATGTTTGTTCCCCTAACCCAGTGAAAACAGAAGTGGTCCCTCTCCTTGAAGTTAATTTAAAACCTAAACATGAATCCAGTCTGATGGGCCCATGACACTTGAGGCTCTATCTGGGCAGCCTCTCCATTACTCCTAATGGCCAGCTTTGAAATGGAATTACTTCATTCTTCAAAGTAAAGTGCAGGGAGTTTTTCCCTCTCTGAACAGCAAGCACATACTGCAAAGACATTCTGCTTCTATAAATATGCTTTTCTAAATGTTAAAGGGTTAGAGCAATTTCTAAAGGTCTCTGCCTCGAAGGAGCCCTCCAATGATATTTAATTGAACTACTTTTGCTTTGAGAAGTGAGGAAACTAAAATGTAAGAAGTGGAAATGCTTCTTGGTTTTATGTCAAAACATAGGCTTCTAGAAAAAATAGTGGAAAATAATTTTCTGTTATTAAACTCAGGAAAATGAATGTAAACAGCTCAACCAAGGAGAGCAAAGTACAGGATTTTTGTAGGACAGTTGGAGGAAAAACTGTCTCCTTTAAAACTCTCATTTTAAACCCTTAACAACTGTTGAAGGCATTTGTGTTGATGAAAATCACTAAAAATCTCTCTCCTTCCTTTGGCATTCAAAATTGAGCATTCAATATAAACATGTCTGCAGCAAGTTTAAATATTAACTTCTTTCATGACATCCCATGGTGTTTCCAGAGCAAATTCCTCTGAACAGAAGAAACTAAATTTTGTAAAGGTTGAAAAAAGAGACAGATCACCTAAATGAAGCAAACTCTCTGGAAACACGCAAATGATCAACTTGCCATTTTGTATTTGTGAAAACATTTGAATGACAGTTGGCATATTTCAACCTAAGTCACATTAAGGAGCCAATAATTAAATCTTTGTTCCTACTCAATGTATTGATAATGTTGGTATAATTCTGAATTTGATGTGATGTTCTCTGAAGAGAAAAGGGACTGAGGACTGCTGAGTCAGCATTCACAGAATGCCAGAAAGAGAAGGTGAATGAGTTTGATTACTACACAGTTGCAACTGCTGTGCCCTGCAGAACCCCAGTGGACACTATGCATTTAGAGTACAATGTGTATGGTGCCATGGTGGCAGAATTGCGTAGTTGTGACTGTCTAAAATATTTACCATCTGTCTTTTTATAGAAAAAGTTTGCTAGGCCAGGTGTGGTGGCTTACGCTTGTAACCCCAGCACTTTGGGAAGCCAAGGCAGGAGGATCACTTGAGCCCAGGAATTCAAGACCAGCCTGGGCAACATAGCAAGGCTCTATCTCTACAAAAAAATTTAAAGATTAGCTGGGCATGGTGGTGCACACCTGTAGTCCCAGCTACTCAGGAGACTGAGATGAGAGGATCTCCTGAGCCAGGAGGCTGAGGCTGCAGTGATCCATGATTGTGCCACTGCACCTTAGCCTGGGTAACAGAGGGAGACTCTGCCTCAAAAAGAAAAGAGAAAAAAGAAAAGAAAAGAAGGGGAGGGGAGGGAAGGGTAGGGTTGAATTTACTGACCTCTGAATTATAAGGACACTGTGCTCTATAGGGCAAAGCTCGAGGAGAGGGGCTATGGCTTCTCTTGTCCTTTTTCCAGGCCTCTGTCTCCAGACCTGTAAGTTAAAGCTAAAACTTCCTACTCCTTATCTCTTAGAGTGCTGTGTGGGACATATTGGTTGAAGATTTTTTTCAATGAATTTTTGTATTTTTTCACTAAGAAACATACTGTGTAATTGAGAAAATGAAAAATATGTTTCCATTCTTTCCTTGATGCTTTCTATGCTATGAACTAAGAGTAAGTGATTCACTGAAAAAACAGTTCTGCAGTGAACAACCTGTGCATCTGTACTTTGCACACTTTGCAGTTATACTGTTGTCTTTTGTTAGGCTACCTAGCATGAAAATATTTCTCCAATTGAGTGGAACCCAAACCACAGGGAGGCAGCAGCCAAAATCTCACTATTGCAGCCAAAGGAGATGTGTATTTCCCCTTCTCCACTCCTTGCATCTGGTCCATGCTCAAAGTAAGCCAAACCAGTGCTCTTGTGCAGAACCCTAAATCGAAAGGGGGTGACACATAAATCCAGGCACAATGGAGACTACCAAAGCCAGCAGTAGTGGAGATGACAATCCAGCAGTGGTGAGGGAGAACAGGACTATCATTATCACTACTTGAGGGTGCCTGGGTGTGGCTAGCAGCCCACACTCGACTCACCAAGCTCATACATCTAGCTTGTAGTGGCAAAGTGGGCACTTTTTTCTAATTCCCATAAATGAATAGCAGCAGTTCTGAGCTGAGGTTCAGGTAGAAGCACCTGCAGCCGGCATCTATTCCAGGGTCACTCCCTCAGTCGCTGCTCTCCAGCCTTCCTGCCGGTTCTGTGAGCTCTCTGTTATCCTTCCAGCGCGTCACTTTTCTGAAGTTTGAAAGAATCAGTTTCTGTTGTTTGCACACCTGTAAGAGCCCTGACTGCACAACCCTACTTGCCAGCCAATCCCACCTTGTTTGGTCACCTAAGGGGCCCTGGCAAAGACCAGACTTAACGGGGTGTGCAGAATTAGAAGAGAAAGAATATGTTGAATAAGACTATCGCTCCACTACCCACATAATAGAAATCAGTCTCCGCATACTAAATTTTTTAAACAGACAGGGATTAGAGGCCATCTATCCCAAACCCTTCATTTGTGGATGAAACCCAGAGGAAGCAGGTGAGTTGTTCAAGGTCACCCAGCTATATAATAGCAGCTTCTATAAGACCCGTTCTCTCAGCTTCTTAATTGCATTATTTATGTGGGCACCATGATGATGCGGCTGGAGTTAAACAAAAGAGAGGCATTAATTCAGCTCACCAAGCTGTGCCTAAATGCTCACAGGATGCTTTGCTAAAATCAATTTTGCCTTCAAACTTTAATCCTGGCCACATAACCCTGATTTATGAAATCTTAAAAACAAAGATGTGCGATTTAAACATTAAAAAAAAATTCAGATCTGCAGGATGGAGATGCCTCCTCTTGTGGTTACTGGAGTGAAGCACTGAGGCTTCTGAAGTTGGACCCGGGACATGCATGGGTGAGAGGCAGCAGTGAACCGCCACCAGGAGAGACTTACATGTCCATCTCTCCTAGAATGAAACTGAGTTTTCATCTTGTAAATGCTACAGATGATGCAGAAGTGGAGCCATGATGGAAAACAGAAGTGCCTAATTCAAGTTGTTTTGTTTCAGTGAATCACTTAATCTTTGTTCATAACATAGAGAGCATCAAGGCAAAAATGAAGACATATTTTCCACTTTCTCAATTATATGGTATGTTTTTTAGTGAAAAAAAAATTCATTCGAAAAAATGTTCAACCAATATGCCACACACAGTACTTTAAGACATAAAGAATAGGAAATTTTAGCTCCAACATATAGATCTACAAATAAAGCATTAGAAGCCACAGCCCCTCTCCTCAGGCTTCATTCCATAGACCACAGTGTACTTACAATCCAGAGGTCAGCAAACTTTTTCTATAAGGAGACAGATGATAAATATTTTAGGCAGCTGCAATTACTCAACTCTGCCATGGTGGCAGTATGTAAACAAATAGGAGTAAAAGTGTTCCAATAAAACTTTATTTAAAAAAACAGATTGTGGGCCACAGTTTGCCCAGCCCTCTATAGTTGATCAGAGTGCACAGTCCTAATCCTCTAACACCCACACATTCTATCATCACAGACTAAACTCAGCCTTGAGCAACTTTCAATTGGTAATATCATATCTCAGATCCAGAGGTGGTAATTACTGCCATAAGAGGCAACATCTCGTTTTTCATAAATTGTTACAGAAGGGTAAACCTTTCCAACACATCCAAGAAAATCTTTACTTACCAGGAGGACAAAACCTCCCTCACTGCCCCCTGGGTTCCACCGTGTAACAGTTCTCAGAATTAGTAGGCAACCACTCATCATCTTTGCAAGCATTTTTGCCTGAAAAGCCAGGCAGTAGTCTCACACTGACAACACGAGAATAACTTGTCATTCTGGTAATGGTCTAACTGCATATAAGTGTCTGTCATAATGAAAATTAGTCTCTTCCGTTTCAATTTATTCTGTCAACAATCCAAATGAAGCCCGAATATATCTTCCAACACCATTTCACACAGACCAAATAGGAAAGAGAACTTTAAAATGAACCTCATCATCATATGACTAAATATTTACATTAAAAAAGATTCTCTCTTCTGGAATACATCCCAGCTTTACTGTTCTCCCCTGCCAGTACACCTGCAGCTTTTTGTAACTAATTAAGGAACTCCAGAAAACACATTCAAAAAGGCCCCCGAAAACAGATGCACTCTCCATTAATTAAACAAGCCAGAGCAATCACCCAGGCTTGTAATTGGAAAATGTGCTTCTTTCCTGCATTTTAAGGCAATCACATTTATTTGCAAATGTTTTTGATGGTTTCTCAAAAGAGAAAGCTGGCTAGCAGCAGGCTCTGGCTCTCTCTAGCAGGCAAGGCAGATGTTTGGGAAAGGTTGGAGGTATGAGGCAAAGTCACCCAGGTTCTCTAATTAGTTCTTCTCCCTCCAGAAGACTGTGCTAATGAGATAAGGAAGTTTAAGTGCTAACAAAAGAAAGAAAGCCTGCTAAGGCTACTTAACAGTACAAAGATGGTCCCATGTCATATACTCTTTAGGGCTCTAATTGGGGTATGCATTGATGTAAGTGTGTGCAGAGTTAGCCTCCTCTTAGCTGAGCTTACATGGTCTGCAGAGCCAGCATTGGGAGCAGAAGGAAGGTGGAGAAAGCCATCGGTGGGCGGATTAAGAAAACACAATAGCCTGGAGTCTCTCCTATATTCTTGTCCTCGGGTTCCAAGCGGTGTTTTGGGGAAACCCAGTCTTTTTTAATATACTTTAAGTTCTAGGGTACATTGTGCAGAATGTGCAGGTTTGTTACATAGGTATACACATGCCATGGTGGCTTGCTGCACCCAGCAACCCATCATCTACATTAGGTATTTCTCCTAATGCTATCCCTCCCCTGGCCCCCCACCCCCGACAGGCCTGGGTGTGTGATGTTCCCCTCCCTGTGTCCATGTGTTTTCATTGTTCCCCTTCCACTTATGAGTGAGAACATGTGGTGTTTGGAAACCCCAGTCTTAAGTAAAATTCTCTTATGGTAGGGTTACCCTAGTACATCAGCATCCTGATTAGGGATTTCAGATGCCATGCCTCCAACAGGTAAGCTTATTAAACAATTGCTTCTCAGGAACATGCCTACTCGTCTATACTTCCTTCTGTGATGTGGGGCTGAGACTCTGCAAATGAATTCCTTCTTTGCCAGATAGCTTCCTGTTAGGAGCCACTGATGTGGAGGACACTTGAGGGAGATTGGAAAGCTGGAGGAGGGAAAAATAACTTGCTCTTTTCTGTTTTGCACTGTCCTGTTGGCATCACTCTGGTGATGGCCCTCCACTGCAGCAGCAACATGTAACAGCACCAGCTGGCAGCATACCCTTCTGAGTTCTCAGTCCCACTTCCATAGGGCCCATCCTCCAAGAATCTAGGTTCCAAAAACCCCATCTTTGTAACTTTGTTTCTCAAGCCCTGTCTTAGTCTAATCAGGCTGCTATAACAAAGTATCTTAGACTGGGTAATTAAGAAATAATACAAATTTATTTATTACAGCTCTGGAGGCTGAGAAGTCCAAGATCAAGGTGCTGGCTGATTTGGTGTCTGGTGAGGGCTCACTCTCTGCTTCCAAGATGGCGTCTTGTTGCTGTGTCTTCTGGAGGGAACAAACACTGTGCCTTCACATGGCAGAAGGGACAGAAAGGCAAAACAGGGATGAACTCTCTCCCTGAAGCCCTTTTATAAGGGCACTAATCCCATCTCTAAGGGTGGAACCCTCATGACCTAATCATCCCCTAAGGGCCCCACCTCAGTATCATCAATTTGGGAGTTAAGTTCCAACATATGAATTTTGGAAGGACACATACATTTAAACCATAGCAAGCACTAAGGGTACTGCATTTTGATACCTTTGTGTTTCCTTTTTGCCTTTAGGTCCCTTTGAAAGAGATAATTTAATTTAGAGAAAACTAATACAACCTTTTTTCCCTGACTTGACTCTGACTGATCCAATATTTAATATCAGGAGTGATCCCAGAAAATGGTCTTCAGATAGCATTCTGGGATTGCTTTTGTCATGATCTTGGCCTTAAATGCAGTTGTGGAGTGTTTGAGAAATGGGATGTTAGTAGTAGCAACCCATAGTAGGCAGTGGCATCATAATTAATAAAATTATCACCCACAATTGATCATGATAGATTGCCTACTGAAGCAATTGCCTTGGGGACCAAGTGGCTGCTGCACTTGACTGTTAAAGGTATGACAACGACTTCAAGGACCATATAGTGGGACAGCTATATCTACCTGAACTGAAGAGATTAAGAAAATCAACAAATTCAAGGCTTTAATGCTCACCTTAAGTCATGGTCAGAGAACCAGAGAGCTTTAATTATTATTTCTTATAACTGCAGATACTATCTCAACAAAAACCGAATGCAAAACCTAATTGTGAGTTACTGAATCACAACTTAAGTTGAATTGTCAGACCACCAAGTCTCATATGTTAAGGCATTGATTAGGAAAGAGTGGGACCCTGGATATAAAATAAGGATATATGGGTGGACTCAGATGATGCTAAAAACCCTAAGCCCCTGTCTTTCTGAGTCTCTTTTTCATAGAAAGGAGGAGCACCTCCTTCTGTGTCTAGGAAACTAATCTTCCTTTGCTTGAGGATCTTGTAACATTTCACCTGGGACCATGCAAGGTATGTCTATTTTTCTCAACACCCGCCCAGTATTAGTTATCTATTGCCACACAACTAATTCCTGTAAAACTTAGAGGCCTAAATCAATTTTTATTATCTCTCACAGTTTCTGTGAGTCTGGAATTCAGGCACAGCTTAGCTGGGAAATTCTGGATCAGGGTTTCTGATGAGGTTGCAGTCAGGGTGTCAGCTGGGGATAAACCAACTGAAGGCTTCACTATGGGCTGGAGGATCTACTTTTAAGATCTCACTCATGACTGGAAAGTTGGTTCCGGCTGTTGGCAGGAGATCTCAGTTCCTCATCACATGGATCTCTTCACAGAGAACTTGAGTGTCCTCATAACATGGTGGCTGGTTTCCCAAGAGTGAGTGATCCAAGACAGTGTACAGTGAAGCCACAGACTTATCCCCTAGCCACAGGTGATTGAACCAGGGTGGACACTGACCCATGAGGCATCCTGGTGGAAAAAGCTCAGCTAAAAAAGAGAAAATGGAATCAATGGAGCCTGTCAGATTATCTCTTAGGAATTTGATCTGGAATACATGCTGGACAGATCCTAAGTCCTAAGGGCTATAACTAAGCTGAAGTTATGCAGAAGCAGGAGCCCTGAGGAGGAGAAAAATACACAGGGGAGCAGGAAACGGAGGCAGGAAGGATGTCAATCAAAGTAGGAAAGGTAAAGGCAAATATTAGGAGATGTTATATTACCTTAAAATAGTATGTCTGCAAACTCCAACTGAGGGCCCAAAATGATCCTGTCAGTAGAAAAGCCTCAGAACCTTCCCATCCCTGAACTGTGCCTCACTTCAACTCTTTGAAGGCTCTCAGGACAAGTCAGAGTCTTAGCTTCCTTTTTTGCTATGTGCATCCTGATAGTAAGACCTCACTGCTGTTTCTTTGCAAGCTTCTATTTCTTACAACTAAGGCAGCCATATGAGCCAGAGCTTTTAATCAAATAATGCGCTTCAGAGTTTACATAGCTCTCTCACAGCCCATTGGCATTAAATTCTTATAAGACCCCAGAGAGGGAGCACAGTAACTGCTCCATTCCACAGATGAGGTAATTGGGGCTCATAAGGATTAAAGTAACTGGCCAAGTTCACCCAAATAGTAAGGTAAATCAGGGCGGAGCTCAAATCCAGTTCTACTTCCTTGCCCAATGTTCTTTCCCATGTCACCATATAACTACTATCATATATATATACACACAAATGAACTAGGGAAGATGCACTCAGCCACCAAGTCACCCTTTGTGTGTGCTGAGCACCATTCTAAGAGTTCAGACACAGCAGGGAGTGAAACAAAGACCCTTGTCTCATGGAGATTCCATTCATAAGTGTAGTCATGTGAAGCAAACCACAAACATAAAATGAATTCTGGAAGCCCACCATGAAATCTGCCCCATTATCCTGCAACCACCTCAGGGCATGTATGTGATTATTATTACTATACACAGGCATACTCTGGGAGATTGCAGACTTGGTTCCAACTGGCGCACTAAAGCAAATGTCGCAATAAAGTGAGTCACAGATTTTTTTATTTCCCAGTGCATAGAGGAGTTATGTTTACCCTATGCTGTAGTCTAATAAGAGTACAATGCCATTATGTCTAAAACATCAATGTATATACTTTAATTTTAAAAATACGTTATGGCTAAAAATTGCGAATGATCATGTGGGCCTTCAGTGAGTCATATATATATATATATTTTTTTTAGACGGAGTTTTGCTCTTGTTGCCCAGGCTGGAGTGCAATGATGTGATCTCGGCTCACTGCAACCTCCACCTCCCAGGTTCAAGCAATTCTCCTGCTTCAGCCTTACAAATAGCTGAGATTATAGGTGCCTACCACCATGCCCGGCTAATTTTTTGTATTTTTAGTAGAGACAGGTTTCACAATGTTGGTCAGGCTGGTCTCGAACTCCTGACCTCAGATGATCTGTCTGCCTCAGCCTCCCAAAGTGCTGGGATTACAGGTGTGAGCCACCGCACCCGGACAAGTCATAATCTTTTTGCTGGTGGAGAGTCTTGTCTCAATGTTGATGGCTGCTGATTGATCAGAGTGATGGTTGCTCAAGGTTGGGGTGGCTGTAGTAGTTCCTAAAAATAAGACAACAGTGAAGTTTGCCTCATTGATTGACTCTTTCTTTCCTGAAATATTTCTCTGTACCATGTGCTGTTGTTTGGTAGTATTTTACCCACAGTAGAACTTCTTTAAATATTGTATTCAGTTGGCCAGGTGCAGTGGCTTACGCCTGTAATCCTAGCATTTTGGGAGGCCGAGGCAGGCAGATCACGAGGTCAAGAGATCAAGACCATCCTAGCCAACATGGTGAAACCCCGTCTCTACTAAAAATACAAAAATTAGCTGGGCGTGGTGGCACCCACCTGTAGTCCCAGCTACTCGGGAGGCTGAGGCAGGAGAATCGCTTGAACCTGGGAGGCAGAGGTTGCAGTGAGCCGAGATCACGCCACTGCACTTCAGCCTGGTGACAGAGCAAGACACTGTCTCAAAAAAAAAAAAAATCATATCCAATCCTGTCAAATCCTGTCATGGCTTTATCAACTAAATGTATGTAATATTCTAAACACTGTTGTCATTTCAACAATTTTCACAGCATTATTACAAGTAGTTTCCATTTCAAGAAACCAGTTTCTTTGTTCATCCATAAGAAGCAACTTCTTACCCATTCAAGTTTTATGAGATTGCAACAGTTCAATTACATCTTCAGGCTTCACTTCTAATTCTAATTATCTTGCTATTTATAGCACATCTGGAGTGACTTCTTTCACTGAAATCTTAAGCCCTTCAAAGTCATCCATGTCGGTTGAAATCAACTTCCTCCAAACTCCTGTTAATGTTGTGAATCACAAGTGTTCTTAATGACATCTAGAATGGTGAATCTTTTCCGGAAGACTTTCAATTCATTTTGCCCAGATCCAACAGAGGAATCATTGTCTATGGCAGCTATAGCCTTTAAAGCCAAAATTACCCCTTGATTTGTCAGTTGCAGAACTGTGTTATCAGGTATGAAAACTACGTTAATCTCCTTGTGCACCTCCATCAGAGCTCTTGGGTGACCAGGTGCATTGGTCAATAAGCAGTAAATTTTTTTATTATTATTTTGTAGAAACAGGGTCTCCCTACGTTGCCCAAGCTGGTCTTGAATTCCTGGACTCAAGTCATCCTTCCACCTTGGCCTCCCAAAGTGCTGGGATTACAGGTATGAGCCACTGCACCCAGCCTTTTTATTTTTTATTTATTGTTATTATTTGTAGTGAGCAATAAAATTTGAAAAGACTTTTTTCTAAGCAGTAGGTCTCAAAAATGGGTTTAAAATATTCAGTAAACCATGCTATAAAGAGATGTGCTGCCATCCAGGCTATGTTGTTCCATTTATAGAGCATAAGCAGAAGTGATTTAAAATGTTTCTTAAGGGCCCTAGGATTTGGGGAATGGTAAATGAGCACTGGCTTCAACTTAAAGTCATCAGCTGCACTTGCCCCTAATAAGAGATTCAGCCTGTCCTTTGAAGCTTTGAAGCCAGGCATTGACTTCTCCTTTCTAGCTATGAAAGATGGCACCTTCTTCCATCTGATCTTTTTCCTTTTTCTGAAGGCCATTTCACCTATATCAAAAATCTGTTGTTTAGTGTAGCCACTTTCATCATTGATCTTAGCTAGATCTTCTAGATAACTTGCAGCAGCTTCTCCACCAGCACTTGCTGCTTCACCCTGCACTTTTATATTATGGAGATCGCATCTTTTATAACCTCCTGAACCAGGCTCTGCTAGCTTCCAACTTTTATTCTGCAGCTTCCTCACCTCTCTCAACCTTTACAGAATTGAGGAGAGTTAGGGCCTTACACTGGATTAGGCTTTGGCTTAAGGGAATGTCGTGGCTAGTTTTATCTTCTATACAGATTACTAAAACTGTCTTCATATCAGCAATAAGGCTGTTTCACTTTCTTATTTTTCATGCATTCACTGGAGCAGCACTTTTAATTTCCTTCAAGAACTTTTCTTCTGCATTCACAACTTGGTTAACGGTTGGCACAAGAGACCTAGCTTTTGGCCCATCTCGGCTTTCAACATGCCTTCCTCACTGAGCTCAATCGTCTCTAGCTTTTAATTGAAAGTGAGAGATGCAAAATTACTCCTTTCACTAGAACACTTAGAGGCTATTGTAGTGTTATTAATTGGCCTAATTTCAATATTGTGTCTCAGGGAATAGAGAGGCCCAAGGAGAAGAGAGACAGGGGAATAGCTGATTGGTGGAGCAGTCGGAACACACTCACTTATCAAAGTTCTTCCTCTCATCTGGGTGCAGTTTATGGAGCCCTAAAACCATTACAATAGTAACATCAAGGATCACTGATCACAGATCACCATAACAGATATAATAATAATGGAAACATTTGAATTATTATGAGAATTATCCAAATGTAACACAAAGACAAAGCAAGTACATGCCGTTGGGAAAATGGCACTGATAGACTTGCTCAACCCAGGGTTGCCGCAAACCTTTAATCTGTAAAAAAAATGCAGTATCTTGAGGCATAATAAAATGAGGCATGCCTGTATAGTTTTATTTACTTATACATAGAATAGTTATAATTGTCAGTATGTCTAACTGTCAGACAGTTCGGACAATTCAAACCAGACTTAATTTATTAGGTATAAAACTTCAAGTTACTTAACCTTGTGCCTCAGTGGCTTCATCTGAAGAATGGGAATAATAATAGTACCTGTCTCACAGTGCTGTTGTGAGGATTCAATGAACGGAAATATGTAAAGTACTTAGAACAGCATCTGATACATGGTAAGTATGTATATTATTAAGTACTAGGATGATATGTTTTTTATGAATATTATTAAAATTATTATTATAGAAGTTTCAAATGCAAACCTCTTCTAGGTAAACTTAGGAAAACCTTGCCTTTCCTCAAAGTGATGCTTTCATCAAGGAGGCAAAAGAAGAAACTGGGACTGTGAGTCCAGGCAGAACTGGCCTTGCCTGTCACTTGCTGTGTGTCTTTAGGTAAGCCGCTTTACCTCTCTGTACCCCAGTCAGCTTATCTACAAAATGGAGAGGAATAACATCTCATCCTCTGGTTTGTTGTGAGAAATGAGCAGTACATTGCAGTTAGTATTGTGACAGGTAATAGTAAGCACTGAATCAGCAAGACCCATTGCTGTCGACATCATCATTATGTCATTGTTGTTACCTGCAAACTCTAGTGGGTGGAATCAAGCAGATTTAATTTTGAAAGTATGCAGATTTCACTAGGATAGTAAAAACTGTGGCCTGTTGTACCATTAGATATTTATTATTTGCCTCCAGTCCTGATATGGTAACTTTGAAGAATGTCTGCCCATAGGAGAAGCTAAGAGGTTTTTTAATTAGTTAATTCTAATATTAAGTAAGTAACATATTGCCTTGAAAGGAAAACATTCAAGCCTCCTTTCTTTCTCTTTATCCTCTTCTTCAGTTGCCCAAGGAGAAGGAATTTCCGTGGTCTGGTCAGTTTTGTGAACACTTATTGGGCTGAAGGGTGAAGGCACCATGTTAGGAGGTCTGTGCACATAAGAGAGTAAAGAGACAGAGTGAGTCCCTGATGGAGAAGACTCAGCAGCCTATCTTACCTCCTGCCTCTTCTCCCACATGGCACCAGCCCTGGCACAGCACTAAGCCAGCCTGGTACCAGATGCTGGAAATTGGTGCTTCCATTCTCACAATTGCACTCTCTGATTACAGCCTTCTAGCTCTGGAAGGGGTGGAATGGCTCAGTCTTTCCTCTTCAGGTCTTGACCACATAGGCAGAGCAGAACTGGCACTCAACTACATTTTCTTTCCTTTTTTTTTTTTTTTTTTTTTTTTTTGAGACAGGGTTTTGCTCTGTCACTCAGGCTGGAGTGCAGTGGCATGATCTCAGCTCACTGCAACCTCCACCTCCCGAGTTCAAGCGATCCTCCCACCTCCGCCTCCCAAATAGCTGGGACTACAGATGTGCACTAGCACGCCCGGGTAATTTTTGTTTTTTTACTTTTTTCTAGAGCTGGGGTTTCACTGTGTTGCCCAGGCTGGTCTCAAACTCCTGAGCTCAGGTTATCCAACCACTTCAGTTTCCCAAAGTGCTGGGATTAAAGACGTAAGCCACCACGCCTGGCCCGTACCCAGCTAATTTTTGTATTTTTAATAGAGACGGGGTTCCACCATGCTGGCCAGGCTGGTCTCAAACACCTGGCCTCAAGTGATCCACCCGCCTAGACTTCCCAAAGTGCTGGGAGTACAGGCACGCACCACCGGGCCTGGCCACACTCAGAAAGAATGGGTAGAATTTTGGTTTTCCCGGGTTCTTGGCCAAACTATACCTTAATACCAATTTCTGCCCAGATTTCTGACAGAATAAATAAATAGATGAATATAAGACACAGTCCCTGCCCTCAAGAGACTTACACTCTAATTAGGGAAGAAGAACTAATTCCAAGGACAGGCACTCTCCAGTGCTCTCTTCTGCTGCAGGCGCTGAGAGGACCACATGTTCAAGGAAGTGCCTCTATAAGATGGTGGAGACTGTGGTCCCTGAGTGTCTGTGTGGAGAAGAGCCCCTTGCTCGCACAAATTGCCTACTTAACATAGGCAAAAAATACACTTTTGTTGAATCAACCCACTGAGATTTCAGAGTTGATAGTGCAGCACAGCTTAGACCACCCTGACTCTGTGGTTCAGGCTTAACTCCAAAGACATGATACTGGTTCAGTATCAATAAAAATCTCCTAAGAGGCTAACTGTCAAGTAGGCTTTGTCTTAACCTCTTAAATTACATTATTCCAGGATCCTAGGGGCTAAGGATCCTGATGAAACTGGTCCTAGTGATGAAAACCTAGCACCATGATGCAAAACAAACCCTCCAAGTCACCAAAATAGAAAAGCAGGTAACAAAATTGTGTTTTGGGAAGACATCTCCTGCTCTGTTACGAAGATAGATTAGGGGAGGTGGGACTAGAGGAGTGAAAAACAAGAGGCTAGGAAGGATGAAGTTATGGGAAAAAAGAGGCCAAAAAAGGATGCCAGAGGAATGGGGAGAATCATGGCAGATGGGGAGAATCATGGCAGATGGGGAGAAGGGGACCTTTGAGATGCCAGGCATCTGTGTGAAATTAGGTTTTACTTTTGCCCATATTCCTAGAGTCCCCAAATCATTTAGCTTCCCTATATTCATCCTTTCCTTGCCATCCCCACAGATGCATCCAAGCTTAATCATTTTAAGCAAAGCACTACCTTTCCCAGCTGATAAAAATACTTACAACTCATCATGGTTGCTACTATCGCATAGTCTTTTATTGAATCTCTTCCCATTTGTTGGAAATTCAGAAAGCATCCAACTTCCTGCTTAGGCAGATCCTGCTAACTGGCATGAACCATAGGAGCACAGGAAAACTCCCTTCTGAGAAGAAAATTTCCAACACAGAAAAATACCTGTCCACTTTCCTAACCATTTCTCTGTGGACCTGGGTGGGTGAAACACATCGATTCTGCAGGGAAGAACTTTGAGAATAGAAGTCATATGTTAGGATGGTGGAGAAAAAAGTTAGAAGGGGTGGCTGCCTGATGGCTTTGTGAAGTCTGGATCAGTTACCTCCAATTAATTTACATGACAAAGAAACAAACTTCTATGTTATCAAAGAATTCTTAGGTTTCCAGTTCTGTGTGATTAAATCTAATTCTCACTGGTACTATGGGCTTGTCTTCTTCCTCCCCTCTTCCTCCCATCTTTATTGGGAAGGAAATAGAATATGTGCAGTAACCTTACAGCTCACACAGCTAATAGGCAGCAAAAAATCTTTAATCCACATATTTCTGACTCTGAGCTTGAGTTCTTTCCATGGCACCAAGACTTGTTCTGAATTCCATTTTGATAAGCATAGCATGGTATGCCTGGTAGGAATGTCAGCATAAAGTACCAAAAGCAGGGAAGGCTTCTGGGGTCAGTGAGTAGCTTCCCTGGAGCTATACTTTATTACAAAAACAGAGGGGGCTGTCTTGAACCAAATTCTTTCAAATATAAGTAAGAAAATCTCAGCTCAAACTAAACTAAGCAAAATGGAAATTAATTGGTTCAAAGTGTTCAGAGAAAGGTGGGGATTTGCTAGCTTTGTGCACAGATGGATCTAGGGATTTCCCAATATTTTTATTTTTCTATTTTATTCTTCTATCTCTACCCATTTGCTCTTCTTCACTCAATGGTTGATTTCATTCTCTCCCACAGCAGTCAGTCTTTCTCCATAAGGCAGAGGGAAATGATCTTTAATTGACCCAGATTCACATTCTCCCAGCTTAACATGCCAAGCCAGAGAACATGCATCTCTGTCTATGTCTGTATATTAGTGCTATTGAAGACTATGATTGACACTATCTACTCCTGGAATGACTGCTATGGCTGTGAAAGGAGGTACCAAGATTGTCTAGCTAGCATAGAATGGATAGCCCAGGAGGCTGAGGCTGCAGTAAGCCAAGATAATGCCACTGCACTCCAGCCTGGATGAAAGAGCAGGACACTATCTCAAAAATAAATAAATAATATTTTTCAATGTAAAACTAAAATTTAAGAAAAAAATTAATCAATGGAAACAGACCTAGAAATGACAAAACTTATGTAATTAACACACAAAGGCATTAAAAGAGCTTTTATAAATGTGTTCAAAATGCTTAACTAGTTAAAAGAAAAGCACAAGCGAAAGGAAAAGTGGAAGTTATTGTTTTAAATAGAAATATCAGAAATGAAAAACACAACAGCTCAAGAGAAACTTTCACTGGATAGGAATAACTAGATATTAGATATTATAAAAGAAAATATGTAATTGAAGAAGTAACTGTAGCAACTAGCCAAAATAAGGCACAAAACAAAATAAAAAACTATAAAAATGAACAGTCTCAATATCCTATGGAACAAAATCAAACAGTTTAATAATTGGAGTCCCAGAGAAAGAGGTATATAAAGAAGCATAAGAAAACTTTGAAAGAAATAATGCCAACTTTTTTTTTTACAAATTTGATGAAAATCAGAAAGACAGATCCAAGAAGTTCAACAAACCTCAAACAAAATAAATATAAAGCAAAGCACATCAAGCAACATCTTAATCAAATTCCTGAAAGCCAGAGGAAAAAAATAACTCATTGTTTACAGAGGAACAAAGATGAAAATGATTTCAGACCTCTCATCAGAAATCCAGAAAGGAGACAACATCTTTAAAATACTAACAGAAAAAAATAACTGTCAACTTAGGATTCTATATACAATAAAAATATATCTCAAAAATGAAGGCAGGCCCAGCGTGGTGGCTCACACCTGTAATCCCAGCACCTTGGAGGCCAAGGCGGACAGATCACTTGAGGTCAGGCATTCGAGACCAGCCTGGCCAACATGGTGAAACCCCCGTCTCTACTAAAAAATACAAAAATTAGCTGAGTGTGGTGGCAGGCATGTGTAATCCTAGCTACTCAGGAGTCTGAGGCAGGAGAATCGCTTGAACTCAGGAGGCAGAGGTTGTACTGAACCAACATCGTGCCACTGCATTCCAGCCTAGGTGACAGAGCAAGATTCCATCTAAAGAAAAAAAAAAGAAGGCAAACAAAAATATTTACAGAAAAGCAAAAGCTAAGATAATTCATCACTAGCATATCTATACTACAAAAAAATATTAAAGGGGTCACTTCCAAGATGGCTGAATAGGAAGAGCTCTGGTCTGCAGCTCCCAGCAAGGTCTATGCAGAAGATAGGTGATTTCTGCATTTCCAACTGAGGTACCTGGTTCATCTCACTGGGACTGGTTGGACAGTGGGAGCTGCCCACGAAAAGTGAACTAAAGCAGGGCAAGGTGATGCCTCACCCAAGACATGCAAGGGGTCGGGGGATTTCCCTTTCCTAGCCAAGGGAAGCCGTGACATAATGTATCTGGGAAAACAGTACACTCCCACCCACATACTGTGCTTTCCCCATGGTCTTAGCAACCAGCAGACCAGGAGATTCCCTCCCATGCCTGGTTCAGCAGGTCCCACATCCACAGAGCCTTATTCACTGCTAGCGCAGCAGTCTGAGATCCACCTGCTAGGCTGCAGCCTGTCGGAGGGAGGGGCATCCGCCATTGCTGACGCTTGAGTAGGTAAACAAAGTGGCCGGGAAAGCTTGAACTGGGTGGAGCCCACTGCAGCTCAGCAAGGCCTACTGCCTCTGTAGACTCCACCTCTGTGGGCAGGGCATAGCTGAACAAAAGGCAGCAGACAACTTCTGCAGACTTAAACGTCCCTGTCTGACAGCTCTGAAGAGAACAGTGGTTCTCCCAGCACAGCGTTCAAGCTCTGAGAATGGACAGACTGCCTCCTCAAGTGGGTCCATGAGCCCCATGTAGCCTGGCTGGGAGACATCTCCCAGTAGGGGCCAAGAGACATCTCACACAGGTGGGTGCCCTTCTAGGACGAAGCTTCCAGAGGAAAGATCAGGCAGCAATATTTGCTGTTCTGCAATATTTGCTGTTCTGCAGCCTCCAGTGGTGATACCCAGGCAAACAGGGTCTGGAGTGGAACTCCAGCAAACTCCAACAGACCTGTAGCTAAGAGGCCTGACTGTTAGAAGGAAAACTAACATCAACAAAAAGGACATCCACACCAAAACCCCATTTGTAGGTAACCAACGTCAAAGACCAAAGGTAGATAAAAACAAAAAGATGGGGAGGAACCAGAGCAGAAAAGATGAAAATTCCAAAAACCAGGGGGCCTTTTCTCCTCCCAAGGGTCACAGCTCCTCACCAGCAATGGAACAAACTGGACAGAGAATGACTTGATGAGTTGACAGAAGTAGGCTTCAGAGGGTTGATAATAACAAACTTCTCCGAGCTAAAGCAGCATGTTCTAGCCCAACACAAGGAAGCTAGAAACCCTGAAAAAAGGTTTGTCGAATGACTAACTAGAATAAACAGTGTAGAGAAGACCTTAAATGACCTGATGGAGCTAAAAACCATAGCACGAGAACTTCGTGATATACGCACAAGCTTCAATAGCCGATTCAATCAAGAGGAAAAAAGGATACCACTGATTGAAGATCAAATTAATGAAATAAAGCAAGAAGGCAAGATTAGAGAGAAAAGAATAAAAAGAAATGAACAAAGCCTCCAAGACTATGTGAAAAGACCAAATCTACGTTTGACTGTGTACCCGAAAGCAACAGGGAGAAATGAACCAAGTTAGAAAACATTCTTCAGGATATTATTCAGGAGAACTTCCCCAACCTAGCAAGGCTGGCCAACATTCAAATTTAGGAAATACAGAGAACACCACAAAGATACTCCTCGAGAAGAGCAACCCCAAGACACCTAATTGTCAGATTCACCAAGGTTGAAATGAAGGAAAAAATGTTAAGGGCAGCCAGAGAGAAAGGTCAGGTTACCCACAAAGGGAAGCCCATCAGACTAACACCTGATCTCTCAGCAGAAACCCTACAAGCCAAAAGAGAGTGAGGGCCAATATTCAACATTCTTAAAGAAAAGAATTTTCAACCCAGAATTTCATATCCAGCCAATCTAAGCTTCATAAGTGAAGGAGAAATGAAATCCTTTACAAACAAGCAAATGCTGAGAGATTTTGTAACCACCAGGCCTGCCTTCCAAGAGCTCCTGAAGGAAGCACTAAACATAGAAAGGAAAAGCCAGTACCAGCCACTGCAAAAACATGCCAAATTGTAAAGGCCATCAGTGCTATGAAGAAATTGCATCAATTAATGGGCAAAATAGCCAGCTAACATCATAATGACAGGATCAAGTTCATACATAACAATATTAACCTTAAATGTAAATGGGATAAATGCCTCAATTAAAACACACAGACCAGGCCGGGCACAGTGGCTCACACCTGTAATCCCAGCACTTTGGGAGGCTGAGGCAGGCAGATCACGAGGTCAGGAGATCGAGACCATCCTGGTTAACATGGTGAAACCTCGTCTCTACTAAAAATACAAAAAATTAGCCAAGTGTCATGGCAGCCACCTGTAGTCCCAGCTACTCGGGAGGCTGAGGCAGGAGAATGGCATGAATCCAGGAGGTGGAGCTTGCAGTGAGCCGAGATCACACCACTGCACTCCAGCCTGGGCGACGGAGCGAGACTCTGTCTCAAAAAAAAAAAAAAAAAAAAAAAAAAAAAGTCACAGACTGGCAAATCGGATAAAGAGCCAAGACCCATCAGTGTGCTGCATTCAGGAGACCCACCTCACATGCAAAGACACATATAGGCTCAAAACAAAGGGATGGAGGAAGATCTACCAAGCAAATGGAAAGGAAAAAAAGCAGGGGATGCAATCCTAGTCTCTGATAAAACAGATTTTAAACCAACAAAGATCAAAAGAGACAAAGAAGGCCATTACATAATGGTAAAGGGATCAATTCAACAAGAAGAGCTAACTATCCTAAATATATATGCACCCAATACAGGAGCACCCAGATTCATAAAGCAAGTCCTTAGAGACCTACAAAGAGACTTAGACTCCTACACAATAATAATGGGAGACTTTAACACCCCACTGTCAATGTTAGATCAATAAGACAGAAGGTTAACAAGGATATCCAGGACTTGAATTCAGCTCTGCACCAAGCGGACCTAATAGACATCTACAGAACTCTCCACCCCAAATCAACAGAATATACATTCTTCTCAGCACCACATCACACTTATTCTAAAATTGACCACATAAATGGAAGTAAAGCACTCCTTAGCAAATGGAAAAGAACAGAAATCACAACAAACTGTCTCTCAGACTACAGTGCAATCAAATTAGAACTCAGGATTAAGAAACTCACTCAAAACTGCACAACTACATGGAAACTGAACAACCTGCTCCTGAATGACTACTGGGTAAATAATGAAATGAAGGCAGAAATAAAGATGTTCTTTGAAACCAATGAAAACAAAGACACAATGTACCAGAATCTGTGGGACACATTTAAAGCAGCGTGTAGAGGGAAATTTATAGTACTAAATGCCCACAAGAGAAAGCACGAAAGATCTAAAATTGACACCCTAACATCACAATTAAAAGAACTAGAGAAGCAAGAGCAAACACATTCAAAAGCTAGCAGAAGGCAAGAAATAACTAAGATCAGAGCAGAACTGAAGGAGATAGAGACACAAAAAACTCTTCAAAAACTCAATGAATCCAGGAGCTGTTTCTTTGAAAAGATAACAAAATTGATAGACTGCTAGCAAGACTAATAAAGAAGAAAAGACAGAAGAATCAAATAGACACAATAAAAAATGATAAAGGGGATATCACCACCGATCCCACAGAAATACAAACTACCATCAGAGAATACTATAAACACCTCTACCCAAATAAACTAGAAAATCTAGAAGTGGATAAATTCCTAGACACATGCACCCTCCCCAGAATAAACCAGGAAGAAGCTGAATCTCTGAATAGACCAATAACAGGTTCTGAAATTGAGGCAATAATTAATAGCCTACCAACCAAAAAAAGTTCAGGACCAGACAGATTCACAGCCAAATTCTACCAGAGGTACGAAGAGGAGCTGGTACCATTCCTTCAGGAACTATTCCAATCAATAGAAAAAGAGGGAATCCTCCCTAACTGATTTTATGAGGCCAGCATCATCCTCATACCAAAGCCTGGCAGAGACACAACAAAAAAAGAGAATTTTAGACCAATATCCCTGATGAACATTGATGCAAAAATCCTCAATAAAATACTGACAAACCAAATCCAGCAGCACATCAAAAAGCTTATCCACCATGATCAAGTGGGCTTCACCCTGGGATGCGAGGCTGGTTCAACACACTCAAATCAGTAAATGTAATCCATCACAAAACAGAACCAAAGACAAAAACCACATGATTATCTCAACAGACGCAGAAAAGGCCTTCGACAAAATTCAACAGCCCTTCATGCTAAAAACTCTCAATAAACTAGGTATTGATGGAACATATCTCAAAATAATAAGAGCTATTTATGACAAACCCACAGCCAGTATCACACAGAATGGGCAAAAACTGGAAGCATTCCCTTTGAAACCAGCACAAGACAAGGATGCCCTCTGTCACCACTCCTATTCAACATAGTGTTGGAAGTTCTGGCCAGGGCAATCAGGCAAGAGAAAGAAATAAAGGGTATTCATTTAGGAAAAGAGGGTGTCAAATTGTAGCTGTTTGCAGATGACATGATTGTATATTTAGAAAACCCTATCATCTCAGCCCAAAATCTCCTTAAGCTGATAAGCAACTTCAGCAAAGCCTCAGGATACAAAATCAATGTGCAAAAGTCACAAGCATTCCTATACACCAATAACAGACAAACAGAGAGCCAAATCATGAGTGAACTCCCATTCACAATTGCTACAAAGAGAATAAAACACCTAGGAATCCAACTTATGTGAAGGACCTCTTCAAGGAGAGCTACAGCCACTGCTCAACAAAATAAAAGAGGACACAAACAAGTGGAAGAACATTCCATGCTCATGGATAGGAAGAATCAATATCATGAAAATGGCCATACTGCCCAAGGTAATTTATAGATTCAATGACATCCCCATCAAGCTACCAATGACTTTCTTCACAGAATTGGAAAAAACTACTTTAAAGTTCATATGGAACCAAAAAGAGCCTGCATAGCCAATACAATCCTAAGCCAAAAGAACAAAGCTGGAGGCATCATGCTACCTGACTTCAAACTATACTACAAGGCTACAGTAACCAAAACAGCATGGTACTGGTACCAAAACAGATATATAGACCAATGGAACAGAACAGAGGCCTCAGAAATAACACCACACATCTACAACCATCTGATCTTTGACAAACCTGACAAAAGCAAGAAATGGGGAAAGGATTCCCTATTTAATAAATGGTGTTGGGAAAACTGGCTAGCCACATGTACAAAGCTGAAACTGGATCCCTTCCTTACACCTTATACAAAAATTAACTCAAGATGGATTAAAAACTTAAATGTAAGACCTAAAACCATAAAAACCCTAGAAGAAAACCTAAGCAATACCATTCAGGACAGGCATGGGCAAAGACTTCATAACTAAAACATCAAAAGCAATGGCAACAAAAGCCAAAATTGACAAATGGGATCTCATTAAACTAAAGAGCTTCTGCACAACAAAAGAAACTACCATCAGAGTGAAGAGACAACCTACAGAATGGGAGAAAAAATTTGCAATCTACCCATCTGACAAAGGGCTAATATCCAGAATCTACAAAGAACTTAAACACATTTACAAGAAAAAAAAAACAACTCCGTCAAAAAGTGGGCAAAGGATATGAACAAACACTTCTCAAAAGAAGACATTTATGCAGCCAACAGACAGCTGAAAAAATGCTCATCATCACTGGTCATCAGAGATATGCAAATCAAAACCACAATGAGATACCATCTCACACCAGTTAGAATGGCAATCATTAAAAAGTCAGGAAACAACAGGTGCTGGAGAGGATGTGGAGAAATAGGAAGGCTTTTACACTGTTGGTGGGAGTGTAAACTAGTTCAACCATTGTGGAAGACAGTGTGGCGATTCCTCAAGGATCTAGGAATAAAAATACCATTTGACCCAGCCATCCCATTACTGGGTATATACCCAAAGGATTATAAATCATGCTGCTATAAAAACACATGCACACATATGTTTATTGCAGCACTATTCACGGTAGCAAAGACTTGGAACCAACCCAAATGTCCAACAATGATAGACTGGATTAAGAAAATGTGGCACATATACACGATGGAATACTATGCAGCCATAAAAAAGATGAGTTCATGTCCTTTGTAGGGACATGGATGAAGCTGGAAACCATCATTCTGAGCAAACTATTGCAAGGACAGAAAACCAACACCACATGTTCTCACTCATAGGTGGGAATTGAACAGTGAGAGCACTTGGACACAGGGTGGAGATCATCACACACCAGGGCCTGTCATGGGGTAGGGGGAAGGGGGAGGGATAGCATTAAGAGTTATACCTAATATAAATGACAAGTTAACAGGTGCAGCACACCAACATGGCACCTGTGTACATTTGAAACAAACCTGCACGTTGTGCACATGTACCCTACAACTTAAAGTATAATAAAAAATTAATAAATAAAAAATAAAATAATAAAATAAATAAATAAAAATAAAATGTGGCACATATACACCATGGAATACTATGCATCCATAAAAAAGGATGAGTTTATGTCTTTTGCAGGGACATGGATGAAGCTGGAAACCACCATTCTCAGCAAACTATCACAAGGACAGAAAACCAAACACCACATGTTCTCATTCATAGGTGGGAATTGAACAATGAGAAAACATGGACACAGGGTGGGGAATATCACACACCGGGGCCTGTCAGGGGGTGGGGAGCTGGGGACGGGATAGCATTCGGAGAAATGCCTAGGGTAAATGACGAGTTGATGGGTGCAGCAAACCAACATGGCACATGTATACCTATGTAACAAACCTGCATGTTGTGCACATGTACCCTAGAAGTTAAAGTATAATTTAAGATATATATATAAATCATTCTATTATAAAGATATATGCACATGTATGTTCCTTGCAGCACTATTCACAATAGCAAAAACATGAAATCATCCCAAACACCCATCAATGATAGACTGGATAAAGAAAATGTGGTACATATACACCATAGAATACTATGCAGCCATAAAAAGGAATGTGATCATGTCCTTTGCAGGGACATGGATGGAACTGGAAGCCATTCTCCTCAGGAAACTAACACAGGAACAGAAAACCACACACCACATGTTCTCAGTTATAAGTGGCAGCTGAACAATGAGAACACATGGGCACAGGGAGGGGAACAACACACACTGGGGCCTGTCGAGAGTCAGGCGAGAGAGAGCATCAGGATAAATAGCTAATGCATGTGGGGCTTAATACCTAGGTGATGGGTTGATAGGTGCAGCAAACTGCCATGGCACATGTTTACCTGTGTAACAAACCTGCACCTCCTGCACATGTATCCTGGAACTTAAAACAAAATTTTTAAAAGTCAAAAAATGTATATATTAAAGGAAGTGCTTCAAGCAGTGGAAAATTATTGAAATAAAAGCTTGCATATTAAAAAAAGAATAAAAAGTGCTAGAAATGGTGTAAATATTTGGGTAAATATAAAAGACTTTCTTTTCACTTGTAAGTTTTATTACAGATAACTGACTGAAGCAAAAATTATAACAATATATTTGGGGATTTGTAACATATAAGACAAAGTATGTGCACAAAGTATGAGAGGGAGAGATTGAAGTATATTATTGTAAGACTCTTATATTGTGCATTAAATGATATAATATTTGAAGGTAGTCTGTGATGTTGATGTATATTTTATTTATTTATTTATTTTGAGACAGAGTCTCACTCTGTTGCCCAGGCTGGAGTATAGCGGTGCGATCTCAGCTCACTGTAGCCTCTGCCTTATGGGTTCAAGCGATTCTCCTGCCTCAACCTCCCAAGTAGCTGGTACCAGAGGCACATGCCACCATGCCGAGCTAATTTTTTTTATTTTTAGTAGAAACAGTGTTTCACCATTTTGGCCAGGCTGGTCTCAAACTCCTGGCCTCAAGTGATCCACCCACCTCAGCCTCTCAAAGTGCTGGGATTACAGATATGAGCCACTGTGCCCTGCTATTGATATACATTGTAAGCCCTAGAGTAACTACAAGAAAGCCGTTTAAAAGGTATTTAGTTATAAGACATTAGCAGATAAAATGGAATAGAAAAACACTCCAAAAGAAGGCTGTTTGGCTATTCTTGCATTACTATAAAGAAACACTTAAGACTGGGTAATTTATAAAGAAAAGAGATTTAATTGGCTCATAGTTCTGTAGGCTGTACAGGAAGCATGGTGCTGGGCATCTGCTCAGTTTCTGGTGAGGCCTCAGGAAGCTTTTACTTATGGTGAAAGGTGAAGCAAGAGCAGGCATATCACATGGCCAGAGCAGGAACAAGAAAGAGTTGGAGTGGAGGGAGGTGTTACACACTTTTAAGCAACCATGTCTTGTAAGAACTCACTCACTATTGTAAGGATAGCACCAAACCATGAGGTGTCCACCCCCATGACTGAAACATCTCTCACCAGGCCCAACCTCCAACACTGGGGATTAAAATTCAACATGAGATTTAGAGGGGACAACATCCAAATCATATCAAAGGCCAAAAAAACGGAGATGGATAAAGAGTAAAGAGCAGATGAAGGAAATAGAAAACAAATGTCAGACAATTAGGTAGATCTAAGAAATAAAAAGAAAAATGAAAAAAAATTTAAATAAAAAAATCAAGATGGCAGACTTAAATCCAACTTTTTCATTTATTATATTAAATGTAAATGATCTAAATATTTTAATTAAAAGGCAGATACCAAACTAGATTTTTTAAAGCATGACCCAACTATATACTGAATTCAAAAAACTCACTTTAAATTTTAAAACACAAATAAGTATAAAAATATAGAAAAAAGATATATGATGCAAACATTGAAGATACTAAAGCTGGAGGCCAGGTGTGGTGGCTCACACCTGAAATCCTAACACTTTGGGAGGCCAAGTGGGGGAGGATTGCTTAAACCTAGGAGGTTGAGGCCAGCCTAAGCAACATGGTGAGACCTCATCGCTATAAAAAAAATAAAAAAAATTAGCCAGGCACACTGATGTGTGCCTGTCATCCCAGCTACTCAGGAGGCTGAGGTGGGAAAATTACTTAAGCCCAGGAGGTCAAAGCACAGTGAACTATGTTTGCACTACTGTACTCCAGCCTAGGTGACAGAGTGAGACCCTGTGTCAAAAAAAAAAAAAGTAATAAAGCTGGAATTGGTATGTTAATATAAAACAAAGCAAACTTTACTAATATAATTTAAAAAACAAATAAAATAATTCATAATTATAGCTGGATATTTCAACACTCTTGTCTCAATAACTGAAAGAATAAGTAGACAGTAAATCAGTGAGGCTACAAAACACTTAACACAGTCAATCAACTGAACATAATTGACATTTATGGACTGCTCCACTGAATAACTGGAATACACATTCCCTTTCAGGGCATATGGAAATTTCAACAAGACAGAATATATGCTAGGTCATAAAAAAAGTTCCAATAAATGTTAAAAACTGAAATTTTGCAGATTATGTTCTCTGACTGCAGTGGAATTAAATTAGAAATCAATAACAATAAAATATCTGGAAATATTTTTAAATATTTAAAATTTTATATATTTAAATATTTAAAAATTTAAAAATATATTTCTAAATAATAAATGAGTAAAGAAATAAATTGCAATATTAACAAGTAAATATCTTAAACTTAATGAAAATGAGAGCTGGGCACAGTGGCATGTATCTATATTCCCAGTTACTTGGGAGGCCAATGTGGAAGAATTGCTTGAGGTCAGGAGTTAGAGGCTGGCAGTACACTATGATTGTGCTTGTGGAGAGCCACTGCACTCCAGCCTGGGCAACACAGCCAAGACCTCATCTCTAAAAAACAAAATAAAACAAAATAAAAAACTTTAAAGCTTAATGAAAATGAAACCCAAACATATGAATATTTGGGAAATACGGCTAAAATAGTACTTAGAAGAAAAGTTGTAGTTTAAAATCAATAATTTAAGAATCTACCTAAGAATCAGGAACTTCATATTTGCCACAGTATTGAAGATACAAATGCATAAAAATAATTATAAATCTATTTTGATGGGCACACAATATATAAAGGGGTAGTTTATAACATAAATGACAATAAAATGTGGGGCCGAGCTGTAAAGATTAGTTTTTGTATGCAATCAAGATTATGTTGGTATCGATTCAAAATATATTGTTTTATATTTAGAATATTTTACGTAATCCTCCTGATAACAATGAAGAAAATAGTTACAGAATATACACCAAAAAGAATCAAAACTTATCATTAAAATGTATATTCTGCTGTCGTTGATGGAGTGTTTATACATTTTGTAGCTCATAAGTATGGTGATTGGGTTTTCACACTCATGTATGAGATGTGCCTCTCTAAAACTTTGTTACAACATTGGCACATTACCCCATCTGATGTGTTATGGGGCGGGGTGTGTGTGTGCATATATATATATATGAGATACTATATCAAAAATGGATAGAACCAACAGATCAATAAGCAAATAAAGGACATGAGCAACACTACAAACCAATTGGACCTAACAGACATATACAGAACACTCCATCAACAATAGCAGAATATACATTTTTCTCAAGTGTACATGGAACATTGTCCAGGGCAAACCACATGTTAGGCAAAAAAAAAAGTCTTAATAAATTTTTAAAAGATTTAACTCATACCAAGTATCATTTCTGATCACAATGGAGTGAAACAAATCAATAGCAAAAGGAAAATTGGAAAATTCATAAATATGTGGAAATTAACACACTCTTAAAGAATAAATGAGCTACAGAGAAAACCAGAAGGGAAATTTTAAAATATCTTGACACAAAAAAAGAGAAAATATCTTGATACAACAGAAAATGAAAACACAATATACCAAAACTTATGAAATGTAGCAAAAGCAGTGCTAAGGGTGAAATTTATAGCTATAAATGCTAATGTTAAAAAGGAAATATCTAAAACCAACAATCTGATTTTAAACCTTAAGGAACTAGAAAAAAAAAAAGAACAAACTAAACCCAAAGCTAGCAGAAGGAAGGAAATAATAAAGATTAGAGTGGAGATAAGTAAAAATAGAGAATAGAAAAACAATAGAGAAAATCAATAAAACCAAAAGTTGATTCTTAAAAAAAATCAATAAAATTGACACACCTTTATCTAGATTGACTAAGAAAAAAATAGAGAAGATTCTAATTGCTAAAATCAAAAGTAAAAATCACTAATAATTTTTATTTGAGTACACATTGAAATATTTTTAATATAGAGGGTTAAATAGAATACATTGTTTAAAAAATTTAAACTGTTAAAACTAATAAACTAAACTAACAAACTAATTCAGCAATGTTGCAGGATACAAAATCAACACACGAAAATTAGTTGCATTTCTACATATTAACAATGAACAATCAGAAAAGGAAATTAAGAAAGTAATCCCATTTACAACAGCATCAAAAATAATAAAATACTTAGAAATAAATTTAACCAAGGAGGCCAAAGACTTGTACACCAAAAACTACAAAATATTACTAAAAGAAACTAAAGAAGATACAAATAAATAGAAATGAAGTCCATATTTATGATTGGAAGATTTAATATTGTTAAAATGTCTAGACTGACCAAAGCTATCCTCAGATTCAATGCAATCCCTATCAAAATCCCAATGACATTTTTTCATAAATATAAAAAAAACTTGACATAAAATCTTAAAGGATCCCCAAATGGCCAAACAATCTTGAAAAAGAAAAGGCCTCATACGTCCTGGCTTCAAAACATATTACAAAGCTACAATAACCAAAAAAGTATCTTACTGGCAGAAAGGTAGACATATAGACCAATGAAATAGAATAGAGATCCCAGAAATAAACCCTCCCATATATGGTTAAATGATTTTCTACAAGCGTTCCAGGACCAGAAGTATTAGTCCATTCTCACACTGCTATGAAGAAATACTTGAGACTGAGTAATTTATCAAGGAAAGAGGTTTAACTGGCTTACAATTCCACAGGACTGGGGAGGCCTCAGGAAACTTACAATCAGGTCGGAAGGGGAAGCAAACATGTCCTTCTTCACATGGCAGCAGAAGCGAGAAGTGCAGAGTGAAGCGGGGGAAGCTCCTTATAAAACCATCAGATCTCCTGAGAACCGACTCACTATCAGCAGAACAACATAGGGGTAACCACCCTCATGATTCAATTACCTCCCACCGGGTGGGGATTATGGGAACTACAAGATGAGATTTGGGTGGGGGGACACAGCCAAGCCATATCACCACACAATGGAGAAAGGACAGTCTTTTCAACAAATGGTACTGGAAAAACTGGACATCCACATGAAAAGGAATTAGGTTGGACCCTTACCTAAAACCATATGCAAAAATTAACTTAAAATGGATCGAAGACCTAAATATAAACCTTAAAACTAGAAAACCAGAAGAAAACACAAGGAGAAAGCTTTTTGACTGGATTTGCCAATAATTTCTTGGATATGAGACCAAAGCACAGGCCACAAAAGAAAAAATAGATAAATTAGACCTCATCAAAAGTAAAAACTTTTGTGCATAAAAGACATTATCAACAGTGTGAAAAAGCAACCCATAAAATGAGAGAAAACATTTGCAAATCGTATATCTATCTGGTGTTAATGTCTAGAACATATAAATAACCCTGTATTGTATATGTATATATATGTATATATTTTTTAATTTTCTATATATTATGATGTTTTGACATCTTTAAAAAACACCTTTCTAGCTGGAGAAAGATTTTCTAGCTAGTCAATTCTTCAAGATAGCAATGGTTCCAGGATGCCTTTGACACACAAACTAACCATTCTAGAGCCATGCCTCCCTGTCAGGCTTGTATATCCCAAGAGGCAATATTCCTCTGACTTAATCATCCCAGGGCCAGATGTCAGACAACCAGGACCACTCCTAGAGCCCAAAGCCCACTGAAAGTGTTTAAATTAGCCAATCCTAAACTGTTCACCCTTCCCACCTTTGTCTTTCCCATGGGAACCCCAACAAAGGCTCTGGCCTAATGGTTTTCCCTTGGCCTGTCTTCTGCCTCCTGATCACCCTGGTGTCTTTCCCATGTGGCCCTGCATGGTGTACTATGCCAATCCTCCTGTATCTAGGTGTTGTAAATATAATAACTTTTGATTTATCCTGAGCCTCTCTTGTCTCCTCTTGTGGCCCCACCGTACTGACTATATCATAAAAGAACACAAAACAAACACCTATAACTCCACAACCCCCAAAAAAAGAACTCGATTAAAAAGCAGGCAAAGATGCAAGCCTTGGAAGCTCAACCAGGCCTGCATGAGTACGCTCAGACAATTGCAAAGCGGTTCCACTCTTCTCACCATGGGGTTCACTCCCATTCCCACTATGTCCCCTCTCAGCAGGAAGAAGCCAGAGAGATCAACGGCCTTTTCCCATCTTCATAGCCTACACCTTAAGATTAAATCCCTCCAAAAGGAGGGATTGAAACTGCCTTTGCAAAATTTTGACTGAGACAGTGAAAGAGATCTAACTTAACTGACTCCATCTTGCTTCTAACCTCCAAGCTGTTCTCATTCATTCTTAGGCGTGGGCTGAAGTAACTTTGGGAGAAACTTAGTTTATAGTTTATGGTTTAAACAAGATGGTAACAGCCCTTTCCCAAAGCAGACCTCCTTCTTGCCTGGAGCCTTCATTGCCTTTGTAGGACTAACATTAGCCATAAGATTAGAAATTATGGTCTAGGAGTCATGCAGCTGGGGGCTATAAGATTCTGACCCTCCCTAAACTGCTCCTAACATCAGTGCTTGAGATATTCTGCAGACCCTGCACTTAATGGATCAGTTGACACCACCCAGATCAATAAACTCATTCATCTGATCTTGTGGCCCCTACCCAGGAACTGACTCAGCACAAGAAGACAGCTTCAACTCCCTATGATTTCATCCCCAACCAATCGGCACTCCCGGCTCACTGGCCTCCCCTCACCCACAAAGTTATCCCTAAAAACTCTGCTCCCCAAATGCTCAGGGAGACTGATTTGAGTATTAATAAAATTCCAATCTCCCGCAAAAAAAAGGGGGAGTAGTGCAAAGAACTTCAGCAGATATTTCTCCAAAGGAAATACACAAATGACCAATGAGCACATGAAAAGATGTTCAACATCACTAATCATTAGGGAAATGCAAATCAAAATCATAATGACATACTGCTTCACATCTATTGGGATGACTGTTATTAAAAATAATAAGTGTTGGTGAGGATGTGAAAAATCAGAATGCTTCTGTATTACTGGCGGGAATGTAAAATGGTACAGCTACTCTGTAAAAATAGTATGGCAATTTCTCAAAAAAATAACTATTTTAGATTACTCATTTAAGTGGAACAATACATTATTTGTCTTTTTATGACTGGCTTATTTCACTTGGCATAATATCCTCAAGGGTTATCCATGTTGCAGCACATGTCAGAACTCTATTCCTTTTTAAGGCTGAATAATATTGCATTGTATGTATATACCACATTTGCTTTATTCATTCATCCATTAATGGATATTTGGTTTGCTTCCACCTCTATGCTATTGTGAATACTACTGCTGTGACCATGGATATGCAAATATTTATTCAAGACATGCTTTCAATTCTTTTGGAAATATCCCCAGAAGTGGGATTTAGTGGGTCATGGTGGTCCTATTTTTAATTTTTTGAGAAACCATCATACTGTTTTCAATAGCAGTTGTACCATTTTACACTACCACCAATGGTGCACAAAAGTTCCCATTTCTCCACATCCCCTCCAATGCTTGTTATTTCTGTTTTTTAAAATAACAGCTATCCTAATGGGTGTGAGGTAATATCACATCGTGATTTAGATTTATATTTCTCTGATGTTTAGTGATATTGAATATATTTTCATATGCTTATTAGCCATTTGTATATCATCTTTGGAGAGATATCATTCAGGTATTTTGCCCATTTTTTAATTGGGTCATTTGGTTTTCTGTTGGGCTGTACAAGTTTTTTTTTACATTCTGGATATCAGATATATGATTTGCAAATATGTTCTCCTGTTTGTAGGTTGCCTTTTCACTTTGTTGACTGTATCCTTCAATGCACAGAAGTTTTGATGTGGTGCCACTTGTCTATATATTAGTTGGTGGTGGTACCTCTGCATTTAGGGTCATATCTGAGAAATCATTACCAAATTTAACATCATGAAGCTTTTATCTTATGTTTTTTTCAAGCGTTTTTAGAGTTTTGGTTCTTACACTTAGGTCTTCGATTCATTTTGAGTGAATTTTTGTATAATTTTTGTAAGAAAAGGGTCCAGACAACTTTTTATAGAGAAATTTCATGTAAGAGTGGAATTGCTGGGCCATATTATAACGAGTAACTTTTTAAGGAAATTAAAAATATGAACTATAACTATGTGTAATATTCTAGAATTTACATGTAAATGGGAAAGACATAAAATAACCAAAACAAATTTTTAAAGGATACAATTGAAAGGTTTCAGGACTCAGATTTACTGTGGAGCTACAGTAATCAATGTGGTATCACAATGGCATCAGGAGAATCATAAAGGTTAAAAAGATGAAACAGAAAGTTCAGATGTACACTCTCACACATGTCAACTGACTTTTAACAAAGGTGCCAAGGTAATTTCTTTTCAATAAGTGGTGCTGGAACAACTGCATATCATATAGGGGTCAGAAATGAGTGTTGATCCTTACCTCACACGATTCACAAAAAAATTAACTTGAAATTGATTATAGACCTATATGTAAAAGTTAGCACTATAAAGTTTATCAAAGAAAATATTGAAGATTTTGAAGTAGGCAAAAATCTTTTAGACAGGACATAAACCATTTAAAAATTTTTGATAAATTGGGCTTCAAGACTTCAAAAAAAAACACTCCTGCTTTTTTGGGGGCATGGGGTGGTTGAAGAGGACACAGTTTCACTCTCTCACCCAGGGTAGAGTGCAGTGCAGTGACACAATCATAGCTCAAACTCCTGGGCTCAAGCAATCCTCCCACCTCAGCCTTTTGAGTAGTTGAGACTACAGGCACATGCCACTATGTGAGCCACCATGCCCAGCCAACTCTCACTTTTCTAATGATATCAGTAACAAAATGAAAGAGAAAGCCACAGAGTGATGGAAAACATTCACAATACCTATACTTGAAAAGGGGTTGTGTCTAGCTGTAGTAAAAACTCTTACAACTCAATAATAAGAGACAAAAAAATTAAAAATGAACAAAAAATGTAAACCCTTTACCAAAAAAGATTTGTATAAATTGCCATTAAGTACATGAAAAATACACAACATCATTAGTCATCAGGAAAATACAAGTTAAAATCAAATGAGAAGATACCATAACACATGCAGCAGAATGATTAATACTAAAAAGACTAACAATATCAAGTATTGGTAAGGATATGGAGCAAGTAGAGCCCTCATACATTGCTAATAGGACTGTGAAATTTAAAATCACTTTGTAAAAGAGTTTGGCATTTTCTTTACTTATTCTACTATGTACTAGCAATTCCACTCTTAGATGTATACTTAAGAGAAATCAAAGTATATGTCCACATAAGATTGTGAACAGGAAACATTCATGGCATCTTTACCTATATTAGCCCAAAACTGAAAACAACTCAAATGTTCAGCAACAGATAAATTAATAAACAAATTGTGGTATATCTAGACAATGGAAACTCATCAGCAAAAACAAATTATACACAGTAGTCCCCTCTTATCCTTAGAGGATAAGTTCCAAGACCTCCAGTGGATGGCTGAAAGCACAGATAGTGCTGCCCTATGTAGCCTATGGTTTTTTCTATACTTGCATACCTATGATAAAGTTTAATTCACAAATTAGCCTCAGTAAGACATTAACAACAGTAATAATAAAATTGAACAACTTTAACAATACACTGTAATAAAAGTTATGTGAATGTGATATACATATATATATATATGTATCACAAAATATCTTATGTACTGTACACTGGACCAGGGGTCCCCAGCCCCGGAGCCACAGACCAGCACCCATCTGGAGCCTGTTAGGAGCAAGTCCTTACAGCAGGAGATGAGCAGAGGGCTAGCGAACATTACCACGTGAGCTTCGCCTCCTGTCAGATCAGCGGCAGCATTAGATTCTCATAGGAGCGCAAACCCTGTTGTAAACTGAGTATGCAAGGGATCCAGGTTGTGTGCACCTTATGAAAATCTAATGCCTGATGATCTAAGGTGGAACAGTTTCATTGCCAAAGCAATCCCCTACACTGTCCGTGGAAAAATTGTCTGCCATGAAACCAGTCCCTGGTGCCAAAAAGGTTGGGGACTGCTGCACTAGACAAAAGCATAATCTATTAAGTTGGTGCAAAAGTAATTGTGGTTTTTGCCATTACTTTTAGTGGCAAAAACCACTATTATTTTTGCATCAGCCTGATACATCCTGGGCAGAATGGGCCAAGATAGTCCAATATTTCATCATGCTACTCAGAATAGAGAGCAATTTACAACTTATGAATTGTTGGCTGGTGGTTCATGCCTGTAATTCCAGCACATTGGGAGGGTGGGGCATGAGAATCACCTGAGCCCAGGAGTTCAAGACCAGCCTGGGTGACATGGTGAGATCCTGTCTCTATAGATAAATAATATAATAATAATAACTTATGAATTGTTTATTTCTGAAATTTTTTATTTAGTATTTTTAAACCATGGTTGACTACAGGTAATTGAAACAGTGAAAAGCAAAGTGCACAAAATGCGGAACTATTGTACACATGATTTAGATGAATCTCAGAAACATTACGCTGAGAGAAAGAAGCCAGACACGGAATTACTTAAGAATACGTACTGTATGATTGTACTTAAAGAAAACTCGAGAAACAGCAAATCTAATCCTTAGTGTCAGGAATTGTCAGGAATCTTTAGTGTCAGATGAGTAGAGCATAAGGAAGCCTTTTGGAGTAATGGAAGTGTTCTATATATTGAATGAGGTGGCAGTGCACATCTACGTGAATATATCTGTCAATATTCATAGATCTGTACACCCCAAAAAAGATGCATTTTATTGTATGTATGTGATGACTTCAAAAGGTTTGTGGAAAAAAATGGAATTAAAAGATAAAAATAGAACCCAATCCAAAGTCCCAAGAGTATGGAGCAAGATGGCTGACTAGAGATGCCTGGCATTTGTCCTACCAACAAGAAAGACCCAAGGCAACAAACAAACAATTAAGATTTCAATGGAGTGTCAATAAGAGAGTGCTGGAGTACAGCAGGGGAGTGGAGATACACCTGTGGTGGCTGGAAGTCCAGAAAGGCAGTGTGGAGGCACCTGGCCTCTGAAGCCCCATCTCCCCACCGTGGATCAGATCTGCCTAGAGTCAGAAAACCTTCCTGTTCCAGGGAAAAAGTAAACAGAATATGCCCAGCAGCTTCCATTGCCACCACAAATATCTACAGTTCTTACTACAGGAAAATCCCACAGTCTTTGAAAGCAATGAGCCCAGTTTGGAGAGCTTCCAGGAGCTCACATAGCACATTGCCCCAGATTAGGAGCACAAAGTGTGCATTCCCCACCCTTCACTGATCCTCTGTGAGCCAAGCTTCTGCAGCACAGCACCTAGACCAGAGCTCCTCTGAAATGCACCCTGCTCTTGGGGGCCGGTAGACTGCACCTCTCCAGCACTAGGGCTCCATCTTCATTATGCCAAACCCACTCACATGGCTGAACACCACAACCTCAGTTGCATGGAACTTTGGCCCAAGACTGGCTGTGACTCTGGTTTTGCACAGCAGGGAAAGCAACTCCCAACACCACACTTCCAGCCAGAGGAACAGACTGCCAGTCCTGCCCAGGGCGAACCTGCCTCTGAGCCAGCCAAACTGCTGCACACCCTCCCCCAAGCAGAAGAGGCCGCTGGGTCTCTGAGCAGCTTACATGACCCCAGGCCAGTGGAATGGTTATACATCCATGCCCAGGACCTGAGAAACAGCTCTACAGCACCATTAAGCCCCACAGATATACCCTGTGCCCCCAATAAGGGCCTAAGAAACAGTCCCACAGGCCACCTCTGGTGGGCACACCCCCAGGCCTACCAAACCTCCAAGAGCCCACAACCCAGACCTGAGAAATAGCCCTGTGGACCATGACCAGGCAGACATGCCCTCAGCCCAAATAAGGATCCCCATACCCATATCCCAGGCCTACAAAACAGCCCCATGAGCCACTCTCCATAGAAATGTTCCGAGGCCAGCTGAGCAACTGTGTGCCTATGTCCTGGACCTGAGAAATAGTCCTACGGGCCTCCCTCAGCAGACACACACCCAGGCCAGCTAAGCAGCCATCCAACTGCATTCCAGACCTGAGAAACAGCCCTGCAGGCCCCTCCTGGCAGGCATACCTCCAGGTCGACTGAACAACTGTATGCCCATATTCCTGGCCAGAATAACAGCCCCATGGCCCTAATCCCAGGAAGCCAGGCTCCAACTTGGCCAGCCCACCATGTGCACACAACCCCAACCTGAGAAACCCCGTGAGCCCACCCTTGGCAAAGTCACACCACTGTCACCACAAACTCTCAGTATAGGCCACTGAGAAACTCCAAATGCCACTAGTATGACTTACAGCTGAGGAAACTACACAAAGACTACACTACTGCATCCAACTAGAATAAAGACCAATGCACCCCACCAAACTGACACCTCAAGACCCATTCATACAAATAAGTATTTCCCTACAAAACATGCTCCATAAAATTGGAACAGGTGGCTTTTCTAACAGATGCATAGAAATCAACATAGGGACACATCAAATGTGAAAAAGCAAGGAAACGTGGCACCTCCAAAGGGAAATAGTAACTCAGTAACAGAATGCAATCATAAGAAAATATATAAAATTCCAGAAAAAGAATTCAAAATAATAATCCTAAGAAAATTCAGTGAGATACAAAAGAATACAGATAGACAATTCAATGAAATCAGAAAAACAATTCATGATTTTAATGAGAAATTCAACAGAGATAGATATCATAAAAAATAACCAAACAAAACCTTGAGCTGAAGAATTCAATGAATGAAATAAAAAATACAATTGAGAGCTTAAACAACATACTGGACCAAGCAGAAGAAGGAATTTATGAACTTGAAGATAGATCTTTTGACATAACATAAGCAGACCAAAAAAAAAAATTTTAAAGAACGAAGAAAGCCTACAATATTTAAGAGACATCATTAAGTGAATAAATATTAGTATTAATATTATGGGCATTCCGGGAGAAGAGGGAAAAAGTGAGGAAAACATGTTTAATGAAATAGTAGGACCAGGTGTGGTGGCTCACACCTGTAATCCCAGCACTTTGGGAGGTCAAGGCAGGTGGATTGATTGAGGCCCGGAGTTTGAAACCAGCCTGGGAAACATGGCAAAATTCTGTCTCTCCAAATTGCAAAAATTAGCCAGAAGTGGCAGCACATGCCTGTAGTCCCATCTATTTGGGGCTGAAGTGAGAGGATCATTTGAGCCCAGGAGGCAAAGGTTTCAGTAAGCCAAGATCATCCCCCTGCACTCCAGTGTGGGTGGTGGAGCAAGAATCAGAAAGCAGGAAAGAAAAAAGAAAGAAAAGAAAGGAAAGAAAGAACGAAGGAAGGAAGGAAAGAAAGAAAGAGAAAGAGAGAAGGAAAGAAGGTAAGAAGGAAAGAAAGAAAGAAGGGAGGGAGGGAAGAAAGAAAGAAAAAAGGAACGAAAGAGAGAAAGAAAGAAGAAAGAGAAGGAGGGAAGGAAGGAAAGAGAAAGAAAAAAAGAAAGAAGAAAGAGAGAAAGAAAGAAGAGATAAAGAGGGAAAGAAGGAAAGAAAGAAAGAGGAAGGAAGGAAAGAAAGAAGGAGGGAAGGAGGGAAGGAGTGAGGGAAGGAAGGAAGGAAGGAAAGAAAGGAAATAATAGCAGAAATCTTCCCAGGTCTTGGGAGAGAGATGGATATCCAGGTCCAGAAGCTAAAAGAATCCTAAATACCTTCAACTGAAACAAGACCTTTCTGAGGCACATTATAGTCAAAATGTCAAAAATCAAAGATGAAGAAAGAATTCTAAAAGCAGCAAGAGAAAAGTCAAGTCATATATAAGGGAATCCTAATTAGACTAACAGTGTGAATTTCTCAGCTGAAACCTTACAAGCCAGGCGAGAATGGGATGATATATTCAAAGTACTAAAACAAAAATACCTGCAATTCAAGAATATTATACCCAGCAAAGCTTTCCTTCAAAAAATGAGAAATAAAATATTTCAGAGACAAGCAAAAACTAAGGGAATTCATCACCACTAGACTGGCCTTAGAAATAAAAGTTCAAGGGAATATTAAATCTGGAAGTGAAAAGATGATAACCACCAACATGAAAACATGAGAACATACAAAATTCACTGGTAGACCTAATACAGAAAAGAAAAAGAAAAAAGAATCAAACTTTATCATTACAGAAAATTACCCAACCAAAAATATAAACAATAAGAGAGGAAGTAAGGAACAAAGTACACACAAGACTATCAAAAAACAGTCAATAAAATTATAGGAGTAACTCTTCACCTATCAATAGTAACCCTAAATATAAACAAATAAAATTCTCCATTTATAAGATACAGGCTGGTTGAGTAGATTTTAAAATGAGACCCAAATACATGCTGCCTACAAGAAACTCAACTCGTAAAGACACACACAGAGACTAAAAATGAAGGGATGGAAAAAGATATTCTGTGCAAATGGAAACCAAAGTGAGCAGAAGTAGCTGTGCTTACATCAGACAAAACAGACTTCAAATTAAAAGCTATTTAAAAAGACAAGGAAAGACATTCTATAATAATAAAGGCATCAATTCAGCTAGAGAATATAAAAATTGTAGATATATCTGCACCCAACAGCAGAGCACCTACACATATAAAGCAAATATTATTAGATCTAAAGGAAGAGATTAAATTCCAATACAATAATAGTTGGAGACTTTAGCACCCCTTTCTCAGCACTAGACAGATCATCTACACAGAAAAACAACAAGGAAACATTACATTTAAACTGTACAATAGACCAAATGGACATAACAGACATTTAAAGAACATTTCTCCCAACAGCTATAAACATTCTTTTTATCAATATATGGAACATTCTCAGGGATTAACCATATATTAGGACACAAAGCAGTCTCAAATTTTTTTAAAAAAATCAAGACCTGGCACGGTGGCTCATGCCTGTAATCCCAGCACTCTCAGAGGCCAAGGCAGGCAGATCATGAGATCAGGAGATCAAGACCATCCTGGCTAACATGGTGAAACCCCGTCTCTGCTAAAAATACAAAAAATTAGCCAGGTGTTGTGGCATGTGCCTGCAGTCCCAGCTGCTCAGGAGGCTGAGGCAGGAGAATCACTTGAACCCAGGAGGGAGAGGGTGTGGTGAGCCAAGATCATGCCACTGCACTGTAGCCTGGGTGACAGAGCAAGACTCCATCTCAAAAAAAAAAATCAAAATTATATCAAGTATTTTACCTGACCACAACGGAATAAAACTAGACATCAATAATAAAAGGAACATTTGAAACTATAGATATACATGAATATTAAATAACATGGTTCTGAATGACCAATGGGTGAAAAAAGAAATTAAGAATGAAATTTTAAAATTCCCTGAAGCAAAAATAGAAACATAACAACAAAATCTATGGGATTCATAATTTCATAATACATCAAAAGCAGTATTATAAGGCAAGTTTATAGCAATAAGTGCCTACATCAAAAAACCAAAAAGATTTCAAATGAACAACTTAATGCCCGGCTGCAGTGGCTCATGCCTATAACCCAAGCTCTTTGGGAGGCTGAATGAAGGGATTGCTTGAGCCCAGGAGCTTGAGACTACCCTGGGCAACATAGGGCAACAGAGCAAGACCTTGTCTCAAAAACAAACAAACAAACAAACAAGAAGAAAAACAATCTAATCATGTACATCAAGGAGCTAAAAAAGCAAGAACAAACCAAACCAAAATTAGAAGAAAGGAAATAATAAAGATAAGAGAGGAAATAAACAAAATTGAGACTAAAAAAAATAGATCAGTTAAACAAAAAACTGTTTTTTTGAAAAGATGAAAGCAACAAACCATTAGGAGACTAAGAAAAAAAGAGAGAACACTCAAATAAATAAAATTAGAAATGAAAAGGGAGACATCATAACATATACCACAGAAATACAAAGTATCAAGAGACTACTATGAATGATATACTAATAAATTCAAAAACCAAGAGGAATTGGATGAATTCCGGGACACATATGACCTATGAAGATTGAACCAAGAAGAAACAGAAAGTCTGAACAGACCAATAGCAAGTATTGATATTGAATCAGGAATAAAAAGTAGTGATTTCACTACTGAATTCTGCCAAGTATTTAAAAAAGAATTAATATCAAGTATTTTTAAACTAGTCCAAAAAATTGTAGAAGAATTTTTCTTAACTTATTCTACAAGGACAATATAACCCTGATACCAAAACTAGAAAAGAACATAACAACAACAACAAAAAACTACAAACCAACATCCCTGATAAATATAGACACAAAAATCCTCAACAAAATACTATCAAACCAAATCCAACAATACATCCAAAAGATAATACACCATGACCAACTTGGATTTATCCCAGGAAAGCAAGGATGGTTCAACATATGCAAATCAATAAACATCATACATCACACCAATAGAATGAAGGGCAAAGCCATATGATCATCTCGATATATGCAGAAAAAGCTCACGACAAAATTCAGTATCTCTTTAGTTTGTTTTTTGTTTGTTTTTTATTTTTTATTTATTTATTTATTTATTTTTGTAGATGGAGTCTTGCTTTGTCACCCAGGCTGGAGTGCAATGATGCAATCTTGGCTCATTGCAACCTCTTCCTCCTGGGTTCAAAAAATTCTCCTGCCTCAGCCTCCTGAGTAGCTGGGATTACAGGTGCATGCCACCATGCCCGGCTAATTTTTGTATTTTTAGTAGAGATGGGGTTTATCATGTTGGCCAGGCTGGTCTTGAATTCCTGACCTTGTGATCCACTCACCTCGGCCTCCCAAAGTGCTGAGATTACAGGCGTGAGCTGCCGCACCCGGCCAATATCTCTTTATAATAATAAACTCGTAATAAATTAGTTATAGAAGGAAAGTACCACAAATAATAAAGTTCATTATGACAATTCCAATACTGAATGGTAAAAGGCTGAAAGCTTTCCTTCTAAGAACTGGAACAAGACAAGGATGCTCGCTCTCACTATTCTTATTCAACTTGGCACTGGAAGTCCCACCCAGAACAATTAGGCAAGAGAAAGAAAGAAAGGACGTCCAAACTGGAAAAAAGGATATCAAATTGTCACTGTTTGCATATAACATGATCTTATATATGAAAAACCTAGACCCTACCACCAAAGTCCAGAACTGATCAACAAATTCAGTAAAGTTGCAGATATAAAATTCATATTTAAAAATCAGCAGCATTTATATACATAAACAACAAACTAGCTGAAAAAGAAATAAGGCAATCTCATTTATAACAGCTACAAAAAATTTAGAATACCTAGGAATCAATTTAACCAACAGGTAAAAGACCTTTACAAGAAAAATCACAAAACACTGATGAAATTGAAGAGGATACAAACAAATGAAAAAACATCCCGTGCTCATGGATTGAAAAATTAATATTGTTAAAATGACAACACTATCCAAAGCAATCTACAGATTTAATGCAATCCCTATCAAAATACCAGGAACATTCTTCACAGAAATTTTTTTTTAATCTGAAAATGCATATAGAACCACAAAAGACACAAAATAGCCAAAACAATCCTGAACAAAAAGAACAAGGCTGGAGATATATTATCAGACCTCAAAATATAGTACAAGGCTGTAGCAACCAAAACGGCACGGTACTGGCATAGAAACAGACACATAGACCATTGCAACAGAATGCAGAACTCAGAAATTAATCCACGTATCTACAGCCAGCTGATTTTTGACAAAGGTGTCTAAATACTCATTGGGAAAAGGACAGTCTCTTCAATAAATGCTGCTGGGAAAACTGGATATCCATATGCAGAAAAATGAAACTAGATCCCCACTTCTCACCGTATTAAACAAAAAAACTTAAAATGGTTCAAAGACCTAAATGTAAGACCCAAAATGATAAAACTACTAGAAAAAAAAGACATAGGGGAAATGCTTTAGGACATTGGTCTAAGAAAATATTTTACAGATAAGACTCAAAGCACAGGCAACAAAAGCAAAATATACAAATGAGATTACATTAAACTAAAAGAGTTTCTGCATAGCAAAGGAAACAATCAACAGAGTGAAAAGACAACAGAATAGGAGAAAATGTTAGCAAACTACTCATCTGACAGCATATTAATATCCAGAATATACAAATCTCAAATATCTCAAATTTTCAAATATCTCAAATATCTCAAAAGCAAAATAACAAAAAAAATGGACAAATGATCTGCATAGATGTCTCTCAAAGGAAAATGTATAAATGGCCAACAAATATACTTAAAAATGCTCAACATCACTAACCATCAGGGAAATCCCAATCTAAGCCACAATGATGTATCATCTCACCCCAGTGGGAATGTAAACTACTACAGTCATTATGGAAAACAGTATGGAGGCTCGTCAAAAAAACTGCAATTAGAGGTATTATATAATCCAGCAATCCCACTACTGGGAATTTATCCAAAGAAAAGGAAATCATTATATCGTAGAGACATTTGCACCCTCATGTTTATTACAACACCATTCATAACAGCCAAGATATGGAATCAACATAGGTGTCCAACAACAGATGAATGGATAAAGGTAATGCAGTACATATAACATACACAGTGAAATGCTATTCAGCTATAAAAAAGAATAAAATACTGTCATTTGCAGCAAATAGGTGGAACTGGAGGATTTTACGTTAAGTGAAATAAGCCAGGAACAGAAAGTTAATTAAACACCACATGTTCTCACTCATATGTGGAAGCTAAAAAACAAAAATGTTGATCTCATAAAAGTAAAAAGTAGAACAAAGGATACTAGAGTCTGAGAAGGGTAGAAGAAAGGGAGGATAAGGAAAGATTTGTTAAAGGACACAAAATTCCAGCTAGACAGCAGGAATAAATTATAGTGTTCTACACCACTGTAGAATGACTAGTTAGAGAGAGAGAGAGAGAGAGAGATTTTTTTTCCCAAACAGCTAGAAGGAAGATATTGAACATTCCCAACACAAAGGAATGATATATATTTGAGTGATGGATATGCTAACTACCCTGATCTGATCACTATATATTACATGTATGGAAACAACACTATGTACTCCATGAATATGTACAATTATTATTTGTCAATTAAAATGTAAAATAATGTAAATCTAAAAAATTAAACTGGAAACTGTATTTCTCAACATAAGCTCTATCAAGTTCAAGACACTTTTGTATGCAATGATACCAGCTAAATTTTAGTCCATCCCTAAAGAACTAAGAGTCCTAGGAATTGAACCATGTCAATGCAGTTTTTTTTACATTATTAACTGAAAACAATGTGTGCTCTTGAAAGATTTTTTTTAAGATTAGGAAACAAAAAAATCAAAAGGAACCAAATCAGGACTGTAAGGTGGATGCCTGATGATTTCCAATTGAAACTGTCACAAAACTGCCCTTGTTGGATGAGAGGAATGAGCAGGGGCATTGTCGTGGTGAAGGACTCTCTGGTGAGGCTTTGTCAAGCATCTTTCTGCTAGCTAACTTCCTCAAAGCACTCTCATAATAGGCATATGTTATCATTCTTTGCCCCTAGAAAGACAAGAAGGAAAATGTGTCAAGCAACCAAAAAACTGTTGCCATGACCTTTGTTCTTGACCAGGCTGCTTTTGTTTTGACTGGGCCACTTCCACCTCTTAGTAGCCATTGCTTTGATTGTGATTTGTCTTCAGGATTGTACTGGCAAAGCGATGTTTCATCTCCTGTCAGAGTGGCTGTTATCAAAAAGATAAAAGGTAACAAGTATAGGTGAGGATGTGGAGATATGAGAACCCCTGCACACTGTTGGTGGAAATGTATAGCAGAAAACAGTATGGAGGCTCCTAGAAAAATTAAAAATAGAACAACTATATGATCCAGCAATCCTGCTATTAGTTATAAATCCAAATAAAATGAAATCAGTATATCAAAGAGATATCTGCACTTCTGTGTTCATTGCAGCATTATTACAATAGCCAAAATATAAAATCTATGTAAGCATCCATCGGCTAATGAATGGTTAAAGAAAATCTGGCATATATATGCAATGGAATACTATCCATCCTTATAAGAGAAGGCTATCTTGTCATTTGTGACAACGTAGATGAACCTAGAGAACATTATGCTAGGTGAAATAAGCCAGGCACAGAAAGGCAAATACTGCATGATCTCACTTAGGATGTGGAATAAAAAAAAAAAATTGAACTCTTAGAAGCAGAGAGTAGATTGGTGGTTATCAGGGGCTGGAGATGAGGAGGAAACAATGAAGAGATATTGGTTAAAGGACCTAAAATTTCATTTAGACAGGAGGAATAAATTCTGGAGATCTATTGTGCAGCATGATGACTATAGTAAATAATAATGTATTCTATACTTGAAAATTGCTAAGAGTAAATTTTAAATGTTCTCATAAAAATAAGTGTGTGGGGTGATGGATACATTAATTAGTTTGATTTAATTATTCCACAAAGTATACATATATCAAAGTTTCACAATGTATACCAAAAATCTACACAATATGTCATTTTTTGATTAAAATAATAATAGTAATAATAATAAATTCTATGTAGCAATAATCCCTAGACTAAGGAAACAAGAGGCCCTCAGCTTTGCCCCCAGCCAGCTGAGCAGCGGTAGTTAAGGATATAGCTTCTCTTTGGCTACCGCTGGTCTCCTTTTTTGCAAACTTGAGACAATCACCGAGAGCCCTGGTGGCTTTTGAGAGGGCAGTTTAATGGCATGATGAGGGCAGGAGCCAGGCCAAAGAGGATTTTGAAGGGAGCTTCTGAAGGATAAACTGTTTAGTGTTTCTTGACTGAAGTTGGTAATTACAAGATGTAGTTCAGAGTAATCAAGAGGACAAGTATCTAAGCCCTTTGCTGATTGTTAAGGGCCAAGGGATCCTAAGGGCTTGGCATCTGGCCCCATTCTCCTGTATTTTCTCTTCTCTAATTTCCCAGTGATCTTACCAGGACAGTTTTCTCTCTCTGCATGTGTGTGCCTGCACAAAGGGCTGCCTTATTAAATAGTAATTCTCATTCTTACATTCCATGTCCTTTTCCCCTGGCCCTGTTTCCTCTTTCCCTCTGTAATGTGAAGGACTGTGCAATTCAATCTATATTGGAATTAGAAGTTTGGAGCAGGTACAATCACACTGTATCAAATCATTTTGAAATTAATGTTCATTCAGACCCATAACCAGGCATGTGGCAGGTTAAGAGGGTACACGTGGAAGGGCCCCTGCCAACACACACTCATCCTCCCAGAAACACAATCAGGCCCTAGCTCAGCATTTCCCAGATGTCAGTCATTTGAATATACCTTCGTTATTTGTAAGAATATTTTGCTATATTCACTTATCACCCAACTGATTTTTTTTTTTGAGATGGAGTCTCGCTCTGTCACCCAGGCTGGAGTGCAGTGGTGCAATCTCAGCTCACTGCAGCCTCTGTCTCCCAGGTTCCAGCGATTATCCTGCCTCAGCCTCTCAGGTAGCTGGGATTACAGGTACGTGCCACCATGCTTGGCTAATTTTTTGTATTTTTAGCAGAGACAGGGTTTCACCATGTTGGCCAGGCTGGTCTCGAACTCCTGACCCTAGGTGATCTGCCTGCCTCGGCCTCCCAAAGTGCTAGGATTACAGGCGTGAGCCACCACGCCTGGTCCACCCAACTAATTTTTAAATCAACTTTAAATCAGTTACCTGTTTTTTAACTTAGCTCTTCATTAAAAACAATAACCATGAAAAGAATGGGTTTGATATGTTAATAATATATTTTTTCTAATTTAAAATATACATAGTCATTCCACAGAGGGTATTGGTTCCAGGGCACTCCTGACCCCCTGCAGACACTAAAATCTGCAGATGCACAAGTCCCTGTATAAAATGGTGTAGGATCTGCATATGACCTATGCACATCCTCCTACATAGTTTAAATCATCTCTAGATTACTCATAATACCTAATATAATGTAAATGCTATATAAATAACTATTATACTGTGTTTTTTACAGTACTGACAAGATATAAAATCTGTACAGGCTGGGCATGGTGGCTCACACTTGTAATCCTAGCACTTTGGGAGGCCAAGGCGGGCAGATTGCTTGAGTCCAGGAGTTAAAGACAGACCAGCCTGGGCAACATGGTGAAACCCCATCTCTACCAGAAGAAGTTACAAAAAATTAGCCAGGCGTGTTGACTGCCACCTGTAGTCCCAGCTACTCAGGAAGCTGAGGTGAGAAGATCTACCTGAGTCCAAGAGGTGGAGGTTGCAGTGAGCCAAGATCATGCTACTGCACTCCAGCCTGGGTGACAGAGCAAGATCCTGTCTCAAAAATTAATTAATTAATTAATTTAAATAAAATCTGTACAATGCAATTCCTGGTTGGTTGAAGCCACAAATGCGGAATTCATGAATATAGAGAGGGCCTACTGTATACATCATGCTCATCCGTGTAACTGTTAACCTCATTTTCTGTACCACCGGTGTATATACCACCCTTTGCGAAAACACCGTTAGAACTCATCACTGCACTCCAAGGTGATCATTGGGAAGGCGTGTGCTCCTCCCAGGCCTCAACATTGCAGTAACACTTGTCCACCTAGATCCCATTTTTTCAATAGGAGCCTTCACTATATAAACTTAATCTGGATTAAGGTCGTTTTTTTGGTAGGGAGGAAGGCTTATATTGGTTTGCTGGGACAGCCACAACAAATTACTACAGACTGTAGTAATTTGTACTACTACAAATTACTACTACAAATTTATGTGACTTAAGCAACAGAAATTTATTTTCCTCCAGTTCTGGGGGCTGGAAGGCCAAAATCAGCAGGACCAGTTTCTTCTGAGGCCTCTCTCCTTGGCTTGTAGATGCCGTCTTCTCCCCACGTCCTCATGTGGTCTTTCCTCTGTGCTTGTCGGCGTCCTAATCTCTTCTTATGGGAACAGCAGTCATATCGTATTAGGGCTCACCCATATGACCTCATTTGCCTTGATCACCTCCTTAAAGGCCCTGTGTCCAAACACAGTCCCATTTTGAGGTACTGGGTGTTAGGACTTCCACATATAGATTTTGGGAAGACACAAGCTAGCCCGTTGCAGGGCTTAAATGCAGGATGAGAGAGGATGGTGAATTCAATATGAGGGCCATGGTTGGAAGAATCAGGCTGCAGGGGATTACAAAGGAAAAGTCAAAGTTTGAAAGTAAAATGAGGAGGAAAAAAGGCAAAAAATAAGAATCAGGTTTAAACACCTGAAGACATTACTCATTCTGATTTACAAGTCACTGGATAAAAAAAAAGAAAAAAAAGAAAAAAAGAGGATATTACTCATGACCAAGAAGTGCTTATGGCCCGGGTACGGTGGCTCACGGCTGTAATCCCAGCACTTTGGAAGGCTGAGGCAGGTGGATCACGAGGTCAGGAGATCGAGACCATCCTGGCTAACACGGTGAAACCCTGTCTCGACTAAAAATACAAAAAATTAGCTGGGCATGGTGGCAGGCGCCTGTAGTCCCAGCTACTCGAGAGGCTGAGGCAGGAGAATGACATGAACCAGGGAGGCGGAGCTTGCAGTGAGCCGAGATCGTGCCACTGCACTCCAGCCTGGGTGAGAGAGCGAGACTCTGTCTCAAAAAAAAAAAAAGTGCTTATATATAAAAAATTGACGAGTCTCTAGAATATCCCAAATCCAATCAAAACAACCACAGTGTTGTCTGGCTGTGAATGGATCTAGAAAGATGTAAACAGGCTGGGCACAGTGGCTTATGCCTATAATCCCAGCACTTTGGGAGGATTGCTTGAGCCCAGGAGTTCCAGACCAGCCTGGGCAACAAGGTGAGACCCTGTATTTATAAAAAAAAAAAAAAATCAAAAAATTATCTGGGCAGGTGCTGTGCACCTGTGTACTCCCAGCTTCTTGGGAGGTTGAGGCAGGAGGACCATTTAATCCCAGGAGGGTCCAGGCTGCAGTGAGCCATGTTTGTGCCACTGCACTCCAGCATGAGTGACAGAGCAAGACCCTTTCTCAATTTTTTTTAAAAGAAAGACATAGACAACTGACAGAACAGTCTTTATCCGAAGGGAATGTGTGTAGGGCAACTCCGAAAGATGGGGCAGAAACACAGCAGTCTATGTGGTCTTGGACACTGTCCAGGGTCAGGGAGCAGAGGGTGTAGGGTGTAAGTGCCTTACCTAGGCACTTACCTTAGAGTACAGCTGGAGGCTCAGGGGATGCCACCGGCCATGAGGATGGTCCACCTGGCTGCACCTCCCAGAAAGATCTGCTGACCAGGAGGAAATGTGCCTATCAAGGAGCACAGGAGTCTGAGCTGGATCTGTTATGTGTCTCGTGGTTTCTCCATCCACCTCCTGGAAGCATGGCTGGCAACATAGTAATTAGAGCTAACCCCAAATATTCCAGTTCTTCTCTCCTCCCAAGAAACTGCTAGGATTGCATTTCCACTCCTTTGAAATTAGTTGAGTCCATGTGACTTGCTTTCCATGTGACTTGCTTTTTTCAATGAAAAGGGAGTGGAATAACACGGGTCTCTTCCGGGGAGAAGCTTGAAGAGACAGTGAGGGATTTGCTATAGTTCTTTTCCTTCCTCTGTAATGGTTGAAATGGAGACTCTATCAGCCCGGATCCCGGGGCACAACGATGAAATGAGTCCCTCTGCTGACCTGTGCTAGACATGTAGAATAAGCAAGAAATACAGTTTTGTTGTGTGAAGCCGCTGAGGTTTGGAGATTATTTGTCACTGGAGCAGAGCCTAGCCCATCCTGACTGATAGTTAGTGTGAGCCAGTCCTACTGAGTCTGCTCATGTCAGTATTGAGAAAAGAAAGGCAGAATTTCTATTTTGTTTGTTTGTTTGTTTGTTTGTTTTGAGACAGAGTCTCATTCTGTCACCCAGGCTGGAGTGCAATGGTGCGATCTCAGCTCACTGCAACCTCCACCTCCTGGGTTCAGGCGATTCTCCAACCTCTGCCTCCCGAGTAGCTGGGACTACAGGCACGTGCCACTACACTTGGCTAATTTTTGTATTTATAGTAGAGACAGGGTTTCACCATGTTGGCCAGGCTGGTCTTGAACTCCTGACCTCAAGTGATAGGCCCGCCTCAGCCTTCCAAAGTGCTGGGATTACAGGCGTGAGCCACCACCCCCAGCCTGAGCCACTGCGCCTGGCAGAATTTCTAAACCAGCAAAGCTTAGAACGAAACCCTGAGACAAAGTGATCGGTCTTAACTGGCTAACTAGCGTCCTTCTTCTTTTCAACTTGCCCCTGTTGCCCTTTGAGATATTTTATTTAGCTTGATTCCAGCAATGAACTGTGGGTCCACCCCCTTATGTTCTATATTACCCCACACAAACCAGCTGTCTATGGGCCATGTCCAAGCTACCGACATGTTCACTTAGCATGCTTAAAATGTTTAATTAGTTAAAACTGGAGGATTTTATATAAAAATCTAGATTCTTGGCTGCTCAGAAGAAATTAGACTATCCAGCCCCCTTGGTCCTATATTATACGACTTGAAGCAAAATCACAGCTACCCACTTCAGATGGGAGCTGAGCACACCAAGATGCCACAGACTCCACTGTTCCCTGTTGCTTAATCTCTGTTGGCCTCATTCACTTCCTGCCTCAACTCTGAGAGCATCTGAGTCTGTGACCTCTGTGTGTGCTTCACCCTTACCCACACACACGCACATACACACGCACATACACACACATACACACACAAACACACACACACACACACACTCTCTCTCTCTCTTCCAGTCACTCCATCCAGCGTGTATTTTCCCAAACATTCTTTTCCACTCCTTTCTGCCTTTACGTTCCATTTCCTCTGCCTGGAATGCCCCTCATCATCTCTACTCACTGAAATAAGCCTGTGCATTCATTCACCAGCACCCAGCTCAAGTGTCACCTTCTGAGGTGGCAGACGCCTGGCTTGGCATCCATCTCCCCTCCCTGCATGGCCTAGTCTTCCCTGGAGACAGAGATGGTCGTGTATGTGAGTCCTGGAAAATGAGATGGAAGCGTAAGTGTGTGGTGGATGTCATGGAAGGCCACCTAAGGGAAACATCTCTCCTGGGAACTGGTGTGCACGCCGCCTGCCTCCTCCCTCAGTCTAGCCTCTGGAACAGAGAACGCACCCTCTCCATTACTCCTGCCTCCTTCAAGACTCTTGTCAAATATCACCTCTCAATGAGATTTCTTCTTTTTATTCTTTTTCTGAACTCTGTTGCCCAGGATGGAGTGCAGTGGCACAATCATAGCTCACTGCAGCCTCAAACTCCTGGGCTCAAATGATCCTTCCTCCTCAGCCTCCTGAATATCTGGGACCACAGGTGTGCACCACCACACCTGGCTAATTTTTTTATTTGTAGAGACGATATCTCACTATGTTGCCCAGGCTGGTTTTGAACTCCTAGGCTCAAGCAATCCTCCTGTCTTGACCACCCAAAGTGCTGGAATTACAGGTGTGAGCCACTCAGCCCAACCTCAATGAGATCTTTTCTAACTGCCCTACTTAAAATATCGACACCCCTCCCTTCCCAACTCTCCCGACCATCCTTTCCCTGCCTTTCCCCCAATGTGGTCTACTTTTTAATATTGTAAAATGTACATATTTAGATTTGGTATTTATTGCCTGCTCCCCCACTGGAATATCAACCTCACGATCACGAGGGCAGGGAATTGTCTTCTTTTTTTTTTTTTTGGTCTCTTTTAACACTGATGTATTCCAAGCACCCAGAAAGAACCCATGATAGACATTAATAAGTATCCTGAATGAATAATACACCTCAGCCATTCCATGCCATTTGAAACCCAGACATTCTTAAGGTTCAGCGTTACTCCCACTTTCCATAAAAACCAAGTCCTATAGGCTGCCTCTGCATATCACCTCTCTGATCAATTTTATCCTCTCTATGTCCCCAAACATTGCCTGCATTTGAGGCTCTGTCATCTCCCTCTAGCTATGACATCAGCATCCTATCTTTCCTTTCTTTTTTTTTTTTTTTTTTTTGAGATGGAGTTTCACTCTTGTTGCACAGGCTGGAATGCAGTGGTGCCATCTCGGCTCACTGCAACCTCCGCCTCCCAGGTTCAAGTAATTCTCCTGCCTCAGCCTCCTGAATAGCTGGGATTACAGGCACACACCACCACGCCCAGCTAATTTTTGTATTTTTAGTAGAGACGGGATCTCACCATGTTGGCCAGGCTGTTCTTGAACTTCTGACCTCAAGCGATCCACCTGCCTCAGCCTCTCAAAGTGCTGTCTCTCTGTTCTCAATCCTTTCCCCTCCAACCCACCCTACAGAGAGAGGACCTCACAGTGTTAATGTCCTGCTTAAAACCTTTCTATGGCAGGCGGGCATGGTGGCTTACACCTGTAGTACCCCGGGAGACTGAGGCAGGAGGATGGCTCAAGCCCAGGAGTTTGAGTTCAGCCTGGGCAACATAGTGAGACCCTGTCTCAGAGAAAACAAATTTATGAGTTTCAAGTCAAGGCTAAATTGGAAAAAATAAAATAAATTTAACCAGCCTCTCTATGGCCCCCATGGCCTTCTCAGGAAATCCAGTCTCCAGTGGTCCTGAAGCCTTAAGTGGTCTGGACCCACTTCCTGCTGTGCCTGCTCATCCTCACACCATCCCCCACAACATTCCTCAGGCCTGCAGAACATCTTACTGCTGGCCACAGAGCTCTCCTGCAGACATTTTCATCTTCTGCTCTTTCTGCTGAAAATGATCTCCCTGCGTCTTTTTTTTTTAAGAGTCTTGCTATGTTGCCTGGGCTGGTCTTGAACACCTGGATTCCAGATATCCTCCCGCCTCTGCCTTCTTGGTAGCTAAGATTACAGGCATGAGCTGTGCTATTCAGGTTCCCCTGCCTCTCATCAGGCTTGTTCCTACCTTCCTTGGGGACGTCCTCCAGGAAGCCTTCCTTAGCTTCACACCAGGCTGGGTGAGCTGCCTCATATCTGTGTTCACATATCAACTTGTGCTGATCTTGGTCGGCTTTTCTGACTCGGCCATGAGATCATGTGAGCCTTGAGGACGGAGTTTTGTCTTATTTTATAATCCCAGTGAGGCTGGGTGCAGTGGTGTGCATCAGTAAACCCAGGTTCTGCAGTGAGCTATGCAGTGAGCTATGATAATATCTGTGAATAGCCACTACACTCTAGGTTGGGCAACAGAGCAAGACCCCATCTTTAGAAAATAAAAACAGGCCAGGCACAGTGGTTCACATCGGTAATCCCAGGACTTTGGGAGGCCAAGGTGGGTGGATCACCTGAGCTCAGGAGTTTGAGACCAGCTTGGCCAGCATGGCAAAACCCCATCTCTACTGAAAATACAAAAATTAGCTTGGCACGGTGGCGCATGCCTGTAACCCCAGCTACTCAGGAGGCTGAGGCTGGAGAATCGCTTGGACCTGGGAGGCGGAGGTTGCAGTGAGCTGAGATCGTGCCACTGCACTCTGGCTTGGGTGACAGAGCAAGACCCCATCTCAGAAAAAAAAAAAAAGTAAATAATAAATAACAAAACAAATTAAATTTATTATTTAAATTTTTTAAATAACAAATGATAATCCCAGTGAGGATACATCATCTAAATAGTAGGCACTTAGTAAATAAGAAGGGAAGGAAAGCAGGAAGAAGGGAAGAGGGAAAGCAGAAAAGAAGAAAGAAAGGTCTCAAATGCTCAGCTCTCTTTCTGGGCACATGGTGGGGCTGCACCTCTCCACCCACTTGAGCTCGTGCACGGCCATGTGATCTGCTTTGGCCCATGAAGTATGAGTGAAAATGACATGTGTCACTTTTAGGCAGAAGCAGACAGGTCAGTCTGTGGTCTCCATCCTCTTTTTACTGCCTGCTGGGTCACAGAAGCACTTGTTGAGATGGAGTCTCTGTCACACAAGGCCCCTGAGTGACTAAGACAAGCAGAGCCCCTGGTGGACCTGCAGTGGACACACAGCATGGGGTGAGAAAGACACTCTGTTCTTTTGAACTGCTGAGAGTTTAGGGTTTATTATTAACCTAGCACAACCACGTCTCTTCTTTTTTTTTTTTTTTTTTGAGATGGAGTTTCACTCTTGTTCCTCAGGCTGGAATGCAGTGGCGTGATCTCAGATCACTACAACCTCCACCTCCCAGGTTCCAGCGATTCTCCTGCCTCAGCCTCCTGAGTAGCTGAGATTACAGGTGCCCACCCAAAGTACTGGGATTATGGGTGTGACCCACCTTGCCCAGCCACGTCTCTTCTTTTCTTTTTTAATTTCAACTTTTGTTTTAGATGCAGAGGATATACATGCAGGTTTGTTACATGGGTATATTGCATGATGCCGAAGTTTAAGGTACGATTGATTCTGTCACAAGCATAGGACCCAATAAGTAGTTTTCCAACCCCTGCAGCTCTCTTCCTCTACCCTCTAGGAGTCCCCAGTGTCTATTGTTTCCATCTTTGTGTCCCAATACCCAATATTTTGCTCCCACTTATAAGTAAGAACATGGGGTATTTGGTTTTCTGTTTCTATGTTAATTCAAGTGCAGTTGGTTTGAGGTATCAGGGAAAATCGCATCTTTTTACCCTTCTATTTGCTAAGAATATCAGACACTACCTTGCCTTTCCCACTGCTATACAATTTCAATTCCAATTGTCTGTTTTCCATAGATTCTTGCAAAGATGCTATAAGGTGAACAGGTGAAATATTATTTATTTATTTATTTTTTTTTTTTTTTGAGACGGAGTCTCGCTCTGTCGCCCAGGCTGGAGTGCAGTGGCGGGATCTCGGCTCACTGCAAGCTCCGCCTCCCGGGTTCACGCCATTCTCCTGCCTCAGCCTCCCAAGTAGCTGGGACTACAGGCGCCCGCCACTACGCCCGGCTAATTTTTTGTATTTTTAGTAGAGACGGGGTTTCACCGTTTTAGCCGGGATGGTCTCGATCTCCTGACCTCGTGATCCGCCCGCCTCGGCCTCCCAAAGTGCTGGGATTACAGGCGTGAGCCACCGCGCCCGGCCCAGGTGAAATATTATTATCCTCCACCTACAAACTAAGAAAAAGAACCTGAATGACTGCCCGGGACTCCCTGGGTAGGAGAGAGGGGAGCTAACACCAGAGCCCAGGTCCCCAGCTCCCCACCCAGGGCTTCACTGCTTGGCTCCAGTCAATAAAATAGCACAGGTCTAAAGAGTCTAAAATCTGGAGGTCCCCACCAGAAAGGGATCCTTCTTTTTTTAAAAAGGAAATATATCCAAAGGTTAGAATCAGGCCAGGCGCGGTGGCTCACACCTGTAATCTCAACACTTTGGGAGGCCAAGGCAGGTTGATCACTTGAGGTCAGGAGTTCGAGACTTGCCTGGCCAACATGGTGAATCCCCCATCTCTACTAAAAATACAAAAATTAGCGGGGAATGGTGGCAAGTGCCTGTAATCCCAGTTACTCGGTAGGCTGAGGCAAGAGAATCGCTTGAACTTGGGAAGCAGAGGTTGCAGTGAGCCGAGATTGCACCACTGCACTCCAGCCTGGGTGACAGAGTGAGACCCCTTCTCAAAAAAAAAGAAAAAAAGGGTTGGAATCGTGGACTTTAAAGCCCGACTGCCCAAGCTGGCCCCAGCTCCAGCCCTCACTACCCAGAGATCATGAGCATAGCTCCCTCTCTCTCAAGCTCCATTCCTCCAGGCCTGTAACACTGGGATAATAATAGTATCTACTTCTTACTCTTGTGAGTTTTAAATAAACAAATCCATGAAGAAGACTTGGCATGGCGTCTGGCATATAATAAAGGCTCGCTGAGATTTCTCTATGACTACCCTGTTATCACAGTTCTTTCCATTTAAACAGCCGCCTTCCAGGACTGTAATGCCAGGCTGCTGCCACAAGGTGGCACTGTTGTCTCTGGCCACCCTTCCTGAGTCGCTAAAGCTTCATTTCTCAAAATGCCAAGTTGAGTCAGGACGGAAGGAGAACCCAGAAAAAGATGACAGAGTCCGAGAACTCCAGACAAAAACGTGACTTCCTTGTCACATCAAAAATGATGAAACTGCTTCCGTCTTTTATCTCTGCTCTTTCTTGTAGCTGGATCCCCACACCTCAGAATAGGCTGAAGCAGCTGGTAAAATTGGGCTGCCCAGCCCCAACCCCACACCACGGGTATAACTGGGCGGGGGGTCCTAGTGGAAGGTGATTGAATCCACTGCTGTAGAGAAGGGCTTCTAGGGCTGTAGCACGCTTACGCCTCACCTGGGCACCTTATGAAAATGCAGATTCCGATTCTCAGCCTCTCTGTGCCTTATTTCCTTCATCTCAAAATAGGGAATAATAATGGCACCTACTTCAGGGAGTTATTATGCAGAAAAAGATGACAGCATGATCAGTTAAGTGATTAATTGAATAAGCAGGGCACATGGCGAGTGTCCTTGCAAGCTTTTATGTTAGAGAGAAAAAAAAGGTCAGGCTTGGGGCTGTGGGATGGGGCCTGGCACTGTGCATTTCTTTTTTGTTTGTTTGTTTTTGTTTTTGTTCTTTGAGACGAATTCTTCACTCTGTAGCCCAAGCTGGAGTGCAGTGGTGCAATCTCAGCTTACCGCAACCTCCACCTCCGGGGGCTCAAGCGATTCTCGTGCCTCAGCCTCCCAAGTAGGTGGGACTGCAGGCGCGTATCACCACGCCCAGCTAATTTTTTGTATGTCAGTAGAGACGGGGTTTCACCATGTTGCCCAGGGTCATTCCGAACTTCTGAGCTCAGGAGATCCGCCCGCCTCGGCCTCCCATTACAGGTGTGAGCCACCGCGCCCAGCCAGCACTGTGCATTTCTAACAAGCTCTTGAGTGAGGTCTGTGCTGCGGTTCCGGGCCCCATACTCTGAGGACCTGGCCCATTTGTGGCAAATGGAATTGGCGACCTCTTGGAAGTCAAGGCTGCAGTGAGCCGAGTTCCTTATGCATGCCGGTTCACCCAGCCGCACAACAGCCCTGTGAAATCAGTGTCATTGTTGCCGTTTTATGGATGATAAATGAAAACATTAAGTAACTGTCCCAAGGTTGTAACAGCTAATTATTAGCAGAGCCGGAACTCAAACACAATACACTCTGCTAAATCAAATGTTATTGTTTTATGTTGAATTAAAGTAAACGTGGCCCAGCTTTCCCTCCCTGACTTCTCAAGACAAAGAGAAAAGATCACGGAGGCAGCAGAGAGTGGAAAGGAGGGCAGCGCCTGGAGCCAAATCTATCGGACTCACAGTCTGTCCAGTCAGGAGCTGTGTGACCCTGACGAGTTGCTCAGCCTCTCTGTGCCTTATTTTCTTCATCTCAAAATAGGGAATAATAATGGCACCTACTTCGGGGAGTTATTATGCAGAAAAAGATGACAGCATGATCAATTAAGTGATAAATTAAATAAGCAGGACACATGGTGAGTGCTCAGTCATTGTCTGCACCGAGGGCTTATGTCCAAGGCTGTGAGAACTGCAGGGACCCATGATCTCCACTTTGGGCTTTAGGGAGCTCACAGTCTGATGAGGGAGAGTGGGGAAAGTGATCGCAGAAGGCCCATCGGAGCACCCATGGGGAGCAATCACCACCACGCAGCTCAGCATAAGGCAGCCACCAGCACCCCACAGGAACTGTCAAAGCTCATCTGTATGTTCATCTGCTCCTACACTCCCCAAACAAGTTTAACACCTTGAGTGAGTCCACTCATTATGGATGCAACGAGACCACAGAGGACATGAGATGGAGGCTGTGAATCCACTAGGCCCTTTGTTCCAAAAGACTCTTGCAGCAGGAGCTGACCACAACGCGAATGACTGCAGTGTGTAAAGACATGATTTGTACCATCAGGCCTCTAAATGCACACCTGCGACTTCACATGGTGCCTCAACAGTGATCCATTCCAAGGCCGGAGGAGAAACAGCCTCGCATTTACTGAGATAAGGTGGCTGGTCTCAAATGTGGGGCCTGGCTGTTTTCAAGGGTGAGTCTAGACACTCTTTACTCTGTAGTTGCAGTTTAAACCCTGGGTAATTTGAGCCTGCTCATCTGGGTCATAGTTAACAATGTGTCTTCAAGAGACTGGAAACAAACTGCCCTTCAGGAAACCAGGTACAGTCTCAGCTACTCTGGACGCTGGGGTAGCAGGATCCCTTGAGCCCAGGAGTTCAAGGCTATAGTGCACTATGATTGCACCTGTGAATAGCCACTGCACTCCAGCCTGGGCAACATCGGGAGACCTCATCTCTAAAAATTAATAAAATAAATGCCCATCATTAGGGAACTAGTGAAAGAAATTGTAAAATAAGCTGCTTGAGCAGATAAAAGCAATAGAATGTGGGGGCTCTCAATGTTCTTATATAGATAGATTTCGTCCTATGAAAATAACAAGCTACGGCTGGGCATGGTGGTTCACACCTGTAATCCCAGCACTTTGGGAAGCTGAGGCAGGCAGATCATCACCTGAGGTCAGGAGTTCGAGACCAGCTTGGCCAACATGGCGAAACCCCATCTCTACTAAAAATATAAAAATTAGCTGGGCATGGTGGCATGCACCTGTAATCCCAGCTACTAGGAGGCTGAGGCAGGAGAATTGTGTGAACCCAGGAGGTGGAGGTTGCAGTGAGCAGAGATCACACTACTTCACTCCAGCCTGGGTGACAGATTGAGACTCCATCTCAAAAATAAAAATAAAAATAAATAAAATAAAATGTAGAAAGATAGTCCCAGCAACTAAGGAGTCTGAGGCAGGAGAATCACTTGAGCCCAGGAGTTTGAGGCTGAAGTGACCCTTGATCGTTCCACTGCACGCCACCTTGGGCAACAGATTGAAACCCCAACGCACATACAAAAAAAAAGGTGGAAAGTTCCACAAAAAACAAACAGTAGTGGTTATCCCTAAGGGAGTCCACTAGGAAGACGGGGGACAGAGACAGAGAGAGCAGTGCAGGTAGGAGCAGACCCAGTTGCCCCTGGTTGCCTTGTTATTGTTTTATGCTGAATTAAAGTAAACGTGGCCCAGCTTTCCCTCCCTGACTTCCCAAGACAAAGAGAAAAGGCCACAGAGGCAGCAGAGAGTAGAAAGGAGGGCAACGCCTGGAGCCAAACCTCCCGGACTCACAATCTGCCATTCAGGAGCTGTGTGACCCTGATGAGTTGCTCAGCCTCTCTGTGCATTATTTTCTTCATCTCAAAATAGGGAATAATAATGGCACCTACTTCAGGGAGTTATAATGCAGAAAAAGATGACAGCATGATCAATTAAGTGATTAATTGAATAAGCAGGGCACATGGTGAGTGTCCTTGCAAGCTTTCATGTTAGAGAGAAAAAAAAGGTCAGGCTTGGGGCTGTGGGTGCTTACCAACTGTCTTTCGGTTCCCTCCAAAATCCCTCCCATCTGTGGGCGCCCTTCCACTGAATGCCTTTTTAAAAATTGTGGTATAAAAAAACACAACATAAAATATATAATCTTTACCACTTTCAACTGTACAGTTTGGTAACGTTAAGTATATTCACATTGTTATGAATGTATTTTAATACTTATGTAATTTTTTTTTTTTTTGAGATGGAGTCTTACTCTGTCACCAGGCCGGAGTGCAGTGGCACAATTTCAGCTCACTGCAACCTCCACCTCCCAGGTTCAAGCGATTCTTGTGCCTCAGCCTCCTGAGTAGCTGGGATTATAGGCACCTGGCCACCACACCAAGCTAATTTTTTTTGTACTTTTAGTCGAGACAGGGTTTCACCATGTTGGCCAGGATGGTCTCGATCTCCTGACCTTGTGATCCACCCACCTCAGCCTCCCAAAGTACTAGGATTACAGGCGTGAGCCACCACGCCCAGCCCTGTGTTGCCTATTTAAGAAATCAATTTAAAAATCATTATGCCCTCATGCTACCTGACTTCAAACTATACTACAAGGCTACTGATACCAAAACAGATATATAGACCAATGGAACAGAACAGAGGCCTCAGAAATAACACCACACATCTACAGCCATCTAATCTTCAACAAACCTAACAAAAACAAGCAATGGGGAAAGGATTCCCTATTTAATAAATGGTGCTGGGAAAGCTGGCTAGCCATATGCAGAAAACTGAAACTGGACCCCTTCCTTACACCTTATACAAAAATTAACTCAAGATGGATTAAAGACTTACATGTAAAACCTAAAACCATAAAAACCCTAGAAGAAAACCTAGGCAATACCATTCAGGACATAGGCATGGGCAAAGACTTCATGACTAAAACACCAAAAGCAATGGCAACAAAAGCCAAAATTGACAAATGGGAGCTAATTAAACTAAAGAGCTTCTGCACAGCAAAAGAAACTATCATCAGAATGAACAGGTAACCTACAGCATGGGAGAAAATTTTTGCAATCTATCCATCTGACAAAGGTCTAATATCCATAATCTACAAGGAACTGAAACAAATTTACGAGAAAAAAACAAACAACCCCATTAAAAATTGGATGAAGGATATGAACAGACACTTCTCAAAAGAAGACATTTATGTGGCCAACAAACATATGAAAAAAAGCTCATCATCACTGGTCATTAGAGAAATGCAAATCAAAACCACAATGAGATACCATCTCACGCCAGTTAGAACGGTGATCATTAAAAAGTCAGGAAACAACAGATGCTGGAGAGGATGTGGAGAAATAGGAATGCTTTTACACTGTTGGTGACGGTGTAAATTAGCTCAACCATTGTGGAAGACAGTGTGGCGATTCCTCAAAGATCTAGAACCAGAAATACCATTTGACCCAGCAATCCCATTACCGGGTATACACCCAAAGGATTATAAATCATTCTGTCATAAAGACACATGCACACGTACGTTTATTGCAGCACTATTTACAATAGCAAAAACTTGGAACCAACCCAAATACCCATCAATGATAGACTGGATAAAGAAAACGTGGCATATATACAGCATGTAATACTATGCAGCCATAAAAAAGAGTGTGATCATGTCCTTTGTAGGGACATGGATAAAGTTGGAAACCATCATTCTCAGCAAACTAACACAGGAACAGAAAACCAAACACTGCATGTTCTCACTCATAAGTGAGAGTTGAACAATGAGAACACATGGACACAGGGAGGGGAACATCACACACCGGGGCGTGTCAGAGGATGGGGGGTAAGGGGAGGGAGAGTATTAGGACAAATACTTAATGCATGTGGGGCTTAAAACCTAGATGACAGGTTGATAGGTGCAGCAAACCACCATGGCACATGTATACCTGTGTAACAAACCTTCACGTTCTGCACATGTATCCCAGAACTTAAAGTCAAATTAGAAAAAAAAGAAGAAAAAAAAAATCATTATGCCCAAATACATCATTGATGTCTATTTCAGTTGAGTAAGGAGACTTGTTATACTGGGAAAGAGAAAAAAAGGGGAACATGTACCTTGAAATCATACTGAACTGAATTCAAATCCTGTCCCTGCCATTTACTGGCATTGGAAAAGTCAAGTAAGTTCTCTAAGTCTTTGTCTCCCCATTCTTTTTTTTTTTTTTTTTTTTCAAGACAGGGTCTTGCTCTGTCGCCCAGGCTGAATAGTGCAGTGGCTCAATCTCGGGTCACTGCAGCCTTGACCTCCCCGGCTCCAGCAATCTTCCCATCTCAGCCTCCCGAGTAACTGGGACTACAGGCATGCGCCATGTCTGGCTAGTTTTTGTACTTTTGGTAGAGACAAGGTTTCGCCATGTTACCCAGGCTTCCCCGTTCTTCAAAATGCACATGAAAATGATGTCCATCAAAGCATTCCCGGGAGCATTAAATGAGAATTCTTGTAAAGCAAGGAGCACATAATCTAGCCCAAGAGCGCTGCGAGTTCACAGTGACTCTTTATTTTGCACTGCACTTGGAAGAATGTTGGACAAAGCGCGTGCCTTGGAAGCCAGGGCAGGAGTTCTCAACCTATGGAGCACCAGGAACACCTGGGGTTCCTGTTAAAAATATCCATGCCAAGAGTCCCACCCCAAACCCACTGAGCCAGAATCTAATAGAGGTGGATGGAACCTAAGCTACTGCTACTGTATTTTAACACCCTGCCCCTCTTTTTTTTTTTTTTTTTTTTGAGGTCGAGTCTCGTTCTATCACCCAGGCTGGAGTGCAGTGGCGGATCTCTGCTCACCACAACCTCCGCCTCCCGGGTTCAAGCGATTCTCTTTCCTCAGTCTCCCGGGTAGCTGGGACTACAGGCACGCGCCACCATGCCCTGCTAATTTTTGTATTTTTAGTAGAGACGGGGTTTCACTATGTTGGCCAGGCTGGTCTCGAACTCCTGACCTCGTGATCCGCGCCCCCCCCCCCCCCCGCCCAAGGCCTCCCAAAGTGCGGGGATTACAGGCGTGAGCCACCGCTCCCAGCCCACCCTACCCCTTTAATTCGGGCACATCAAAGCTGAGAACAGCTAGATGGAGATGCCCTGTGTCCTTCGGTGTCACTTCTGGGCCTCCGGAGGTGGCAGGCCCAGGCAGACTGACGTGCTAAGGTTGTCGTTCTAGATGCTGAGAAGTTCTGGAGTCATCACCAGACAGTGTTAAGAAAGAGAGCTTTGGGGAGTAATTTCCCTCATGTGACCTGAGGGCGGGGGTAGGGATGGAGGAAGTCGCCCTCCCCGCTCTGACATCTGATCACCTTCTGTCCACTTGAAGCAGCAAAAAGAGGGTGCAAAGTCCCCGTTGCATTTTACTGAGCTTCTGATGCACTCCCCCACCTCCCCAGCTGCTCTCTCCACATTCGAGGAAGCAGCGCGGGTAGCAGCTGACCCAGTCGCCCCTGGTTGCCTGGAAGTGCCCTTCCAAGCTTTTTTGTCAGAGAGAAAAAACAAAAGCCAAGCTCGGGGCTGTGGGTGCTTACCAACTTTCTTTCGGTTCCCTCCGAAATCCCTCCCATTTGTGGGAGGCGTTTTCTGCCAGTCACCCACGTCCATTTGGTTTGCATCCCAATTCGGCCTTGCCACCGGCTCCCAGAAGCTCTGCGTGCTGCGGGTGGCCCCGGCGTCTACCTCGCGCTCGGGTGGAAAGAGCTGGGACGGCCTCGCAGACTGCGCTGGCGCCGCGAGAACAGCAGGTGGCGCCACGGACCCAAGGCGCCCTGAGCCGGGAGCGCTTCCTGGAGAGAGCAGGAGTGTCTGTGTTCACAGGAGCTCAATAAATGCTTGATAGGTATGTGTGAGAGCTGAAAGTTTCCCGCTGCACTCTGTGTCCAGGTCTAAGCAGAAAAGCTGGCAGGAGGGTGAAAAAGCGAGTGTCCAGGGGTGGGAGTTGAACAATGGGAACACACCTGGACACAGGGAGAGGAACATCACACACCGGGTCCTATCGGTGGGTGGGGGGCAAGCGGAGGGGGAGCATTAGGACAAGTACCTAATGCATGCGGGGTTTAAAACCTAGATGACGGGTTGATAGGTGCAGCAAACCACCATGGCACATGTATACCTATGTAACGAGCCTGCACGTTCTGTACATGTATCCCAGAACTTAAAGTCAAATAAAAATTAAAATTAAAATTAAAAAAAAAAAAGCGAGTGTCTCCGCAGGAAGGGCGGGCGGACCCTCCGCCTTGCAGAAATGGGGAAGCCTGGCCCGGGAGCAGGGAAGGCCGCGCAGCACCAGGAGCGGAGGGGCCAGGACTCGGTCGCCAGCTCGGTGGTCTTAGACCCTACACGGGCTTCCCCAAAGACCTGCGGCTGCTAGCAACCCCCACCCCAGGGACAGAGTCCTCGGTCCTGGGGCACCAACTGAGAATTTCCCACTCTGAGTCATTTACATCCCCTTGATGATTTTGGACGTACCTACATGTCACCTGAAATATGACTCAGTTATTTTTTTCTTCAACTCAACTGTTTAAAGTTAAATGTAGGCCAGGTACAGTGGCTCATGCCTGCAATCCCAACAGTTTGGGAAGCCCAGGCTGGAGGATCTCTTGAGGTCAGAAATTTGAGAGCAACCTGGGCAACATAGCAAGACCTCATTTCTCAAAAAAAAAAGAAAAAATTCAGAGCAGGAGTGTAAGTTTATTTAAAAGGCTTTAGAACAGGAAAGAAAGGAAAGGAAAGTATGCTTGGAAGAGACCCAAGCAGGCACCGACATCAAATGCCCATTTTTTTTTAATTAGCCAGGTGCAGTGGTGCACACCTGTAGTCCCAGCTACTCAGGAGGCTGAGGTAGGAGAATCGCTTGAGCTTAGGAGTTAGTTCAAGGCTGCAGTGAGCCGAGATCATACCATTGCACTCCAGCCTGGGCGACAGAGCAAGACTCTGTCTCTAAAATAAACAAACAAGAGTTATCTGTATTAAAAAAAAAAAAGTAAATAAGTAGAGCTAAATATAAGGGAAATAGTTTATTGCTATACTAACTAGAAGCCCAGTATTTCTCACCAAAACATAAGAGAACTATAAAAATAAATACACAACAGTCATGATTTCTTACAAGTCTGTCAGTTTACCGCTGAAAAGCAACTGGTATCTCATCAGTGCTGTGTTTTCCACACTTGAGGAAAATCAGGGATTCCAGCGCAGAAACCAACAGGAATTCTGAATGAAATGAGGTAACAGGTGGTGAAAGGAAAGCCAAGCAAAGCCGGAGAGAGAGGGGTTCAACCCTGACCGACATTCTGTGCCGGGCAGCAGATTCCAGGGCTTCTTGCAAGATGCACGTTCTTCCGGAAACTGCAAGTTATTTTTGACTGGTAAGCTGGAGGGGAAGGGTAGAGGCCCAGTTTCCTGTGAGCCCACCCCACCCCTGAGGTCTGATGCCAAGCTGATGGCATCACAGGGTCAGGTAGTCCCAAGAGGTCACCTGGCTGGCCTCCCATATCTGGTGACCAATCACCTGTCCCACAACCTTCTTGAGGGGTCTTCCTCCCTCTGCCCCAGTGCATTGCTGCTGTGGAGGCAGCTGCAGGGAGGCAGGACCCAGGGCAGCTGGCCAGACAAGTGAGTGCAGGGAAGATAGAGGAGGTGGAGTGGCCCTTCCCCAGACACAGCTTCAGTGAGCCTGTGATTGAAGAGGTGTCTGCACTGGGTTACGCTGTAGGGAAAGATAACCATGGGACTGTGGGCAAGGCACTTCCCCTCTTGCTCTTGGCTTCCTCTTCTGTAAATTAAAGAAGGTGGGTCAAACAGGACCTTGTAGTGAAGAGTCGTCTCCAAGCACCTCTCCAGCCTGAGACTTGGGGCTGTTAGAGGGAGGAATTGCCTGGCCAACCGTGTCTTTCAGTGCATGCAGTTGGTTTTTTTTTTCTTTTAAAGACAGGGTCTTGCTCTGTTGCCCAGGCTGGAATGCAGTGGCCTGATCATGGCTCACTGCAGCCTCGAAATCCTGGGCTCAAGTGATCCTCCCACCTCAGCCTCCCAAGTAGCTGGGACTACAGGCACCCACCACCATGCCCAGGTAGTTATTTTATGGTTTACAGAGATAGGGCCTTGCTGTGGTGCCCAGTCTGGTATGCAAGAGTTTTGTAACAAAGTGTGCAAATGGTCTCTCCTATTATTTCAGAGAACCAAGAGCCCATGGTCAAGTAGAAGGAGCACCCTCCCCACTGTGTGTGTCCTGCAATCCTGGAATATGGAAAGGCCATTTGTGCCACCTTGTCCTGGAGCTCTTTAAGTCAAGAAATCCCAATTATTGATCCTGGGCAGTCCCTAAACTAGCCTGGTATGAGTTTGGGAGTGGGAGAGTTCAAGGGGAGCCAAGGCATGCCTCTGCCCCTCTAGTTCTGCCGGGAAGTCTTCAATATTGCACACCCGCTGTGACAGTCCTGGCTCAGTCCCTTCCTAGTGGTGGGGACTGCAGTCAAGTTAATTAATCTCTCTAAGCCTCAGTTTCTTAATCTGTAAAATGGGCATAACGCCTACTTCATAGAATTGTTTGTTGCGGCTAAATGAGATCATTCATGTAGAGTCGGTCAATCAGTATTTGCTGAACACCTACTGTTCTAAGTGCTTGGTGCATAGCCTAGTTCCTTGTACAGGATTAGGCATGCAGGGAGTTTTGGAAAAGCAATGAATATACGTGTATATATGTGTGTGTGTGTATATATATATATGTATATGTTTATATAGAATATCTTCCATACCACAGCAATTCCATTCAATCCCCTCTTTCAAACATGAAGGGGCTGGGCTTCCTCTTGGCATGGTAGCCAGGTTCCAAGCAAGACTGTTTCACCAGCAAGTGTTCCAAGAAAAAGGAAGTAGAAGCTTTCATCTTCCTAAGCATTGATCTTGGAAGTTCTGGAACATCACTTCCACTGAATTCTATTAGTCAATGAAGTCACAAGACCAGTCCAGATTTTTAAAGGGAAGTACGCACATGCAGGAAGGAAGGAATTTCTGAGGACCATCTTTGGAAACTACCTAACACAGACAAGGAATAGAAAAGGCCTGGTTTCCTGTGAGCCCGCCCCACCCCTGACCTGACGTCTGATGCCAAGCTGATGGCATCACAGGGTCAGGTGGTCTCAAGAGGTCACCTGGCTGGCCTCCCATATCTGGTGACCGATCACCTGTCCCGCTTCCTTCCTGAGGGGTCTTCCTGCCTCTGCCCCAGTGCATTGCTGCTGTGGAGGCAGCTGCAGGGAGGCAGGACCCAGGGCAGCTGGCCAGGCAAGTGAATGCAAGGAAGATAGAGGAGGTAGAGTGGCCCTTCCCTAGACACACCCTCAGTGAGCCTGTGATTGAAGAGGTATCTGCATTGGGTTATGCTGTAGGGAAAGATAACCATGGAACTGTGGGCAAGGCACTTCCCCTCTTGCTCCTGGTTTCGTCTTCTGTAAATTAAAGAGGGTGGGTCAGACAGGGCCTTATAGTGAAGAGTCACCTCCAAGCGCCTCTCCAGCCTGAGACTTGGGGCTGTTAGAGGGAAGAATTGCCAGCAGTTGCTCACTGACACTGTAACATTTATTCATTTGTTCATTCATTCATTGCCTGCCTTCCCCTCTCATATGTAAGCTGATGAGAACAGACATTGCTTTGTTTAGTGTTATATTCCCAGCACTTAGAATGCTTGGCACTTAGTAGGTGCTCAGTAAATATTTGTTGAATGAATGAATCAATCAATTAAGTAATCAATTATTCAATTGTCCTAACCAGCCACAGGAAGTTGAGTAGGACAAGAAGGTTTCATGGAAGAAGTGAGAATTGGGCTGGGCTTTAAAGACAGGTAGGCCTGGCAAGAATGTGTTCTATTGATGAGCCAATGAGAAGCAGTGAGAGATAGTGGGCTGATGCCCCAGTCACTTTGGTGGACACACAACCAACCACAAACCCTTAACTAATTGTTCTTTCACACCCCATACAGGGAGCTGAGAAGCCTTCATTAGATTTGATGTGTGTGTCCCATGGAGTATGTAGAAAGAGGATGCCAAATTTTTTTTTTTTTTTTTTTGAGATAGGGTTTTACTCTATTACCCAGGCTAGAGTGCAGTGGTACAATCATGGCTCACTGCAATCTCAACCTTCCAAGCTCAATCCATCCTCCCACCACAGCCTCCCAAGTAGCTAAGACCACTCTGCCTGGCTTTTTTTTTTTCTTTTTTCTTTTTTTTGAGACAGAGTCTTGTACTCTCACCCAGGCTGGAGTGCAGTGGTACAATCTTGGCTCACTGCTGCCTCCACCTCCTAGGTTCAAGTTATTCTCCTGCCTCAGCCTTCTGAGTAGCTGGGATTACAGGTGCACACCACTGCACTTGGCTAATTTTTGTATTTTTAGTAAAGACAGGGTTTAGGCCGGGCTCGGTGGCTCACGCCTGTAATCCCAGCACTTTGGGAGGCCGAGGCGGGCAGATCATGAGGTCAGGAAATCGAGACCATCCTGGCTAACAGGGTGAAACCTTGTCTCTACTAAAAATACAAAAAATTAGCTGGGTGTGGTGGCGGGCGCCTGTAGTCCCAGCTACTCAGGAGGCTGAGGCAGGAGAATGGCGTGAACCTGGGAGGCGGAGCTTGCAGTGAGCCGAGATTGGGCCACTGCACTCCAACCTGGGTGACAGAGAGAGACACTGTCTCAAAAAAAAAGAAAAAAAAAAAAAGACAGGGTTTCACCATGTTGGCTGGGTTGGTCTCGAACTCCTGACCTCAGGTGATCCGCCCGCCTCAGCCTCCCGAAGTGCTGGGATTACAGCCATGAGCCACTGTCCCCAGCCTAATTTTTTATGATCTTTTGCAGAGATGGGCGGGGGAGGGTCTTGCTATGTGCCCCATGCTGGTCTTGAACTTCTGGGCTCAAGCAGTCCACCCACCTCAGCTTCCCAAAGTGCTAGGATTACAGGCATGAGCCACTGCACCTGGCTGAATGCTGAATTATTAGCTCAGCCCTAGGGGCAGGGCTTTCTCTGAATTATCTCTGTAGAACAATCATTTTCAACTGGGGACAGTTTTGACATTAGACAATGTCTGGTGAGGTTTTCTTGTCACACCGGGTGTAGGGGAGTGGTTGTTATTGGCATCTAGTGAGTAGAGGATAGGGATTCTGCTAAACATCCTACAATTCACAAGACAGGTCCCTACAACAAAGAATTATCTCACCCAAAATGTCAATTGTGCCCCTGTTGAGAAATCCTAGCTGTAGAGGGTGATGGGAAAATGCTTTGAATTAGAAACATTTGGGAGCTGGCAGACTGCCGACAATCTCTGTAGTAGCACTTGGCAGAGAGCTGCATTCCCACCTAAGGACTGCGTGTTATAAATAGCTCCTCTCGGTATTGTGGCAGTTGTAGCAGTTTGAATCAATGTCAGAGGAGTTTCAATACATGGATAATAAAAATGCAAAGGAAATATATAAAGGGAGAGAATAAGAGACTAGAAGCAGCAGACGCATTGAGGTTTTCCTGCAGCTAAGGAGAAGCACGCCCTCCACGCTTGAATGCAGAGATTCTTCCTCCAAAATAGCTCTCAGATTCCTCCACTCCCTCCCCACTGCAACTTCCCTGGTCCAAGCCCCCATCCTCTGGCACCTAGACCAATACTGCCACTGGGAAGAAAAAAGAAAAAATATATATATATATATTATATATATATATATTCCATCCAATCCCCTTTCTCAAACATGAAGGGGCTGGGTTTCCTCTTGGCATGGTAGCCAGGTTCCAAGTAAGACTATTTCACCAGCAAGTGTTCCATGAAAAAGGAAGTGGAGGCTTCCTTCTACTTCCAGCAAGAACACTTGCTGGTGAAATAGTCTTACTTTCTTACTTGGAACCTGGCTACCATGCCGAGAGAAGCCCAGCCCCTTCGTGGTTTTTTTTTTTTTTTTCTGAGACGGAGTCTCGCTCTGTCACCTAGGCTGGAGTGCACTGGTGCGATCTTGGCTCACTGCAAGCTCCGCCTCTTGGGTTCACGCCATTCTCCTGCCTCAGCCTCCCTGGTAGCTGGGACTATAGGCGCCCGCCACCACGCCCGGCTAATTTTGTTTTTGTATTTTCAGTAAAGATGGGGTTTCACCGTGTTAGCCAGGATGATCTTGATCTCCTGACCTCGTGATCCACCCCCCTTCATGTTTGAGAAAGGGGATTGGATGGAATTGCTGTGGTATGGAAGATATTCTATATAAACACATATATACCTATGTTCTTCCCAGTCTACTCTGGCCTCCTCCACGCTTTTTCCCCAGAGAAGGGAGACAGATCTTACAGCATAAATTAGATGATGCATTCACTGCTTAACCTGGGAACACCAGGGGCAGCAGCTCACTCCTACAATCCCAGAACTGTGGGAGGCCAAAGCAGAAGGGTTGCTTGAGGCTAGGAGTCCAGACCAGCCTGGGCAACATAGTGGGACCCCGTTTCTACAAAAAATTTAAAAATTAGTCAGGTGTGGTGATGCTCGTCTGTAGTCCTAGGTATTCAGACTGAGAGGCTGAGGCAGGAGGATCACTTGAGCCCAGGAGTTTGAGGCTGCAATGAGCTACGATGGCATCACTGCACTCCAGCCTGGGCAACAGAGCAAGTCCCTGTCTCAAAACAAAACAAAACCCGGGAAGACTTTTTTTCCTCATTATACTAAAATAAAATACAAAATCTGTAACAGGCCCACCACATGCATTCTGGAGGGTCTGGCCTTATCCTGTCTCTGGGTGTTTCTGGAGGGCTGCATCCTGCCCTGTCCCCTGTTCCTGGAATATGTCGAGCTCAGTTCGGCCTCAGATCACTGCCCCCATAGAGTTGACAGTCTGATGGTGGAGGTGGACCTGAGTCAATCCCATCACTCAAGCACACAAAAAACTGGCCCTGGTGCCACAAGTGACAGGACCACAGTGCCAAGAGCCTACAGCAGGAGACTTGGCTCATCAGAGAGACCAGTGAATGAATTCTTGACAAAATCACTCTTCAGTGGAGCTTTGGAGGGTGAGGAGTTAACTAAATGAAAATAGGGCTTGGCCAGGCACAGTGGCTCACACCTGTAATCCCAGCTACTTACTTGGGAGGCTGAGGCAGGAGAATTGCTTGAATCCAGGAGGCGGAGGTTGTAGTGAGCTGAGATTGCACCAGTGCACTCCAGCCTGGGTGACAGAGCGAGACTCCGTCTCAAAAAAAAAAAAAAAAGAAAGAAAAAAGAAAATAGGAGGAAGTGGTCAGGTGTGGTGGCTCATGCCTATAATCCCAGCACTTTGGGAGGCCAAGGCAGGTGGATCACCTGAGGTCAGGAGTTTGAGACCAGCCTAGCCAACATGGTGAAACCCCATTTCTACTAAAAATACAAAAAATTAGCTGGGAGTGGTAGCACACGCCTGTGATCCCAGCTACTCAGGAGGCTGAGGCAGGAGAATTGCTTGAAGCCAGGAGGCAGAGATTGCAGTGAGCCAAGATCGCACCACTGCGCTTCAGCCTGGGAGACAGAGTGAGACTCCACTTCAATAAATAAATAAATAAAATAATAATTTAAAAAAGGAAACAGGAGGAAGGAACAGTGAGTGCAAATGCCCTGCCATGGTGTGAGCTGGGCCCAGTGCAGAGAGGAGCAGAGGTGGGGCAGGCAGGAGACAGGTCTGGTAAGGGCTGCCACTCAAGGCAAGGGCTTTGGATTTTATTCTGACCCTGAGGGAAAGCTCTTGGAGGATCCTAAGTAATGGTCTGACAGATGAGATTTGCAATTTGAGAAGATCACTCTGGCTGCAGCATCGATATTTGTAAATAATTTATCCGAATCTCCTACTGGTTGTAGCTCTTGACACTTACAGACAGGCCAAAAAGGCTATGGGGAGACCTCATGGTTGTCAGAGAGATGATGGTGGCTTGGATTGTTGACAGGGGATGAGAGACGTTCAACAGTTTGCAAATTTATTAAAACCTTGTGTGTGTAGTTGAAGAATGATGATATAACCGTTTCTTACTCGAAGGCCCTACATGTGATTGTACCAAAAACACGGAACCCAGGACACTGCTGGCCAGAGAGCATCTTTGTCTGCTGATCTGATTGGTTGGGTGTGCCGAGCAACATTCCACGTGCACATCTGTCTGGTTTTGACAGCATCCTACGGCAAGGAAGGTCCAAGACTAAGGGGTTGGTCATGAGACCATGTGCTCTCCTCTTGCTTACCTTTGCACAAGGGCAGAAGAAGGGGCTGGCTGCATATCCAAGCTTGCTGCTGCTGTCATTATGGCATAGCACATAAGGCCAGTCAGCAGAGTCATGTAACCAGCAAAGGGTCCGTCTGCTCGCCACTGGTACAAAAATGACAGAATAACAAGAGCAAAGTGTGATAAGGAGATTTTATTATCCATGCTAATAAGGGAAGGAGTGGGTGAGATTCTTTCCAAAAATTTCCACCCTTCAATTTGTGGGGGGAATGCAGGGGTTTTTAAAGAGAGAGGGGTTTGGAATGGAGAGGAAGGGGGCTAGGAGGGGTCAGTGGTGCAATCCACTCCAACAGCTTATCTTGAATTATTGTTCCCTTTGGTGAAGGGGCCAGTGCCATCCTGGGCCTGACCAGGTTACAAATGAACTTCAGCCAATCTTGCAGTTAATTTCTAGTGCGTGAGCATGAGTAAACGTGAGTGAGTGTAGCCAGGAGTAAATTTCAGCCTTGACCGGGGAGAGAATTCTGGAGGCATACGGTCCATGTCAAGATCCAGCCCCTGGATGGGCGCAATGGCTCAGGCCTGTAATCCCAGCACTTTGAGAGGCCGAAGTGGGCAGATCGCCCAAGGTCAGGAGTTTGAGACCAGCCCGGCCAACATGGCAAAACCCTGTCTATACTAAATATACAAAAATTAGCCAGGCGTAGTGGCGGGCGCCTGTAGTCCCAGCTACTTGGGAGGCTGAGGCAGGAGAATGGCGTGAACCCGGGAGGCAGAGCTTGCAGTGAGCCGAGATCCCGCCACTGCACTCCAGCCTGGGCGACAGAGCGAGACTCCGTCTCAAAAAAAAAAAAAATTAGCTGGATGTGGTGGTGCATGCCTGTAATCTCAGCTGCTCGGGAGGCTGAGATAGGAGAATTGCTTGAACCCGGGAGGCAGAGGTTGCAGTGAGCTGAGATGGCACCACTGCACTCCAGCCTGGGAGACAGAGCAAGACTCCATCGCAAAAAAAAAAAAAAAAAAAAAAATCCAGCCCCTGAGGCTTCTAAGGAAATACATGACCAGATAAGTGAGCATGGTATGTGCTTGACGAGTGTTTGGGTAAATAAATGAGCATATGGCATGGGAGAATGGAATGGGGAAGGATAGGGAGTGGAGGTTCACAGTCCATTCCAAGGCTGTATGTCAAGATGACAGGAAACACATATGCAGCTTGTCTCAAAGTTGTATCTTGAGACTGGGGAGAAAGAAGGAAAGAAAACAAGGTTTTAAAATGCAGTTTGAAGCCAAGCTGCCTGCTTACAGTCAGACTGCCTGGATTCAAATGGCTATTTCTACCACTTCACTGACTAGCTCTGTGGAACATTCCAGAATTTCTCTATTCTTCTGTTTCCTCTTTTTTCCCCCTTAATTTACATTTTTTGTGGGGGGGCAGGTAAGAGACAGGATATCGCTATGTTGCCCAGGCACACCTTGAACTCCTGGGCTTAAACAATCCTCCCACCCCAGGCTTCCAAGTAGCTGAGACTACAGGCACCTGCCACCACCCCCGGCTGGTTTCCTCATCTTTGAAACAGGAAGAAAAACAATAGCAACCACTGTTGGAGTTTTAGGAGACCAATAAACACTCTTTCTGCCCCTTCTGAGTTCAGAACTAAGGAAGAAAAGCAGGTAGAGATCAAAATGTCATCATCATTGCTGACAAGAGCTAGACTGGAGGATGTGGTTGAAGTGAAAATACTTTACCCCCAGTCACTAACACAGCAACTGCAGACAGCCCATTACCAGGGTACAGGGCGGTCCAACCCAGCACCCCACCTTCTCAGAAAGTTATCAGTCAGAGAAATCCTCCTCCTGCTCTGGGGAAAAGGAGAATGAAAGCTAGATAGACATGTTCCTCCACACTTGGCCCCGCTGGGGAATGGAATAGGAATCTCCTCCTGTCCTTGAAAATATGAGAAGCAAAAATAAGTGATTCTCTCAATACCATTTTATGGGCTCTTGAGGTTGTTATGAGATTAAGGAAAAACACAGCTAAAGTATCTAGAATACAGAATTCATAAGGTTTCATCTCTGGCATCGACTGTCCTGGCTGGTCAGGCCAGCCAGATAGGCAAGGCTGGTTAACCGAGGGAAGTTGTGGTTGAGTGAGAAACAGCATGAAGCAAGGAAGTTCTTGAAAGGGGATTTTTTTTTTCTCTCTCTCTTTCTCCTTGTTCCTTACACTCAGGAAACCTTGAGAGTTCCCTAAAGGGAAATGCTGATCAAATATGAACTGGCAAGTCTTTTTTTTTTTTTTTTTTCTGAGATGGAATCTTGCTCTTGTTACCCAGGCTGGAGTGCAGTGGCGCGATCTTGGCTCACTGCAACCTCCGCCTCCGGGGTCCAAGCAATTCTCCTGCCTCAGCCTCCCGAGTAGCTAGGATTACAGGCATGTGCCACCACACCCAGCTAATTTTTTATATTTTGAATAGAGACGGGGTTTCACTACGTTGGCCAGGCTGGTCTCCAACTCCTGGGCTCAAGTGATCCGCCCTCCTTGGCCTCCCAAAGTGCTGGGATTACGGGTGTGAGCCACCACACCCAGCCTGGCAAGTCTTAAATTAAAACTGGAGGAAAAACCTCCCAAAACTATGTATCTTCAATTATACACCAACCCAGTGACTTATTAGCACAGCTTCTTGGCCCAGCATTTTTTAAGGGTGTGTGTATGCACTGCTTCTGTTGGTTTTGGGTGGGATTTTTTTGGAGGGAAGTGGGGAGAGGAAGGCACTGTGGTGTGTTTTTCAAGGCAGCCTCCCTCTTCACCTCTTACAATTAAGCAATTAAGAATCGCAAGCAGGGAAGTCACTGGGAGCAAACAGGAACCAGCCCTGGGGAAAGCCCTGTCTAATCACTGAACAATAGCAATTCCGTTTAAGGTGAGTGCAATAAGGCAGGAAATAACATGCTGTGTTGACAACATGCCTTACTGATAGACTGCGGTTCTGCAAGCAATGCATCAGCAATGCCACACTCGCCACCTGACCTGCCTCAGCCAATCCCACGTCATCTACCTGATGGAGCAAGGCTGCTGGTTGTGTGGACATCAAGGGAAAAGCCCAGGGGAGCAGGAATCTGTTGATCTGTGAGCCTAGTGGTTCTCTTCCCTGTGCTGAATCACTTCTTGGTGGGGCACTGGGAGACCACACCTGAGTTTCTGAGACATATGGAAACCCCCAGAAGCCTGGATCTCTCATAGGTTTTACCTTGGGTAAATCCTCCTACAGAGACCATTCCCCCTTGGTATTTCCAACTACAGCATCTTTAGCTCCTCCTCTTTTTCCTCTAGCAGGGATGTACACAGATGGCACAGACTCCTGGGCCCACAAGTTCACTGTGGTTGCATAATCCACACAAAGATTTTCCCTGAAAATTAGGCCTTAAATATATTGCTTAAGTTAGCAATAATAATGTTCAGTGAGCACTTACAGTGTTGGGTGCTGTATTAATATTCACAATAGGAAGTACTATTATTATCTACATTTTATAGATGAAAAATTAAAACAGAGAGAGGTAATATTCCCAGAGCCCCTATCTACTATAGCCACAATATTTAGCTGAAGGAAAGGAATCCAACACTTTATCTTCCACAATCTGTTTTCATGGACTCAGAGAATATAAAGGCCTGGAAAAGGCCTTAGAGATAACTGAGTGTACTCTTTTATTTTACAGATCAGAAAACAGACCTGGAGAGGGGTTAGGGTTTATTTGCTCCAGTCCCAGGGAAGATCATGAGTGAGCCCCCAAACTCCCACTTTTCGGGCTTCTCCCATAACATATCCCCTTTCTTCCCTCACAGAAGAAATCACTCTCCTGAATTTATCTTTTTTTTTTTTTTTGAGACGGAGTTTCGCTCTTCTTGCCCAGGCTGGAGTGCAATGGCGCAATCTCGGCTCACCGCACGCAACCTCTGCCTCCAGGGTTCAAGCGATTCTCCTGCCTCAGCCTCCCTAGTAGCTGGGATTACAGGCATGTGCCACCACGCCGCGCTAATTTTTTTTTTTTTTTTTTTTTTTTTTTTTTTTTTTTTTTTTTTTTTTAGCAGAGACGGGGGTTTCTCCATTTTGGTCAGGCTGGTCTCGAACTCCGGACCTCGAGTGATCCACCCGCCTCTGCCCCCACAGACTGCTGGGATTACAGGCGTGAGCCACCGCGCCCGGCCTTCTTGAATTTATCTTAATCATTTTTTTGATTTTCAATTCTCCGTAAGTATGCCCATTTTCTTCTCTTCTTGCTACCATTTTTACTGAAAGAAATAAAAAGGGAAAGAGAAAAAAGTGAGAAGGGCAGCTAAGAAGGTAAAAGGGTAGGGAGGAAGGGAAGAAACAGAGAAAGAAAAGTCCCGTCTGCCTGTGGATTAACGTGAAACTGAATAACTCAACTGCTAGAATCCTGGTTTGAGCGTCAAGATGTCTGAGGTCAAGTCCAATCCCTGTGACACTCTCAGTCTCGCCTCCTGGCAATTAAGTTTCCCCAACTATAAACCCATATATCTACATCCACCAGATCCCGCGAAAGCGGTTTCCCCTCATCAAAGAAGTCCGCCCAGGCCTCCAAAACCATCCCTTTATTCTCAACCAACATGGCGACTGAGGGTGACGTCAACTTCCGTCGCCTTCACCCTACTCCCTTCCCCTAGGGGGCGGCGAGCCTCAATGACGGCTGCGGCCGGGGCGCATGCGCGGCGGCGGGGCCCGGCCCGCGGCGGCGGCAAAGGGGCGGAGGGGTTCGCTGCCAGCAATTGCCAAGCTGCTGCGGTCGTGGCGGGATGGTATAGCCGGGCCTGAGGGCGGGCGGCGGGGCGCGGGCGGGGGCGAGGCGGCCGGGAAGGGCCGACGCCGCCTGACTGGCTTGGGAGCAGCGGCAGCAAGCTGAGGGGGCGTCGCCGCCGCCGGCCCCCGGCGCCGCCGCGGGAGGCCGCGCCCGCCATGGCGGCCCGGGCGGTGCTGGACGAGTTCACTGCGCCAGCTGAGAAGGCGGAGCTGCTGGAGCAGAGCCGCGGCCGTATCGAGGGCCTGTTTGGCGTGAGCCTAGCCGTGCTCGGCGCGCTAGGGGCTGAGGAGCCGCTGCCCGCGCGCATCTGGCTGCAGCTCTGCGGGGCGCAGGAGGCGGTGCACAGCGCCAAGGTGAGTCCGGCCGCCGCCCCCGCGCGCCCGCGGCCTCGATCGGTCCGGGTCTCCGGGCTCCCGCTCCTCCCCGCCCCCGCCGTCCGCCGCGATGCGCCTGGGTTGGGAACGCAGTCTCGGGAGCCAGCGAACGTGCCTTTTCGGCTCGCGAGCCATGTGACCTTGGATAGCGGCTTGATCCCCGGAGCCTCAGTTTCCCCATTTGTAAAGTGGCGCTGACGAAAGTACCTACCTCAGAGGGCTGTCGCGAGGATGAAAGTGGGGGATGTGTATGAAGCGCAGGCACAGCGTGTGGCACGGATCGGGTGCGCTGCGCATGTCGCCTGTTGTTGTCAGTTCCCCGGCCCCCAGGATGGTACGCAAGGCCTGTTGCTGGGCCCGCAGCCTCGTCCACCACCTAAGCCTTTATCCCCCAGTCCCGGGCCTCCACTACTGCAGTTCTGAGCCTTTTTGGGATCTCAGTTCCTCTTGAGAATCGGAAAAAAACTATTAATAGTAATAAAACGCTCGGAGAATGTCAGAAAGAAAGGATTTATGTTTACCTATTTTTTTCTATTTGAGACAGGGTCTCACTCTGTCACCCACAGTGGAGTGCAGTGTGGCGCGGTCTCAGTTCACTGCAGCCTCGACTTCCCGGGCTCAAGTGATCCTCCCACCTCAGCCTCCCGAGTAGCTAGTACTATAGGAGCGCGCCACCACGCCCGGCTCATTTTTTTTTTTTTTTTTGGTAGGGGATTTCACTATGTTGCCCGGGCAGGTCTCGAACTCTTGGACTCAAGTCATCCTCCCATCTCGGTCACCCAAAGTGCTGGGACTACACGCGGGAGCCACCCCGGCCGGATATTTAATATGTTAACAAAAAATAGCGTTATTCTTTGTATTGATATTACCTACAACTAACATTTACATAACGCTTAAGAACATCACAGGTTGCTTCAGAAGGAATGTGCAGCCCTTATGGCTTCTAATAAGGTAGATTTTATCCTCCCCACCACCACCCCGCCTTTTTTTTTTTTTTTAATTAACAGCTGGGGAAACTGAAACTCAAAGTGGTGACTCACCTTCTGCCTAAATCAGCATTTCAGACCTCTTCAGCACCTCTATCTACTTCCCCCCCTTTCCAAACCAAAAAGCAACACAGTATGTTGCTCCTCCTAGGTAACCAAGTTTCTCTAGGTTTTTCCATCTCCTAAGTAGGGCAGCAGGATTCAGACCTAGGGAGTTTGTTTCCAGAGCCTTCGTTCTTGATACTTGCCTCTCATATGATGAGCCCTGTCTGCGGGGTGGGCAGGAAGGGCCCTCTTTTTGCATCCTGCTTTGTCAAGTAATGTCAGTGTCCTTGAATCTGAGTAGTCGTATCTCCTGATGTTCTTAGATTTAACAAAAAATCGTGAGTGTTTGCATTTCACATCCTTAAAGGAGACGGGGCACTCAGCTGTGTAGTTCTTCAAAGCTTAACTTAAAACATTGTAGGCCGGGCGCGGTGGCTCACGCCTGTAATCCTAGCACTTTGGGAGGCCGAGGTGGAAGGATCACGAGATCAGGAGATTGAGACTGTCCTGTGTCACACGGTGAAAACCGTGTTCTTGAGAATCGGAAAAAAACCATTAATAGTAATAAAACGCTCGGAGAATGTCAGAAAGAAAGGATGTATGTTTATTTACCTATTTTTTTCTGTTTGAGACAGGGTCTCACTCTGTCACCCACACTGGAGTGCAGTGGCATCTCTACTAAAAATACAAAAAATTAGCCCGGCGTGGTGGTACGCGCCTGTAGGCCCAGCTACTCGGGAGGCTGAGGCAGGATAATCGCTTGAACCCGGAAGGCAGGTTGCAGTGAGCTGAGATCGCGCCACTGCACTCCAGCCTGGGCGACAGCACGAGACTCCGTCTCAACAAAACAAAACAAAACAAATCAGAAAGCCAGCATTGTAGATATAGAACCAAGTTTGCTTTCCTGGGCTTAACTTTTTTAGTCAGTTGGATTGCAGACAGCTGGTCTAAGGCGCATTCCCCTTCGTCCATTCTCCCCAGCTATCCAATCTTCTGCACTTCTCAGGGCTTAAAAGCTTGACATGATTAAGTCCTGCTTTTTCTTCTGAAAATCTCTTACGTGCATTCATTCCTTTCCTTTCTATTGCCTTTGCTGCGGTTAAGACTTTCATTCCTGTGTGTCCCCTCCCTTGCTCCATTGCCTTTACTCATTCATTGCTCCCTCCCTCCCTGGTTCAACTTGTGTTAGAGTAATCCTCCTGCAAAAAGTCATTCTCCTGCCCTGGAACCTACTAGAGCCTCCTGTCACCTGTCTCATTCAGCCTAAACTCCTCCTCTGACTTACAAAACGATTAATCCAACCCCACTTTATTTTTCCAATGTTCTGGTTTAGCACCTTTCAGCTTAAATCTCCACTGTAGTAGTCTCTGCCTTTGCTGTGCGTTCTGCCTCCTCTGGGTTCTGCTTTTGCTCAAGACTCATCGCAAGCATGGAGAATGACTCCTTTGCTATGCAGAAGAGCCCTGCTGGTCCTGCCAGACCTGCCCAATGCCTGTTTTCTTGGCTGTCCTTGCCACACAGTTTAGCCAAGCTGTTTGGGAAAGGTGTGTCTTACAGTTTCTTGCTAGTATGTGCTCCTGCTTGTTGATCTTTGTGATATGTATTACTCATAAGTCAACCCTCCCACTTGTAAGAAATTCTTTTTTTTCTCCCCTTGAGACTCATAGGTAAGAGTTGAATGCCACAATCAGGGCTTTTTTGTTCTGAATTTGTTTTGGAGTTTGTTTTACTTTCTTGAAGGAGGAGAAAACCATTATTTTGATTTTAAAAACTAAGAACAGGAAAGCAAATTTGATCCAACATCTATAATATTTTAAGTTAGGCTGTGGAAGAGCAGCAGATTTAGAGGAAGGAAGATTTAGAGCAAAGAAGAGTTTTTCAACTATAGTGTCTCTGCTCAAAATAAGATAAGATGAACTGTCTTGTGTCCCACCAAGTGGTTTGCTTGTGTTTTGCCTTTAAAATGTGAATTCACTGCCTTTTGCAAATGCTAGAGTAGAGAAGAATGTGGAGCTTAGTTAGGTGGGCCTCCAATGACTGCAGAGGGGCGAAATGGAAACTACTAGTAGACAGTGATAGTGCGCATGCAGGTTGAAAAACAGGCACTGACTCTGTACCAGTGACCACTTTTGTTAAAGGGAAGATTTGTCGTAGAAAGCAGTACTTCAGCTGGCTTTTGAAGAGCCAAATATTCCCAGGTACCTGACCTTCCAGACAGAGGTGGTTGTGGAGCAAAGGCCCAGAAAACATGGAGTGTCATGGTAAAAGGTGTCCAGGTGCTCCTGGGAAAGATGAAGGCTGAGGTACCAAAATGCCAGGCTAAGGTCATTGGACCTTATTTAATAGTCAGTGAGGATTTTGAGAAGCATGGAATCTTCCTGAAACAGAAGACCAACAGTGAAATGAACATTGTTGCAAGTTAGCCTTGGGCATGAGGGGGTAGGGGGTGGTAAGGTTTTTACAGGGACAGGGCAGCTGTGTGGTGGATGTAGGGATTTAGGGGTCGGTTTTAAGCCAGGTGGCAGGAGGGATGGTTAAGTTGTTTGACCTATTGACTGGTGGGGCCACCAGCTCATCAACATTTAAGGAAGACTTCTCTGGTGCCAGGGAGTGTATTGACGGTTGCCCCTTGACCTCAAGAATCACGTTGCCTCTTAGGGGAGACAGACATGGGGAAGATACAGTAAAGTGTGATACATACAACAACTGCAATGTGTGCAAGGTGTTTCTGTAACACAGGAATGGAAGGGTTGCTCTGCCAGCCGGTTTCCTAGGTAGCAGGGAGGTCCTGGCAGAGGGAAGAAGCTGTGTGCAATCACAGGGGCATGGAAGAGGGCAGTTGCATCACAGATTCCTCCAGTGGATCACAAAGTGCTTGGGGCCTGCTGAAGAACATGGATTTTACCTGCAAGTAGTCAGTGGAGAGTCGTGGAAGAGTTAGGGGGACATGAGAAATTTACATTTCCACAAATGCCTCAGTGTTTACACCTCTGGGCTGGGGCTGCTCAGTGTGGTCTGTTGCTGGTTTTCAATAGTAAGAGTACAGAAATTGAAAATAAGGGTTGAGTAACTTTTATGCAATTTGGCATTAATACAGGGGCTAGAGAGGCAATGTCTAAGAGTGAGAAGTCCTTATAAGAGGGCATTGTCCATAGGGGGCCCAGAGAGAGGGGAAAGAAGTCAGTGCTGGAAGACATCTTGGGAGCAAAGGATTGTGAGGATTGAATTTCAGAGACAAAAGGGAGGTACTGGCTAGCTGTTGCCTCATTCGCAAATAGAGATTAAAGTGAAGAAGCAGAGGTGGGACCCTCCCTGTGAAGCAGTGGTGGAAAGGGATGAGGTTGAGGGGATCTCAGCCGTGGGGGTGAGACGAGTTAGAATTCTTCTTTTAGGCCGGGCGCAGTGGCTCACGCCTGTGTAATCCCAACACTTTGGGATGCCGAGTGGTCTGATCACCTGAGGTCGGGAGTTCGAGACCAGCCCACCAACATGGAGAAACCCTGTCTCTACTAAAATTACAAAATTAGCCAGGTGGGGTGGCGCATGCATGTAATCCCAGCTACTCAGGAGGCTGAGGCAGGAGAATTGCTTGAACCAGGGAAGCGGAGGTTGCGGTGAACCAAGATCACGCTATTGCACTCCAGCCTGGGCAACGAGAGCAAAACTCTGTCTTGAGAAAAAAAAAAAAAGAACCCTTCTTTTAGATCAAAGAACCACAAACTCAGAATGCTTCCTGGGACCAGGCAGGGAACCTGTGTAGGGAAGTGGGGTGGTCGGGAAGAGGGACTGTGGTGAATGAAGCCGTGTGGCCCTTTTGGAGAGGGCAGCTTCCCATGCGTATCGCATTAGTCAGTTACATGGTAGGGCTCAGTGATGTCCAGTCTTATTATCTAAGAGAAGCAAGGAATCCAGATTTAATTATATAAAATATTGTATTTAAGTGGTCACTAATTTACATTTTAAAAATCATACACATCGAATTCATCGAATTATATGAATAAAATATTTTTAAACTACATATTTTAAAAAAACAGTTATATGTGCTAAACAAAACATGTCAGTGGACCTGAGCTTTGTTTCGTTTTGTTTTAATTTAGTTTTTGTTTTTGTTTTTTTTTTTACCTTTTTTTGTTTTTTTTTGTTTGTTTGTTTTGTTTTTTTGACCTGAGCTTTGGACTGCCTTTTTGAGACAGGGTCCCTAGGTTGGAGTGCAGTGGTATGATCTCAGCTTACTGAAACCTCTGCCTCCCAGGCTCAAGCGATCCTCTTGGCCTCCTGAGTAGCTGGGACTACAGGCATGTGCCACCATGCCCATGGTGTATTTTTGTATTTTTGGTAGAGATGGCATCTCACTATGCTGCCCTGGCTAATCTTGAATTCCCGAGCTCAAATGATCCTCCCACCTCAGCATCCCAAAGTGCTAGGATTACAGGCATGAGCCACCATGCCTAGCCCATATGTTTCTAATACTTGAAGAGGGCATTTGAAGGCCCCAGTGGCGTACAGTACAGTCTCAGTGCTAGTTCATCCCCAGAGGGAGCGCAAGAGCTCCAAAATAGTGGGATGTGTTAGGTGCAGTGGAACTGCTGCAGACTGAAAACTTAAGAACTTAAAAGGACTGGGATGAAGTAAGGGCCAAGGAAGGTTAGATAGTATGAACTTACAGTGTCACTTGAGCCAGAAACTCTCAAGTAGGTAATGTTTTCCTCCACTCAAGAGGTTTGTGAAGCCAGGACACAAGGATTGGAGGTAAGGGGGTCTGAAGTGCAATAGAGCAAGGCACAGTGGGGCTTAGGAAATATTTCTGAAGAGGTCAGCCTTGTTCAAGCTAGGACAGGGAAACAGATGAGAGCAGAAAGGGCGGAGTGAGCTGCAAGGATTAAGGGAGGGACAAGACCTTTGACCCTGTGCCCTCTGAAACCCAGGGGGTCATGTACACAGGGAAGTTAAGTATTGGAGAATTCTGGAGGTTGTAATCAGAGTAATTTCGGAGCTTAGAATCTTGGATGTAAAGGAATTCTGAGGATGACTCTGAGGGCCAAGGGGTGCCTCAGTAGTTGTGGGTGAGCTACAAGTGTTCCATACATCTTAGAGAAGTGAGAAAGTAGAGGAGATGGCAATGTGAAGTATCTGGAGCTAGTGCTATGCTGGGGTCACCAAAGTCCATAGCAAGAAACTGGGTGCTAACAGTCAGTGAAGCCTGGCTGGTTAACAAATAAAAGAAGTAATTGGAAGTAAATGGCACAGCTACTTGTTTGGCGTCTCCATGAACCTTTAAGGTGTGGAGTTCACTGACCACAGCTGCCCATCAGTTGATGCTTAGCTTCAGGCATTACTTGATGGCAGTGAGTAGCCACCGAGAGGCCTAGCCAGTGCCCTAAACAGTACCAGCCTGGAGGACTTCAAGCAGAGTCCTGGGAAGGACTACTCAGTCTTAAAACATTGACGTTACAGTGCACCCATGAAACTCAGGCAGGCTACCACCCAGTCCATTTTTAATTTGTGAGAAAAAGGGTGTTTAAGAACAGCTAGTAATTGACCTTTTCCCAGTTTTTACTTATGTATTTATGGAGTAAGGTAAGAATGAAAAAAAAATGTAATTAAAGTAGAAGTGGCCTATTACAGTACTGACTTCAGAGGGTTCAAGTTGACCAGGTACTGTTTTACTACCTTTTCAGTTAGAAGAGCCTGGTACCTGGTTTCATGAATTTTTCTATGCGTGTGCGTGCGTGTGTGTGTGTGAGATAGGGTTTGGCTCTGTCACCAGGCTGGAGTGCAGTGGTGTGATCTCAGCTCACTGCAGCCTTGCCCTCCCAGGCTCAAGTGATCCTCCCACCTCAGCCTCCTGAGTAGCTGGGACTATAGGCATGTGCCACCATGCTGGGCTTTTATTTATTTATTTATTTATTTATTTATTTATTTATTTTTATTTTTTATAGAGATGGGGTTTCCTCATGTTGCCCAGGTAGGTTTCATGAATTCTTGAACAATTGATTTGTTCATGAAGGAAAGAATTCATAGATGTAATACTGGGTAGTGACATGGAGTTTTTGTTTTGATTTTACCAGGAAGAAGGTTGGTGGCCTTTTTTGCACTTCCCAGAATATTTTTTACTCACTATGGTTGTGAAAATCATCTTCTTAAGAAACAGTGGTTTGTTCAGTCTCTTCTTATGGCTGACATTTTGGGGTTATACCAGAATGTTGAAATAAGGGATACTGGTATTGCTTATGCTGGGGTCAGAAGTGATTGCCTGTAGTTTCCTCTTTCTTGTCCATTTCCCAGCCAGTATTGTAGGATTGTAATTAAATCAAGGACCACATTTTGATCTATGTTGGCTTTTTATGAAATTGATATAATCATAGAAGATTAGCAGTCTTGAGTTTCAAGAACAAAATTGTAGGGGGGAAATCCTTACAGTAATTAATTAAAAAACTTTTTTAAACATCAGTTTTTTGTTGTTGTGTTTTTTGTTGGTTGTTGTTGTTGTTTGTTTTTTGAGACAGGGTCTCACTGTGTCGCCCAGGCTGGAGTGCAGTGGCATGATCTCGGCTCACTGCAACCTCTGCCTTTTGGGTTCAAGTGATTCTCCCACCTCAGACTCCTGGTTAGTTGGGAGTTCAGGCTTGCGCCACCATGCCCAGCTAATTTTTGTATTTTTTGGTAGAGACAGGGTTTCACCATGTTGGCCGGGCTGGTCTTGAACTCCTGACCTCGAGTGATCTGCCTGCCTTGGCCTCCCAAAGTGGTAGGATTACAGGCATGAGCCACTGCACCTGGCCAAAAATCAGTTTTTCATATGGAAACAACATAAAGGAGTTTTTTTGGCTTAAAGAAACTGAATTTAGCTGGGCGTGGTGGCATGTGCCCCGTAGTCCTAGCTACTTAGGAGGCTGAGGCATTAAGATTGCTTGAGTCCAGTAGTTCCAAGTCTGTAGTGCGCCCTGATTGTACCCCTGCACTCCAGCCTGGGTAACAGAGCAAGATCTTGTCTCTTAAAGACCAAAAAAAACCACAAAAAACCTTTTTTTAGAAAGATTCCTAACTTAGAAAGGTTTTGTTCAGTCTTAGTGCTGATAGAATTAGTAATTTACATTACTTGATAAATAAGAGCTGTAGGAATAAATCCACGTCTGAAAGTATGAAAGTCATTTGTGATTATGGCATCTTTTGATTGAAATTACCTACCTACCAGTCTTCTGGGATCTTTATCCATTCTTGAATCAACACTTTTTTTTTTTAACTTTTTAAATGGTTTTATTTTATGTGCAAATAATGAACAGATGTTGTACCCATAAATTCTACTTTCCAAAAACAGGAGCTTTTTAAAGGAAAACTACATAATAACTTTTAAAAGGCACTGGGATTCCTCTGCTTCTAGATCATTGCCAGACTAGAAAAATAAAGTTTGTTCTACCAGGAATAACTAGTTAGAACTGAGTATTCTCCAAAGTGGAAATTCCAGAGTGTAGCGACAGTCCATGCAAAGATTATTCAGTTCTAATTCCCAACATCCACGACTGCCTATCAGAATGATTAAACCAGGTCAAAACAGTCCAGCATAATTAAGCTTCATCAAACAATGCCATTATGCTCTTCCAAGATGCAAATAAACCAAAACAGGAAATACTAAAATCAAAACAATATTTGACATTGTCATACAAATTGTTAGTTCCTTGTTGTATCCCCCTTTCCATAACATTAATAAAGGGAATATTTGGCTGCAAATAATATTTTATTTTATATATCACTAGCCATGATTTTTTGCCATTACTTATTATACAAATGCCACCTAGTGCCATTATCCAATTGGCATAACCATTTTACATCCACAATTCACTTCTATAGTTATAAGTAGAATTTTCGTGATTTACATATCTATCAGTGAAGATTTAACACTGAGATGCAATCTAACATCTGTAATATCTGATGTTTTGTAGATGGCAGTGTAGGAAAGATATATTTTAATCACTTTTCATTTAAGTGACCTTATGTAAAAAATAATTTAGCAGTTCCAAGTCTCCAAAGGGCATTTTCAAATGTACATAAAAGAAATGGTTACAGAGATTTTTAAGAAGCATCTTCCATGTCCACATTCTCTTGTAACTGCTGTACTGTTTTCTCTTCCAACTGCTTCCCTTTGCCTGCAAGAGGAACTCAGATAAGATGGATGTTTTGCTTGACCTGTTTGATATCCTGAACTTTCTGTAGCTCTTATTTTTCTTCAATCTGTTCATTATAAATTTAGCTTGGCGTTTCTGTTTGATCTCTTCAACTGTCTTCATTGCTTCAGTAGTTTTATTCCATAGCTCTCACTGGTATTTGATGGTTTCATTTCTATGTTTTTCATATTCAAATGAATTATCCAGTGTAAGCTCTTTGCCACCTGCTTTCCGGAATGCTTTGGTCCACCTAACTTTGCAAGGATTGTGCTTCTTTTTAAAGTTTTTATGACATTTAGATTTACAAAATCTGAACACCTTTCAGTCGTTGCGGATGAACATCATGCCGTGGCCAGGGTAGATGGGCCCAAACAGAAATAACACTTCACAGTACACATGTTAAACCTGCATGGGTCACCACCAACCAAATGCCAAGCTTGAGAAGAATCAGCATATTTAATTCACAGTATGTTTCATTCTTGACCCTGGTATTTTTTAAATTAAGAAAATGAAATTGTTACTTTGTTATAATAGGTAGGTTAATGAAGGTTGATGTATCTCTATTAGGTAATGAATTTGCCTGCAATAATAGAAACCTATACAAAATAAGGGTTTTCTTTCATTTAAAAAGTCAAAAGATAAGCAGCAGTCCAAGGGTGAGTAATGATTACAAACTGTACCCTTATGGTCACAAAATGACCACTGCAGCTCCAGCCATCAGGCCTTTAAGAAGGAAGGATGGAAGAAGAGGTAACAGTTTTCCAGAAAACCCTAGCAGGTTTCTGCTTACCTCTAATTGGCTAGAACTATATCATGTGACCACTAGTAGTAAAGCAAGCTATGAAATGTTCAGTTTTACCTAGGCACATCGCTACCCTAAACAAAATATGGATTACATTATTTTCCATGTGTTTTAAAAATTATAATTCCTAAAAAGTGAGCATATAGCAAGCATTCATTTAACTCATTTGTGAGGGAACCAGCTGGATTGGAAAACTGGTTCAAGGAGCATTGGAGGAAATGAGTACAGGTGCTGAAAAAACAGTGTTAGAATAAGATTGCTAGATTTGGGTACAAAACTGGTGAATGTCCTTGTGAGAATGTAGGAATAACTGACACAGTTTCTCCTGCTTATGTGGACTCTAACATGCTTCTAACACAAGATGTGTGGGAGTTTTCCTCTTACCCTCTATTTTGCCAGAATTTGTGAAAGAACAACCATGCCCCCATTAGCTCCTTAGGAATTCTGACATAGGGTTTAAAAACAGTTGCAGTTAACTTGCTTAGGAATCATCCCTGCTTAGTGCAACTGTAGTTGCAGCCCTGGTCCTGTGACCACTGTATCAGATGGGGATGAGGGGCGGGGGCAGTGGGAATCGAGGTGTTACTGGAAAGAAAGAAAAAATTATAGTTATTATACCAGTATACGACTCAGATATACCAGTTCTCCAAGCTTGTACCCTAATTCCATCAACCTTACTTTCCTAACTTTAGCCTCTGTTAGGACTTTATGAACCGGTTTTGGTTTTACAGTACTAGGTAGGGGAAGTGTTTCCCTACCAGACATAACATCCATTTCCATAAAACATTCAAGTAAAGGAGATACAACTTTTTAACTTAAAGTGTGTTTATTACCATTCCAGTTTATATAATCCTGTCAACCCTTACCTTTTCATATTCTCCCAATCTAGTAGCCCTAGTCGGGGCTTTCTTTGCCAATGGATCATAGGACTCCTATATCAAGGAGTTTCAGGGATTTATCTTCACCACCCCAGAAGGTTTTACCCACTTGTGTACAGAGGCTCTGAGTCCCCAGCCAGAGGGTAAGCAAAGGGACACTTGTGCTTTATCAATTTTGCCTTGATTAATCTCCCTAGGCAATTTCAGGTCAGATTTCTCATTGTAATCTTTGCCTTCTGACTTTAAATTTCTCCAATGTGGGGCAAATTGAGGGACCAAGAGGGGATCCCTTAGACATACCTTATTTTTCAGTGGTGTTGTATTAAAATCTTTTAGTCTCATTAATTTCATTTTATTCATGCCGTATCTTAATAACCACCCTGCTGAGAGGAGTCCTGTGACTCTCCACCTTCTTTTCCTTTTTTGTATCACCCCTATCAATGATTTTTTTACTCACCTTATTAATGATCCCTTAAAAATTTTCCTGGAAGGAGTCCTTTGACTCTCCTCCCTGCCTTTTGCCATTATTTTGTTAATTAATGTTTTTATTAGTGTCTGTAAGACCTAATGAAGCTGAGGAAGGAAACATGATATGGCTTCCTGAATTTTGTGGTTTTGCAGCAGTAAGGTTATGTGAGGGCTTCCACCCTAAAGGACACCCTTAAGCACAGCACTTACCAATTTCCTAAGAAAAACATCTTAAGCAATTCTTAAAAGACCTGGGAAGCAGGCATATTTGCTGAACGAGTGTCCCAGTCATTTTAAAGCCAGTCTCATATGGCATGCACATCAGTTGCTTTGTCTGGGATGTTCCACTTGGCATTTATAGAGGGAGTTGGGTAGTCCCCCTTCTCAGGGGAGCCTTTTATCTAGTCCACCAGCCTGGCTGTTTGCTCAGGAATAACCACCTTTGTCTGGATCATGTATAGCCATGTGATTGTTCCATTGTGAGCCATGCATTCTGCATCCACCAAAACTTTTTCTTCATTTTGCAGCATTATACAGAAGCTTATGCATGCAGCCGTCATAGGTTTATTGCCTCATGTCCACAGCAAGTCAATATGCACAGACACTGGGTTGCAGTAGAGAAAGAGGTTTATTTGTAGGGCCACTAGATGACGAGACATGAGGAAACCTCAAATCTGACTCCCTAAGGGATTTGTGGGGTTAGGGCGTTTAAAGGTTTTGAAGTGGGCCAAAGTGTAGATATCATTCATTGGTTAGAGTGCAGGGTGAAGTCATGGGACAGGTTGAAGAAGAAGCTGTATTCTCATGCTGATTCTGTTCCTCTCTGGGGGTCTTCAAACTGGTTAGCATCAGCTGTTCTGCTGGAATTTGACATCTGAAAAACATCCGAAGCAATTCTTAAAAGCCTTATGGTTCTAAGGTCAGAAATTTTATCTACAGGAAAATAGGGATGCAAATTTTCGGTGTCTACTGCTACATGACTTTCGGTTACAAGGAAGTAGGTCTAAGTTCAGCTTCATTAATACTTAATTATAACTATCTTTCTGCCCAGAATTCTTGTTAACCCTGTGAGGACAGCTTCATATACCCTAAATTCAGAATCTGTCTTAGTAATGGTTTTTCAGGAAGTTGATACCAATGTAACCGCCCAACGGGTTCACCTTGTCCTCTGCCTAGACAAAGCTGATTTATCAAGATGGGAATTGCAATGGAGAAAGAGTAATTCACACAGAGCTGGCTGTGTGGGAGACTGGAGTTCTATTATTACTCAAATCAATTTCCCCATATTCGGGGATCAGAGTTTTAAAGATAATTTGGCAGGTAGGGGCTTGGGAAGTGGGGAGTGCTGATTGGTCAGGTTGGAGATGGAAACACTGGGGGTTGAAGTGAGATGTTCTTGTTGTCTTCTGTTCCTGGGTGGGATGGCAGAACTGGTTGAGTCAGATTATGGGACTGGGTGGTGTCAGCTGATCCATTGACTGCAGGGTCTGCAAAATATCTCAACTACTGATCTTAGTACTGTTATCCCCAGGAGCAATTTGGGGAGGTTCAAACTCTTGGAGCCAAAAGCTGCATGACCCCTAAGCCATCATTTCTAATCTTGTAGCTAATTTGTTAGTCCTGTAAAGGCAGACTGGTCCCCAGACAAGAAGGGAGTCTTTTCAGGAAAGGGCTATTATCAGTTTTGTTTCAGAGTCAAACCATAAACTGAATTCCTTGCCAAGGTTAGTTCCAGCCTACTTCCAGGACTGAGCAAGGACAGCTGAAAGGTTAGAAGCAAGATGGAGTCAGTCAAGTCTGATCTCTTTCACTGTCATAATTTCCTCAGTTACAGTTTTTGCAAAGGTGGTTTCAGTCCTTCCCTTTGGGTTTAACAGCACCTTATTCTTAAGGTGTGGGCTATGAAGTTGGGAAAGGGCCGTCAGTCACTCTGGCTGCTTTCTCCTAACTGGGCGTAGTGGGGGAAGGTGTTGACCACAAAGTGAGAGGAGTGGAACTGCTTTGCAGCTGTCTGAGTGTACTCACGCAAGCCAGGCTGAGGTTCCAAGGCTTCATGACAAAGGTGTTAGTATTCTCATCTATGGTTTTAGTACAGCATTTAAGTGGACATTTAAATACTGAGTTCTAGGATAAGGAGTGCAAATTCCAGTTAAGCATTAATTTGGGGCATTGTGGCTCACCAAAATCTAAATTGCAGAGGAAAAAAAATAAAATAAAAACTCAAAAACAACAATAACAGGCATACTATAGTTTTTGAAACACGTTTCTCTCCTAGTCCTTATTTTTATTAAAAACAAATCATGATAGGACTGATTTGTTTGCAAAATAAACTTTATTATACTTGGCCTGATTTCTTCCATAGAGCACAGCAAGAATAATTATTTCTCACGTAGGCTTTGTAAATTGGCTTTGATGGAATTCAGTTCCATAAGGAACCTCAGTTAAGACTTTTTTAAAGCCAAGCCCAGCCATGGGTTTATACCCTCAGATAGCTATGAGTTGGGTAAATTCCTCTCCTCTTGAGGTCCCAAGATAACTTGGGGCTCCTGGGCCTGTCAGAAAGTGACATTCTTTACTTACCACAGGTCAGGAACCCTGTACAGGTACTGCATAGACAAGGTGTGAGGTCACTTTTCCCAAGGGGCTTTTATTGGTTGGCTCTATAAGTCAAGTTTGATTCCTTAAAGGAAAGCACGCCATTCCAGTCAAAGCCTTGGTAAAATAACCAGTTTCTCCAATTGTGTCCTGTTAGAAAAGAAAACATTCTTATTGCACTTATGTAAATAACTATATCACCATAAGTTAAAAATACAAATAGTTTCCAAATTCTGGAGAAACCAGGTAGAAACAAATATGCTTCAAATTTTGTTTACAAGAATGTACTTTACTGAGTTGTTAAAAGCTGTAAATAGTGCAAAAGAAAGTTTTCTTTCTTTTTTTTTTTTTTTTTTTTTTTGAGACAGAGTCTCACTCTATTGCCCAGGCTTGAGTGCAGTGGTGTGATCTCGGCTCACTACAACCTCTGCCCCCTGGGTTCAAGCAATTCTCCTGCCTCCCTAGTAGCTGGAATTACAGGTGTGCGCTACCATGCCTGGCTAATTTTTGAACCTTTAGTAGAGATGGGGTTTTTGCCATGTTGGCCAGGCTGGTCTCGAACTCCTGGCCTCAAATGATCCACCCGCCTCAGCCTCCCAAAGTGCTGGGATTACAGGCGTGAGCCACCACATTTGGCTTTGAAAAAACGAAAAGGATCAGCAACATTTTAAGCAAAAAAAGTAAAGAAAAAGATTACTTCAGTTTTCTGTTCGGTCCATTCAGTTAACTCCTGTTCTGCTTGATATTCATGAACATTTTAGCTATCCCTGGGAGTCCTGAAAGTTTTTTTTATTCTAATGCCACAATCTCCAGTGTTATTAGAAACTTGCATTCAGGAGCACCTGTCAAAGTTTTATAGCTAATTATAAAACCATCTTCTAAAGAGGATCAAAACAAGACAGTTGTCTGTGGATGAAAAAACATTTTAGGGCAGCCACAGTCAAAGACACAATTGACAAGAAAATTTGTTACCTCTGTGGCACACAATAATTTAACATAACAATTATTATTGATAACATATAGTGAGGCATATTAGAATTATAGGAATCTCATACAATTTTGTAACACATACTAATAACCTATTTATATGAATGTAACCGAAAGAGAATTAAATACCATTTTATATTTGACAGTGTTTCCTTTGTTGAAAACACTGGATATCAGACGGGCACAGTGGCTCACACCTATAATCCCAGCACTTTGGGAGGTCGAGGTGGGCAGATCACTTGAGGCCAGGAGTTCAAGACCAGGCTGGCCAACATGGTGAAACCCCGTCTCTACCAAAAAATACAAAAATTAGCTGGGTGTAGTGGCGTACACCTATAATCCCAGCCACTTGGGAAGCTGAGGCATGAGACTTGCTTGAACTCATGAGGCAGAGGTTGCAGTGAGCCAAGATTGTGCCACTGCACTCCAGCCTGGGCAACAGAGCAAGACCTTGTCTCAAAAAAGCAACACTGGATATTCACAAAGTAGAATCCCAGGTCACCATAAGTCATTCATTTAACCAAAATGATAACCCACAAATTTTAAAACAGGAAAAACCTTTACTGTGGTAGAAAGGAGACTCAGCTTTCCAAACAACAAGATCCAGTGAAGATAGCATGATGCCAACTGATTTGTCTTTTCTCTCAACACCACCCCCTCCGCCACCTTTTTTGTAGTTTACTTAAAAGGCAAATGAAAACCTTTCGTTATCTTTTAATATTACATGAAAATTCTTTTCAAAAGAGAAAACCAAATTTAATGTTTGCATTAGTGCATCTTTAAAATGCTAAAGCTAGGTGGTTTTTTTTTTGTTTTTTTTTTTTTTTTTGAGACGGAGTCTTGCTCTGGCACCCAGGCTGGAGTGCAGTGGCATGATCTCGGCTCACTGCAACCTCCGCCTACTGGTTTCAAGCAACTCTTTTGTCTCAGCCTCCTGAGTAGCTGGCACTACAGGCACCCGCCAACACACCCGGCTAATTTTTAGTAGAGACACTATTTCACCATATTGGTCAGGCTAGTCTCAAACTCCTAACCTCAGGTGATCCGCCTGCCTCGGCTTCCCAAAGTGCTGGAATTACAGGTGTGAGCCACCACGTCCAGCCTAAATTTAGTTTAATAGCATTTTACAAATCTATTCAGTTTTAGTTAGTTTGACCATAAGGTAAGATTCTTATAAACCTTTTATAACCCTTTACAATATTTTTTTTGTTAAAGAGCAGAACAATGATTTAGGAAAACTCTGTTGCACTTTTATTCCAATGTTCAATTTATGGAAAAACAGAATAATACCTCTTTAACTTTAGCCAATATGTTTGCACACATTAATTTTTTATAAACCTTTCACAACTTGTTTAAACCTTTAGATTTTTTCCTTCCTCACTTAACACAATCCTTTAACCCTCTAAACTTAGGTGAGAAATTCATATTCCCATGCCTTCTTAAAATCTTTTACCAAAAGTACATTCTGCTTTCCTTACACACTTTGTGTGTAGAACTGTTTCTTCAGTAGTCTCAAATACATGTTACACTGTTAACTCTTAGCAACTTTTACTTTCGGTGAAAAACCTGGTTAGTAAGCAATTGTAATTATGTACCAGGTGTGGAGCCTAGAACAGACACCAGTCAGAAGTGCAGATAAGGTCTGACTTTCCAGCATAGCCAGGGGACTTGGCTGACTCCACATGTCCCCAGGCCTTACCTAGCTGTAAAGCAGGCAGGTTGTGAAGTCATAGTGGCAGTTTATGAAATATTTAGGGGACCTAATAATCTTTAAATTGTATAACATTTCTTGCATAAATTTCCTTTCATGAATCCTTTCATGACTTAGACCATCTATGACATGCTTGGACTTTCTGACTTGTCCTAACCACCCCTCTCTTTAAACAACCAGTCTTTTTACTTTAGGACAAGAATTTACCATACAAGATTCTTTTGTATAAAATATTTTCTTTATGGGGGCTAATTTCACATGTCCCCAGACCTTACCTAGAATGTAATGGCTCCAAGGGAGGTATATTGAAGAATTTTCAAAAGTTAAAGAAGCAGTTTATGACCTTAGAGCATTTAGCAAACCTAATATTTGACCTAATTTAGATGAAATGTCTAAATTTGGAAGATATTTTTATTTACCAGTAATCTTTAAAACTGTTTATTACCAAAAGATTACGAAAGTTATATGAACTAAACTAGCTCATTAGTTTTAGTTTTTCTGACAAAATATCTGATTTAAGTGCTTATTTTTCTTTAAGCTAGTTAATTAGAGCTCTTTTATATAAACATCACACACAACACATACACAGACAGAATATCCAGTAGTTGTAACATTTTTCATTTGCCAGTTTCTTAAGTTGGATTACTGGCTTCAGGGCAGAGCCCTTCACGAAACAAGGCTAGGAAAGCATGCAGTTACTAGGGCCTAAAAAGCAGGCACAGCTGGAAAGCAAAGACATTCTCAAAATTAAGGGTCCCATTTTTATATTGCATCCTGGATTTTCAAAAGGGAAATGCTGTTGGAGAAAACGGTGCAATGCTTTTACCATGCATTTAATTGCCTGGCAACCCAAACCCAGTCAGCCGATTTTGTTTTTGTTTCTGTTCTGGGGGGATGGAATCTTGCCCTGTCACCCAGGCTAGATTGCAGTGGTGTGACCTTGGCTCATTGCAACCTCCACCTCCTGGCAATCAGCCCATTTTGTAATTAGCCCATCCCCCATGGGAATCTCATCTCTCAGTAGAGTGTGGGGATTTTTCCTCCTTACCTTCCAGGTGGCCAAGAGCATGCTTCTTTGATTAAAGCGTGCAGTGAGCCAAGTATCCCTCTGTAACTGTTATTAGCCATCCCTTAAAGTACATTTTGTACCTAATTTTTGCACACCAAGGCTAACAGCTCTCCCATAATGCAGAGTAATTTCTGATACCCCCAAAACTTGGAAAAAAAAAAAAACGTCAGGTAACATAATGTAAAGCTGAACAGAGCCTTAGATTTTGAGAGCGATCTATCCACTTTCAACTCCTGGGGTTCCATGAGGAAAACAGGTTTTTTTTTTTTCCAAAGTGGAAGCTGTTAGAAATTATCTTAAGTTCTCTCATGTGGGCATCAGGAGGGCAAAGTAGAGAAATAATTCAGTTGACTGAGAAGAAAAACAAAAACTTTTTCACAAAAACAACCAATATCCAAGAAGAAAAAAAAAAAAAAAACCAAGGCCTTTTAAAATAATAGAGCTTGGATATCCATTTTTAATTAAGTTGATTTTAACCATAGAGCTCTTTTTAAATTTTTTTTTAAAAATCTCTTATTATCAGACTCTAGCCAGGACAGTCAATATTTCTGGCTTTTGAACTTTGCCACAGGTAACTTCCCATGTGAAATTAATAAGTTTTAGCTAAGGTTACAGCTTAACCATGGACCCATAAGGTGTTTCAAAGAGATGGTAAGCAGCTTCTTTTTACAAGATTTAGAATCTTCCCAAGGGCAGTTTGGAGAAAGAAAAATTCAAGACAGGAAATCGGAAGCTAGCCATTGGGGTGGGGGTGGGACCCTCAAAAAGTGGGAAAGTTAAGTAACAAACCAGAAAGGAATCATTTCCGAAGCCAAGAATTCAACCTGGGCTGCCACTGTCAAAAGACAAAAAGCCTTGTCTACTGAGTTACAACATTCAGCAGGTTCTATTGCTCTTCCCAGAAGGTGCTTAGAGGAGCCAATTTCAAGCTTGCAAAGGCTTTTAATTGCTCAAGATAATTTTTGACTTTTGTCAGCAGTTCCTTCAGAGATCCCCACCATATACAGAAACACACAAAGACAAGACAGACAGAAGAGCTTCCAAATCAAGATCCCTAACCAATAATTTCAGAGTACCCCTTCCAAACTATCCTCCTATTCTCTGCCTGAGAAATCTCCCCTAAATCTTCTGGATTGAGGAGAAGTCTTCCTAACTAAGACTCTTCCTACTAATTAAGGAGAGCCAACTGAGACCCCAAAGGAGCCGAACCAAGACAGACACTCGGTGATGGAGCTGCAGACACATACCACACCATGGGGCTATGGAACCATTTGGGAGAAGGAAGGAGCTGTGGCAGCGCCTAGGATACTCACTGAGCCAGACACCCTGTGATAGGGGAACAGTTATTGGACATCTGCCCAGGATTGTTTCTCCATTGCAATTAAATTCATGCACATTGGGTTGGCAGTGCCCTGTCGGTAGAGACAGTGTCAGAGTCAGCCACCAATCCAAGAGAACTAGGCAGCCGCTTGGGCTGGCCTCTGGATCCATTGCCAGAGGGGTGCTACCAAACCACAGGCAGGTAGCCACAAGAGCAATCCTGGACAAGCCTCCAAATTTGTAACCAACCAACAGGTTCACCTTGCCCTCTGCCTAGACAGAGCCAATTTATCAAGACAGGGGAACTGCAGTGGAGAAAGAGTAATTCACACACAGCTGGCTGTGTGGGAGACTAGAGTTTTATTATTACTCAAAACCCTCTCCCCCAGCGTTCAGGGATCAGTTTTTAAAGATAATTTGGCAGGTAGGGGCTTGGGAAGTGGGGAGTGCTGATTGGTCAGGTTGGAGATGGAATCATGGGGGTCAAAGTGAGGTTTTCTTGCTGTCTTCTGTTCCTGGGTGGGATGGCAGAATTGGTTGAGCCAGAATATGGATCTGGGTGGTGTCAGCTGATTCATTGAGTGCAGAGTCTGCAAAATATTTCAACCACTAATTTTAGGTTTTACAATAGTGATGTTATCCCCAGGAGCAATTTGGGGAGGTTCAGACTCTTGGAGCCAGAAGCTATATGACTCCTAAACCATCATTTCTAATCTTGTAGCTAATTTGTTAGTCCTTCAAAGGCAGACTGGTCCCCAAGCAAGAAGGGGGTCTTTCCGAGAAAGGGCTGTTACCAGTTTTGTTTCAGAGTCAAACCGTAAACTGAATTCCTTCCCAAGGTTATTTCGACCTACACCCAGCAATGAACAAGAACAGCCCAAAGGTTAGATACAAGATGGAGTCAATTAGGTCTGATCTCTTTCACTGTCATAATTTCCTCAGTTATAATTTTTGCAAAGGTGGTTTCACCAGTCTACAAAGTGAATTCCTTTGGCAGGTTCTATACCCTTGTAGGGATCTAGGGAAAAGTTTCCCAGGTTGTTTTGTGATTATGACTGATGGGCTATAAATCGATTTTCTCACAACTCACTCCATGGGTTTTGTTAATTAGCTAAGCAGCTCAGAGAACTCTGGGCAAGACACTTACTGGTTAATTGTAAAGGCTGTTACAAAGGTTATAGATGAAGCGATGCATAGGGCAAGGTATGAGGGAAAGGGCTTAGAGCTTCCATACCCTCTCCAGGAACAACACCCTTCAGGATAGGTATTAGCTATCCTGAAACTCTCCAAAGCCAGTCCATTTGGGTTTTTATGGAAGCCTCATTACATAGGCGTGATTGATTAAATCATTGGCACTGATGATCAAACTAACCTTCAGCCCCTCTCCCTTCCCGAGAGGTTGGAAGTAGGGTTGAGACCCTGTCATCCTACTTTGGTCTCTGCTGACCAACCCCATCCTGAAGCTACTACCTATGGATGCCAGTCATAGTTGAACTCATTAGGATATGAAAAGACTATCACTTTCAAATTCTAAAAATTTTAAAAGTTGTATGCCAGGAAATACATATTTCACAGTATTACAGTCTTACAAGATAATGAAACCATGATCTTTGGGATTGTCTTTTATGCCAGACAGAAATCATCTGTATCTATACTGGACAAAAATCTACAAGTTATAATGTAATTTCACAGATTCTGGATGTTATTTAATGTAAATATGTCAAGCAAAAAAATACATTCTCCTAGGATGTACATTGGCAAACTTTTTCTCTAAAGAGCCAAATGATAAATATTGTAGACTTTGTGGACCACAAAGTCTTTGTTTTATATTCCTTTTTGTTTTGGTTTTTACAGCCCTTTAAAAATGTAAAAACTATTTTTACCTCAGGGGTTGTATATACAAAATGGTCCAAGGGCTGGATTTGCACAAACCAGTATGGTAGCCACTACCCCATGTGGCTGTCTAAATTGCTTCAGTGAAATTAAGTGCTAGTGGTCACATGTAACTAGTGGCCACCAATTTGGATAGTACAGCTGTAGGACATTTCCATCATTGCAGAAGTTCTTTTGGACAGTGCTGCCCTAAAGTATTAAGTAATCCTTGATTGGGCCTGCTAGAGAATAGTGTGATATTGAGGCTGGGCACAGTGACTCACACCTGCAATCCCAACACATTGGGAGGTCGAGGCAGGTGGATCACTTGAGGTCAGGAGTTCGAGACCAGCCTGGCCAATATGGTGAAACCCCGTCTCTACTAAAAATACAAAAATTAGCCAGGCATGGTGGCGGGTGCCTGTAATCCCAACTACTTGGGAGGCTGAGGCAGGAGAATCACTTGAACCTGAGAGGCGAAGGTTGCCATGAGCCAAGATCCTGCCATTGCACCCCAGCCTGGGCGACAAGAATGAAACTTCATCTCCAAAAAAAAAAAAAAAAGAAAACATAGTATGACATTGAAAGAACATGCTGCCATTTTTTTTACCTTATTTTCAGGATTTTTGTAATTTTTGTTCATTGCGTCCCCTTCTATATAACATCTGGAGATTATTCTTGATATCACACCCACACAGTAGCGTCTTTGTATTTGGGTGATGGTAAGATGTATTAGTAGCTAGTGAGGGTAGAGAATTATCCTCAGGAAATTTCATAAGAAATCTTATATTGCATTTTAAATAGCCAGGTGAGATTTTTGCTTATTTTTTGTTTTTATCTGTTCTTATTGGCTCTTCTAAAGCTTGGAAACCAACCTCAAAAAAAAAAAATCAAGAAAACTATCTCTACATATTTCACCTGTAGTGTCTGTACATCTAGATGAATTCCTCTCTCTTCAGAATTCCCAAAATCTGCTAAAATTTCTGACTTTCCAGGAATTGACCTTAATACAGAACAGAAGGCTGAGATCCTGCACCATAGGATAGGCACCAGGCCAGTTTCCTGAGCATGAGTTCAACACATGAACTACAGTTCTTGTTCTTTAATAGTGGCCATTCTATACCTTATTAAATAAAATTCTTATGTAATTCCAGATATGGCCTGGGTTGCACAATCAGTTTGTCTGATTCTCTTCTGGTAAAAAGGGGGCCAAATTCTTAATGATCTTATGCAAGCAGCTGCATATCATGAAAAGTGAAGAGAGCCAGTGAAAGTATTTTTAATTCCTGAATTTTGAGTGTCAAGGAAAACAAGATAACATTTTGAAAGTGTTTTCTTTCCATTTGTAAAAGCATAGCTTGCTAAGTAGAAGGTTAAAAATTAATGAAAAGGGGCTTCTTCCTATACCTGAGAGAAAATAGAACATTGTAAAAAATCAACTATATTTCATATAACTAGAGTTAGATTTCTTTCATTAATTCATTCAGTCATTACATTGTGTTCCACTAGATCTTGGGTTGTCTGCTTCACAAAGGGTCCCAGAAATCTCGACTGAATCCTTTGGTGTAGTCTAGCCTGTTGCTTAAGGGATGTCGCTTATACTCCAAAGTTTGTGTCCATGAGTCAGTTTCTTGAGGTATCAGTAGTCAAGAGTGTCTGGCATAGTCTCTTCTGCAAGACTCTCGGACTGTCATCCTTTGTTGTAGACCCACTTTCTATGCTGTAGTCAGTAGCAGAGGTATAGCACAAGGAAGAGAGGAAAGAAGAAACCACTTGTTAATGACAAGACTGGATAACCATGGTCAGTTTATACAGTAACCAACAAAATCAGGATGGAGGAGAGTTAAAATCTATTGAGGTACAGTACATAACTGTTTCTTAAGATTGGAGCAGTGTTTATTTGAAAGCTAAGAACATATTGTGGGCATTGACAAGGCGCTAAGGCCTTCCATTCTATCTTGTAAAGTGTGTAGTCTCTAAAAAAAAAAATGTTAAAAGTTTTTATCTGTACAAAAGTATCCAGAGAAGACCATGCTTCCTCTTTGATTTGACAGAAACTAATCATGTTGAGCTATTTAAGAAACACAGAATACTCCAAAGAAATTAGTTTTAACATCCTTCTTGTTATAAGGTGATAAAAACAAATCTTTGTGATTTCCCAGGGACCTTTAGGAACCTCCAGAGATAGTTTAGATGTAAAAAACAGAGTTGCATACTACTTAGCAATGGAAAAGGATAAATTACTGGCTGATACATGTAACGATGTGGATTAATCTCAAAACTATTATGCTGCATTTAAGAGCCTTACTAAAAGAGTATATATACTGTTGTAATTCTGCTCTTGTTACGTTATAGACAAGGGTAAACTAATCGTGTAGTTACGGTGAAAAAAAAATCAGAGTAATTAGGAGAAAACAACTGGAAAAAGACATTAAACACAGACTGGGTATTAGATTAAGAAAGTGTTTTGCTGGGTGCAGTAATGACATTGTGGTTATATTAAAAAGAGCATGTGTATGTATGTGGTAAAATTATATACTCGGTAGTTAAGCATGGTGGTGTGCACCTGTGGTGCCAGCTGCTTGGAAGGTTGAGGTGTGAAGATGGTTTGAGGCCAGCATTCTGAGGCTGCAGTGTACTGTGTTCACACCTATGAATGCACACCACCTGGACAACATAGACCCATCTCTAAACAAAAGTGAAAAATTCTGTGTCTGTCTTACTTGGAAATTAATCACATATTCTAAAGAGTAACCATTAATTAATATCAGTCTAGCCAAAGTCTTGAAGTTAATTAATGATCTTGGAAGTTATGCTTATACTGACAACTGAGCAACATCCAACTTCTGGTATCAAAAAGTTTGGCCGGGCGCAGTGGCTCACACCCGTAATCCCAGCACTTTGGGAGGCCGAGGCGGGCGGATCACTTGAGATCAGGAGTTGGAGACCAGCCTGGCCAACGTGATGAAACCTCATCTCTACTAAAAATACAAAAATTAGCTGGGCATGGTGGTGTCTGCCTGTAGTCCCAGCTACTCTGGAGGCTGAGGCAGGATAATTGCTTGAACCCAGGAGTTGGAGGTTGCAGTGAGCCAAGATCATGCCACTGCACGCCAGCTTGGGCAACAGGGTGAGACTTTGTCTCAAAAAAAAAAAGCCAGGCATGATGGCACATGCCTGTAATCCCAGCTACTTGGGAGGATAGGGCTGGAGAATCACTTGAACCCAGGAGGTGGAGGTTGCAGTGAGCCGAGATCACACCACTGCACTCCAGTCTGGGCAACAGAGTGAGACTCCATCTCAAAAAAAAAAAAAAAGTTCGTTACTATTATAATTTTATTTAGTTGAACATATAATTTTATATAATCATTTATTTTTTTTTTAAATAGAGACAGGGTCTCACCATGTTGCCCAGGCTGGTCTTGAGCTCCTGGGCTCAAGCAATCCTCCTGCCTTAGCCTCCCAAATTGCTGGGATTACAGATGTGAGCCACCACACTGGGCCAAATTTTATATTTTTCATAATCATAAATATATATGAGTAATATTAGCTTACCTAATCAGTAAGCCAGTAAAGTATAGGAAGTTTAATCTCTGTGAGAAAAACATTTAAAAAAAAAATGTGTAGGCCGAGTGACGTGACTCACGCCTGTAATCCTAGCACTTTGGGAGGCTGAGTGGGTGGATCATATGAGGTCAGGAGTTCAAGACCAGCCTGACCAACATGGTGAAACCCCATCTCTACTAAAAGTACAAAAAAATTAGCCAGGCATGGTGGCAGGTGCCTGTAATCTCAGCTACTTGGGAGGCTGAGGCAGGAGAATCACTTTAACCCAGGAGGCAGAGGTTGCAGTGAGCCGAAATCATGCCACTTCACTCCAGCCTAAGTGACAAAGCGAGACTCTATCTCAAAGAAAAAAGTATAGATTTATTATATTCTACACTGGTAAAATCAGGGAAAGGACATCTATTTTTAAATTAGTATTAAAATAATAAAATAATACTGATTTGCGTGAGAATTATTTTGATTACACAAATTTGGATTCTTAACAGTGTTTTTGACCTATTGGTTTCTTTGAGTTTTGGAGTTTTTCTATTTGTTGTTATTTTTTAAGAGATGGTAATCTCGCAGTGTGTTATTAGCTGGACTCAGAACTCCTGGGCTCAAATGATCCTCCTGCCTCACCCTCCCAAGTCGCTGGGAATACAGGCATGTATCACTACACCCAGCCTGGGTTTGTTTTTTTTTGTCCTTAAAAGGCTAACATGTTTAAAGTATTACATGTTTAGTTTCATTATGTTGGAGGAATTCTAGAAATATAGATAGAGTTAAGGAAGTTCTTGTAATTATCTGTCAACCAACTAGAGTAGAGATTGTTTGAGAAACTTTATAATCTAATGTATTAATAGCCCTGGGGATATTTCTCATTCATACCGTGAAAAATGAGGCTTTTCTTATAGTCACAAGTGCACAAGAACTTTCAGCTTCAACAGTCTGAATCACAGGTAAAAATAATTGAGAAACACATAACTGGTCCAGATTTCAAAAAGACAGTTCTTTCATTGGTCCCGAAACGTGATCTTGCACTAACAACAACACAGAAAAGACTAAAACCAGATTTTCTTGAGGTGTCTCATCTGACAGAAAATAGATCCCTATTGTCTACCGGACAGATCACCATATGGTCAGACCATAAAATCAGATTCCTAGCCAAGATCAGTTATCAGCCATGCATAGACCAGATTCATGTATACAGAGGGTGCAGTTGAAACTGGCCTAGTGATTTGTATCCACTGGTCTCTGGGCCAGTGTGGACAGGGACATGTGGCTAAGAATCATCAAACGAAAACACATTATCAGAAGAAAAGGAGACAACAGAGAAACAGCAGAAGTAACATTCTCTGGCTGCTTGGTATTCTCTTGGTACTCTGGGAGCCAAAATGAGACATGCTTGGGTTTAAGGAGCTGATGAAGTGCCCTTCTGGGGACACTCAGTTTAGTAGCTCAAGCAGATGAGAGTCCCTTCGGGCATCTGAGTGGGTACTACTCTACTGCCAAAGTGTAAAAATTTTTTTGAAGTTATGTAAGCATGACTTTCAGACAGGTAACTCATAAATGAGGGACCAGCAGGAATGTAGAAATGGTTCAGAGAGCACTTGAAGTTTTCAAATTTATTTATTTTTTAAATTGACAGATAAAATTGTATTTATTATGTATCCATGATGTTTTGAAGTACATAACAATGTGGAATGGTTAAAGCTAGCTAATTAACATGCCTCACATAGATGTGATTTTTGTGGTGAGGACACATATCTATTCTGTTAGTATTTTTCATGACCACAATATATTGTCATTAACTATAGTCACCATGCTGTACAATAGTTCTCTTGAATTTATTCCTCCTATCTAACTGTAATCTTGTGTCCTTTGACCAACATCTCCAGAATCCCTTCCCCAAACTGTGCCAGCCTTGGATAACCACCATTCTTCTCTCTGTTTGTAGGAGACCAACTTTTTTAGATTCCACATACATCATTTGTCTTTCCATGCCTGGCTTATTTCACTTAACCTCATGTTTTCAGGTTTATCTATGATGTTGCAAATACCAGGATTTCCTTTTTTTATTTTTTATGGCTGATAAGCATTCCATTGTTTATATTTACCATATTTTGGTATTTGCAAAAGGGTCCTGGAATCAATCCCCTGCGGACACCAAGGGATGACTATATATAACATTTTCTCTTTTATTATTTTATTTATTTATTTATTTATTGAGACAGGGCCTCACTCTGTCGCCCAGGCTAGAGTGCAGTGATGTGGTCATAGTTAACTGCAGCCTCAAATTACTGGGCTCAAGCAGTTCCCCCACCTCAGCTTCCTGAGTAGATGGGACCACAGGCGAGTTTACCATCATGCCCACCTACTTTTTAAATTGGTTATAGAGATGAGGTCTCCCTATGTTGCTCAGCCTGTTCTCAAATTCCTGAGCTCAAACTCCTGGCCTCCCCAAGTGCTAGGATTACAGGCATGAGCCACTGCCCTCAGCCAGTAATTTTTTTCATGTACAGTGGTCCCCCTTATCTGCTGGGGATACGTTCCAAGACCCCCAGTAGATACCTAAAACCTTGGATGGTACCGAGTCCTATATATACAACGTTTTTTTTCCTATACGTAGATACCCATGATAAAGATTAAATTATACATTAGGCACAATAAAGGATTAACGACAATTACTAATAATAGAAAAATTATAACAGTATACTCTAATAAAAGTTAGTTTCTTATTAAGTGGAGAACTTTCATCTATGCATTTAAAGGAAGCAATTTATTGCTTCTCTTTGGCGTGTCCAAATTGCCAACGTTACTACTCTTGTATTTTGGGATCGTTATTAAGTAAAATAAGGGCAACTTGAAGATGGCCACCTAGATACTGCTACAGTCGATCTGATAACCAAGGCAGCTACTGTCTGTTGGGCAGGTAGTATATACAGCGTGGATATACCAGACAGAGGAATGATTCCAATACTGGATAGCGGAAGATTTCACTGCACTGCTTAGAGGGCACAATTAAAAATTTTTATGAATTGCTTATTTCTGGAGTTTTCTATTTAATATTTTCATAACATGCTTGACCAAGGGTAACTGAAACCACACATAAGGGGGGACTCACTACTGTACCTGTTGGCCATTTGTATATCTTCTTTTGATAAATGTGTCTATTCAAATCTTTTGCTCATTTTTTAATTGGATTGTTGTCTTGCTCTTGTTGTTTTGAGTTCCTTTTATATTTTTGGATATTAACCTCTTATGTGTATAGTTTGCAAATATTTTCTCTCATTCTGTAGGTAATCTCTGTTGATTGGCTTCTTGCTTGTCCAGAGGTTTTTATTTGATGTAATTCTGTTAGTCTATTTTTGTTTTTGTAGCCTCTGCTTTTGTGGTTGTATTTTAAAAAAATCATTGTCCAGACCAATGTCGTGAAGCTTTTCCTCTATGTTTTCATCTAGTAGTTTCATAGTTTGGAGTCTTAACCTTTAAGTCTTTAATCCATCTTTAGTTGATTATTGTATATGATGCGAGATAAGGATCTAATATCATTCTTTTGCATGTGGTTGTATACTTTTCCCAATATATTTATTGAAGAGATTGTCCTGGGATATCATTCCATTTATTTGTGTCTTCAATTTCTTTTGTCAGTGTTTTCGTTTTCTGTGTAAAGATTTTTGAACTCCTTGGTTAAATTTATTCCTAAGTAGTTCACTGTTAGTTTAGAAACACTACTGATTTTTGTGTTGATTTTGTATTCTGCAACTTTATGGAATTCAATAATTCTGGGGGTTTTTTTGGTGGACTGTTAGGGGTTTCCTATATAGTAAAATCATGTCATCTGGGAACAGTTTAACTTTTTTCTTTCTAGTGTGGATGTCTTATATTTCTCTTGCCTAATTGCTCTAAAACTTTGAATACCATATTGAAAGAGCGGGCTTCTTTGTCTTGTTCCAGATCTTACAGGAAGAGCCTTAAATTTTTCTTCACTGAGTATGTTATGAGTTGCAGATTTATCATATGTGGCATTTATTGTGTTGAAGTGTTGGGATTTTTTTTTTTTTATCATGAAAAGGCATGGGATTTTATCAAATGCTTTTTTGGCATTCATTGAACTGATCATATGGCTTTTGTTTTTCATTCTGTTAATGTAATGTATCCTGTTTTTTCATTTGCATTTGTATTTGTTCAGCCATCCTTGCATTCCTTGGATGAATCCTACTTGATTATAGTGAATGATCTTTTTAATGTGTTATTGAATTCTCTTTGCTATTACAGTAGTCTCTTGTCATTTGTGGGTGATTGGTTCCAGGATCTCTCACGGATATGAAAATCTGCAGCTACTCAGGTCCCTGGTATAAAATGGTATAGTGTTTGCGTATAATCTATGTATATTTTCCTGTATACTTAAATCATCTTGAGATGATTTGACCTCCTTGACCTACTTATAATGCCTTATACAATGTAAATGTGATATAAATAGTTATATTGTATTCTTTAGGGAATAATGACAGGAAAAAAGTCTGTACATGTCCAGGACAAATGTAATTTTTTTTCTGAGTATTTTCAATCTGTGGTTGGTTGAATCCATGGATGCGGAAACCACAGATAGAGAAGGCCAACTATATTTTGTTGAAGGTTTTTGTATCTGTGTTCATCAGGGATATTGGCCTGCAGTTTTCTTTTTTTGTTTTATCCTCATCTGGTTTTGGTACCAGGGTAATGCTGGCCTCAAAAATGAATTTGGAAGTATTTCCTCCTCTTCAGTTTTTTGGAAGAGTTTGAGAAGAATTGACATTAGTTCTTCTTTAAATGTTTGGTAGAATTCAGCAGTGAAGCAAGCCATCAGTTCCTGGGCTTTTCTTTGATAGGAGACTTCTTATTACTGATTTAGTCTCACTCATTATTAGTCTCTTCAGGTTTTCTATTCCTAATTCAATCTTGGTAGGTTGTATGTGTCAAGGAATTTATCCATTTCTTCTGAGTTATCCAATTTGTTCGTGTATAATTGTTCATAATAGTTTTTTGTGATCTTCTGTAAATCTGCAGTATCAGTTGTCATATCTACTTTTTCATTTCTGATTTTGTCTCCTCTTTTTTCTTAGTCTAGCTAAAGGGTTATGAATTTTTAAAACCTTTTCATAAACAACTCATTTTATTAATATTTTCTATTTTTATAGTCTCTGTTTCATTTATTTCTGCTCTAATCTTTCATTTATTTCTAATCTAATCTTAATTTCCATCTGGATTTTGCCATGTTGCCCAGGCTGGTCTTGAACTGAAAGTGGTGTGTTGATGTTCCTTACAGTTATTGTATTATAGTCTATCCCTTCAAATCTATTAATATTTGCCTTATGTATTTGAGTGTGTACATATATATATATATGTATGTATAGTTGTTATACTGTCATGCTGAATTGACCCCTTTAATATTTTATAATGACTTTGTTTCTTCTAATAGTTTTTGACTTACAGTTTATTTTATCTGATATAAGTATAGCTACGCCTGCTTTCTTTTGGTTTTCCATTCACATGAAATACCTTTTTCCATCCCTTCACCTTCAGTCTGTGTGACCCTACTGGTGAAGTGAGTCTCTTGCAGGCAGCATATACTTGGATCTTTTTTTTTTTTTGTCATTTTTCTTTTTCTATTTATATTCAAGGTTATTATTGGAATACAGTTGCTTGGTTAGATACAGATTGGCTAATATCTTACAGAGCAACAACATTGTAACCTTTTGGGTTATTTTTCTAGCAGACTGAGATAGTTGGCATCTCTACTGGACAGAAATCTACATTTGAATGCATAGCTTCACAGTCTAGACCCTAACCAATAATGAATAATGTGTTAGGCAAAGGTGTATTTCCTAGAGAATTAAATAATCTTTGAGTAGGCCTAAGAGAGTACTCCCTTATATTTGAAAGGCCATTCTTTTCCCTTATTTAGAAGTATTTGATAATTTTATTTAACTTTATTCAAACTACTAAAATGAAACTCCCTTCCCCCCTTTTTGGCCATTCTTTCCCTCTTAAACAATGTTAACCACATCATTGATAACTAGGCTGGATGTCAGCCTGTGTTCCTGAACCTCCTAATTCCTGTTCTGACATGTTCTTGTTAGACATTTATTGATTAGTTCAGGGTTTCTCATCTGACATTTTGGACAGATCATTGTTGTGGGGGCTGTACTGTGTATTGTAGGATATTTAGTAGCTTTTCTGGCCTCTACCCTCTAGTTGCCAAGAGCATCCTCTTGGTTGTGACAACCAGCAATGTCTCTTGGCATTGTCAAATGTCTCTTGGCATTGTCAAATGCCCCAAGGAAGGGCAAAATCTCACCTAGCTGAGAACCATAGTTAAATGACCAAGGCCAGTCCCCACTCTTAATATAATACATTTACAATCTAATAGAGCTGTGATAAATGCTATAGTTTAAATAATAAGATACTGTTACGTATAGAAAGCAGAGATTAATACACTTTGGATTTCTTAGAAGGTACTTTTGGATTAGAGTGGAAGGAAGAAAAGTTTAAACTAGGTTATAGAAATAAGCACATTAAAGTCTAGACTGCAGGGACTTTGAATATTGTTCTCAGAATCTTGAACATTAATCCTACACGATGAAGAGCTTTAGAAAGTTTTTGAGCAAGGAAGTGAAATTGGTACGTTTTCAGAACTTTGGTACTGTAACAGAGGAGTGGAGTGTGGTAAAACTGACAGTAGGAAGAAGAGTTTAGAATTAGTTGCCATGTTCACAAGACTCAGTGCCCACATCACTGAAAGGCAACTTGGGCCAAGGATGGAGTGGAAGAGAGCTGTGAGCTCTGATTCAGAACTGTTAAGTTTGAGGCACGTGTGGGATAACCAGGCGGAAGTGCTCAGGGAGTAGTCTTGCAGCCTAAAAAAATGTTAATAGTTGCTTCTTCTTTGAGAAAACATCAAATGGCGGATGACGCCAGTGTAGCTAGGGCTGGTGAGGGGGCAAGGGGTGCAGGAGTGCGACCCAGAGCCCCTGGGGGTCCTGGGATGAGGAACTGCAGAGGCTTCCGCATTGGCATCTGGGGCTAGGGCCTCAGCCAAGGACAAGAAATATATGCCCATTACCAAGCTGGGCCACCTGGTCAAGAACATGAAGATCAAGTCCCTGGAGGAAATCCATCTCTTCTCCCTGCCCATCAAGGAGTCTAAGATCATTGACTTTTAACTGGGGGCTCTCTCAAGGATGAGGTTTTGAAGATTATGCCAATGCAGAAGCACACGTGCATCAGCCAGCACATCAGGTTCAAGGCATTTGTTGCCTTCAGGGACTAGAACGGTCACGTCTAGTGTGGGTGTTAAGTGTTCCAAGGAGATGCCGTCCGAGGGGCCATCATTCTGGCCAAGCTTTTCATTGTTCCCGTGCACAGAGGTTACTGGGGGAACAAGATCAGCAAGCCCCACACCATCCCTTGCAAGGTGACAGGCCACTGCAGCTCTGTGCTTGTGCGCCTCATCCCTGCGCCCAGGGGCACTGGTGTCATCTCGGCCCCGGTACCCAAGAAGCTGCTGCTGGTGGCTGGTATTGATGATTGCTACACCTCAGCCAGGAGCTGCACTGCCACCCTGGGCAACTTTGCCAAGACCACCTTTGATGCCATCTCCAAGACCTACAGCTGCCTGACCCCCGACCTCTGGAAGAAGACTGTGTTCACCAAGTCTCCCTATGAGGAATTCACTGACCACCTCGTCAAGACCCACACCAGAGTCTCCATGCAAAGGACCCAGGCTGCAGCTGTGGCTGCAACATAGGGGTTTTATACAAGAAAAATAAAGTGAATTATGCCTGTTAAGAAATGTTAGAGGTTAAAGGTGGAGATTTGGAGTTATCACCAGAACAGTAAAATTTAGGATTGCAGCTTGAAGAGTCTATGAAAGTATAGTTGAGGGAGAGGACCAGGAAAGAATTTTGGGAAATTTAAGGAGCAATAGAGAAAGAAAGCAAAAAACACAAAAAAAACAAAAACTGGGGGCACTAGTCAAAGGTAGGAAGTATCTCAGAAGAGTGGAGAGGAAAGAACTTGTCATGGGGAAGTTGGTCATGTTACATACAGTCCAAGCAGAATGAATACAAAGGAGGAGACTTTGGGCTTGGCATTAGTCATCATTGTTGGCATTCAACAAAGTGGTTTTGGTTTGAATGGGGGCAGATGAGGAAGGCAAGGGATTGCCAGTGAAATGGGGCTTGGGCTACCTTTTTCAAAAAGTGTGAAGCCAGGCCTAGTGGCTTACACCTTTAATCATAGCACTTTGAGAGGCTGAGGCAGGAGGATTGCTTGAGGCCAGGAGTTTGAGGCTGCAGTGAGCTGTGATCACACCTCTGCACTCTAACCTGGTCAGCAGAGCAAAACCCTGTCTCTAAAATAAAAGTGTGAAGATGAAAGGACAGAAATGGGGTAGTTCCACGCATCAGCAGTGGATTTGAAGGAAGCTTTCTGTAGGATGTGGGAAATCCAAGCGTGTTTGTAGGCAGAGGGGCAGCAGTGGGTAAACAGAGAAGTGATGAAGCCTGAGATAAGGCAGAATGCAAAGACATGACTTTGAAAAAGTAGGAAGGAGAAGGAAGTCATGAAAGGTAGAATTTTTAGATGAAATGGAGGAGAAGTCAAAGGGATTCACACATACTGACTTCTGGGCTCTGATCAAATATACTTTTTATTAAGAATGAGAAGAATGACAACAGACATGAGATTTGGGAACTTGAAGAGGTTCTTTGGATAAGAGTGAAGAAAAAATCAGGAGAGCTGGAAGTTTTTGAAGCTGTCAAATTGTGGAGATTTACAGATGTAGTAGGGATAGCGTCTAGAGTAGACACAGTATGGCAGCTGGTCCTGTCTCTAGGAGTACACTCAGTATGACCATGCAGGGAAGTCCTTTCCTATGGGGCAGATAAGCACCCTTCCAGGAATGAACTTCATAGACATTTTAGAGATGAGGTTAAAGAAAAAGATGGAACAGACAGCAAATGTTGAAATTATATTGGGGGAAAATGGCTAATAAAGGCATTATTAATTTGATAGCAATCTTACTAATATAGATGGCTAGAGACCTAAAATAGACCTGTTATAGACTTACAGATTAATGATTAAAAATTTGTTTTTTTTCTGAGGCTTTTGTGGTACTTCTAATTCATGTTTATGCTGTAGGACTCACGTTAATGTCTGAAAGTCATATTCTCCTTTTCTCTTAGAGATAATACAGAACACCTCTTATGAAAGAGTCTCCTAAAAAAAAAAAATAGCATACTAAAGTGTGCATCCAGCATTGAGAACTACTGGTCTGAACCATTTTAGAAATCCCTCCTTAATATTTTGAGTTTCCTTGCATGTGTAGTTTCTCTTTTCCCAGTGACTTGTGGTTGACTTGAACATCTTATGTTGTGCCATGGTGGAGTGATGCTCCTTGCAGCTGGCAAGTATGTCATACCTACCCCCATGGTAGCTGGTCTTGGGCTGCTGTGGTTTTTAACCGTTGTGTCTGCCTTGAATTTGTTTTTCGCTCTGTTTGTCCATTGCCATTTGCTCTCGTGTGCTCTTCAGGTAGCACTCAGTGCTGCCCCTTCTACACTTAAGAGTCAGCTGCTTCTGAGAATATGCAGCCTGGGTGAAGCTGGCCGAGCCCCTTTAGTGTATGCCAATACTAAAAAGTACAAGATGCTGAGTAGTGGTGTGAAGAAACATTTCCCCAGGTCAAACCTGCATACTCTTGAGCCCCTGCTTTGGTCATTTCTGGTTTTAGCTGTGTTTTGAATGGTAGAAGTTGCCGGGAACTCCTCTCTGGATTTGTGAAATGTTATGATAGAGTTGAGAAAAACTGAGTTTATAAAAGGTAGAATAATACAAATTCCATGTACCACATAAAAGAAAGTTAACTTATATATCATGTATATCATGCCCCTCCCCCTTTTTTCTTAAAAGCCTGAGTAAAGTAAAACAGAATAAGAACATTGTAGGATGGGGGAGATATTTTTAACTAACATTAAAAATGTCCAGATACCAAGTACAGCCAATTCAAATGATGGATATTTGGACTGCATTATCTTTCTTATGAGTGTAAGTAGTGGCCAAACATCTCAAACTTAATAATGCTGTATACTTTATTGTTCACTTCTGAACTCGAATATAATAATCCGTTGTTGCTACTCAGTACTTCAGAAGAGTAAGTTGTTATTGAAATCTGAATCTTAGGGGATAATTGTTTTGGGGACACCAAAAAAAATGGGTTTGTGCATGTGAAGCAGTCATAAGCATTTTGCACAGCTCTTTCCCAAAACTATGCAGTTCATCTTGTAATACTAGTTTTAGTTATATGAGGAATACTGTCAGACAACTCTGTCTGTGGTCAGCCTTTCTCTGCCAGTCTTGCCAGTACTTCCACACTTCCAGCACAGGAGACCCAGGAGCTCTCCTCTGGCCCTCTGTGATGCTTTCAGAGGATCTGACTCTTACTTAATTTTGTAACCCAAACAATGTCTGAACATATTCCCCTGAATATCACTTTCTGTGAAAAGATTGTTGTATATGCTATGAGAAATCAATGGATTTGTTGGTAAATAATACCTCAGATTGAGTATTTTCTAGTATGAAATTTCTGTAAGTTCAAATATATAATACTGACTTAAGTTGATTAAAATGTCGGGAGTTTTGTGATTGTCATTTAAAAAATGACAAAAAATTAAGGTTGTTCACTGGTCTTTCTGCAGTTATCTGTCTCAACCTCCAGTTTAATTTTACGTTTTATTTTGGTTGTATAGTATGGAGAACATTTGAAGTCATACAATTAGTTATAGATTTAACATTTTCAAGCAGCTATTCTTGCATAATAATATTCAATTAAACTAATCCAGAAAAGTAACAGGGAGGTAATAGAAAATGTTTGTTTTGTGGATGAATTACTCAATATTTCATAACTGCTGACATTCCTTATCTCAAATGTCAGATAAGAAACAAGCAAAACTTAAAATTAGGGCCAAAACTATCAGCGACACATCATAGCATGTTATGCATCCACTTGAAAATTTTTTTATTAAAAGTAGAAGGTGGGAAGTGTACCAAAATAATATATACGCATGGTTTAAAACAGAAAATCAAGTAGTACTAAAAGATTTATGTGTACAGCAGCAGTTCCTTGCTTCTAAGCCTCCCTAACTTCCTAGAGGCAACTATTTTTTATTGTTTTTAGCTGTTTGTTCTGATGGTTACCTAAAGAATTATAAATCATAAGCAGTTGACCCTTGAACAACGTGGGTTTGAACTGCACTGGTCTGCTTATATGCAGATTTTTTTCCACCTCTGAAATAGCAAGACCAATCCCCCTCCTCCTCAGCTTATTCAAAGTGAAGGTAAGGATGAAGGCCTTCATGAAGATCCACTTCCACTTAATGAATAGTAAACACATTTTCTCTTCCTTATGAATTTCTTAATGACATTTTCTTTTCTCTAGCTTACTTTATTATGAATACAGTATATAATACATTCAACATACAAAATTATATTAATTGACTGTTTCTGTTATTGGTGAGGCCTCTAATCAACAGTAAGCTATTTGTAGTTAATTTTGAGGGAGTCGAAAAGTTATACATGAATTTTCAATTGTGTTGGGGGAGTGTCGGTACCCCTTATCTGTATTGTTTGGGGGTCAACTATATTGCTGGGGTTTTTTTTGTTTGTTTGTTTTTTGTTTTGAGACAAAGTCTCACTCTGTTACCCAGGCTGGAGTTCAGTTGCATGATCTCAGCTCACTGCAACCTCCGCCTCCCAGGTTCAAGTGATTCTCCTGCCTCAGCCTCCTGAGTAGCTGGGACTACAGTTGTGTGCCACAATGCCCGACTAATTTTTGTATTTTTTAGTAGAGATGGGGTTTCACCATGTTGGCCAGGCTGGTCTTGAACTCCTGACCTCAAACAATCCGCCTGCCTTGGCCTCCCAAAGTGCTGGTTTTATAGGTGTGAGCCACTGTGCCCAGCCTGTACTGCTATTTCTTATCAATTGTAGGCATTATTCACTTTCTTTAAGATAAATGAGACAAAAACTATCCCAGTTTTTCCAATATAGTTATGTTTTTTAGTTACCCAGTGCAGCGCCAAGTACTGTACTACATTTATGGGGGTTTTTTGGTACAACTTTTAATTTTTTCCTGAATTTTCTTTTTTCTTTTTTTTTTTTTTTGAGACAAGGTCTTGCTCTGTTGCCCAGGCTAGAGTGCAGTGGCACATCTCGGGTCACTGCAGCCTGTACCCAGGCTCAGGCAAGTCCTCCCACCTCAGCTTCCTGAGTAGCTGCTACTACAGACATGCACCACCATGCTCGGCTAATTTTTTAACTTTTTGTATTGCCCAGGCTGGCCTCAAACTCCTGAGCTCAAGTGATTCTCCCACCTCAGCCTCCCAAAGTGCTGGAATTATAGATGTGAGCCACCACGCCCAAGCCTTTCCTGAAATTTGTATCTGCCCTGTTTTCATCCACTTGTGAAATGTGTTTTATATCTACCCTTAATACTTTATAAGTATTTATTTATATCTCTATTTAGCATCCTTTTGAGGAGAACAACTCTAAAATCCTCTTCCCTCCTCCAATCCACTGGTTCCTCGGCTTGTCTGCTGCATAGCTATGATGTTTGGACTTCTAGTTGCCACTCTTGGATTGTATAACTAATTATTTCATCTCCCTTATTTTGGTGAATTTCATTGTCAGATACCTGTTTGCTAAGAAAAGAATCCATAGGAGTAATTTTATGGGTCTTTATTCTATATTGTATGCGATATGTAATGTGGATAGGTATAGAATTATAGATTGAAAATCATCTTCCCTTAGAATTTTGGATACATTACTGCCTGCCTGTCCCCCCTCCCCCATCATCCAGAATTGCTTTTGATAATTTGTGACATTCTTACTGTCATTCTTTTGTATGTCCTGTTCCCACCCTGCTCCCAGGATTTTTCTTGTGGGACTTTTGAAAATAATCATGCCTAGGTATTTTGTTTTCCCTTTCAAGATGTTTCTGTCCTTTCGTTCCAAGAAAGTTGTAATTGTTCCACTAATTATGCTTGAGTTCTTATGTATTTTATTTATTTATTTAGAGACAGGGTCTCACCCTATCACCTTGGCTGGGGTGCAGTGGTGCAAACATGGCTCACTGCAGCCTCGACTTCCTGGGCTCAAGTGACCCACTCACCTCAGTCTCCGGGTGGCTGGGACTACAGGCACATGCCACCATGCCTGGCTAATTTTTGTGTTTTTTATAGAGATGGGGTTTCTCCATGTTGCCCAGGCTGGTCTCAAAACTCCTGGCCTCAAGTGATCCACCTACCTCAGCCTCCAAAAGTGATGGGATTAGAGGCTCGTGACCTCACCCAGGCTTCCTGTGTATTCTGGTTCTGGGAAATGATTTTATGTTACTTCTGTATTAATTGCCATTCTCTTTTTGAAATGCTAGTTATTTGGATTTGGGATATCCTAGGTGGACCTTTAAGGCCTCTTTCCTTATTTTTCCCGTTTCTTTGTTTTCATGGTACTTTTAGAAAGGTTTCTTCCCCTTTGTCTTTCAGTTTTTCTATTGATTCTTATTTTTGCCATCATATTCTTAATTTGCCCACATTTCTATTCTGATTTCTTTCCTTTTCCTCTTCTTTTTCTTCCTTCCTTTCCCTTCTTTTAGCATCCTGATTCCTGTTCTGTGGGTTCAGTCTCATCTTATATCTGTTTGAAACCACTTACTAAAATTTTGTGAAGGTTTTCTTTTGTGACCTGCATTACCTAGTTTCCTGCAGTTCTCCATGTGATCTGCTTAATTGGTTTCCATCTTTTGTATTCAGGCCTTTGTTCCAGCGTGGGTGCTTTTGATGTTTGACACTAAATCTGAAATGGAAGCTCTGTATCTGGGCAGAATCTGTCATTAGGTGGGCTCTATCTTGGGTCAGATATAGCAATAGCCCCTTTTGAGGGAGCATTTGTTTTGAGGGTCTTTCATCTGGAGAATAAATCTCTCCTCTTCAGCTTGGCTGGTTGTTGCTGGTGGCCCACGGAGGAGATATGATCAACTTTTCCTTATCCAAGTGTCTGCACAGTAATCTCAATAGTATTTGACCCATGTGAATTCATCTATTCACTTACTCATGTTGGATGGGCAGCATCACTTACATTAACAGGCAAGAAGTTTCCAGTTCTGGATAAGATAGAGTAAGCTGCCCAGGCACAGTGGCTCACGCCTTTAATACCGGCACTTTGGGAGGCCGAGGCAGAAGGATCCCTTGAAACCAGGAGTTCTAGACCAGCCTGGCCAACATGGTGAAACGCTGTCTCTACTAAAAATAGAAAAATTAGCCACGTGAGGTGGCACACACCTGTAATCCCAGCTATTCGGGAGGCCAAGACAGGAGAATCACTTGAACTCAGTGCCACTGCACTCCAGGCTGGGTGACAGAGTGAGACTCTTATCTCAAAAAAAGTTTAGCAAGATTGCTGAATATTATATCAATTTAAAAAAAAGAGTAAGCATACTCCACCCTGTCAGTCCTACTGAATACAGCAGTAAAACCCGGGCAGAATGCATACAGCAACTATTTGAGGGCCCTGAAAAATAAATAATAGCAGGCAGATTTAGAACAAAGACCAGAATTTAAAGTACCACCAGCTGGGCGCAGTGGCGTATGCCTGTAATCCCAGCGCTTTGGGAGGCCGAAATGGGTGGATCACCTGAGCTCAGGAGTTCCAGACCACCCTGGGCAATATGGTGAAACCCCATCTCTACTAAAATACAAAACATTAGCTGGGCATGGTGGCACGTGCCTGTAGTCCCAGCTACCCAGGAGGCTGTGGCATGAGAATTTTCTTGAGTCCCAGAGGCAGAGTTTGCAGTGAGCCGAGATCATGCCACTGCACTCCAGCTTGGGCTACAGAGTGAGACTCCGTCTCAAAAAAGAAAAGAAAAAGTATCACCAAACCAGCAGTGAGTTTACCATTTGTTCCCCTCATTAATCCTCCAGCATGAACACAACACAGCTCCACCTGGAAGTGGAAATGGGCACCAGGACACACCAGGAAAAGCCTTCTGGTTTCAGCCCAAGGGACAGAAAAGGAAACATCTAAAACCGAGAGTGAGCCCACCCCCACCCCTTTTTTTTCTTCTTTATTCTCATGTAACCCAGCCCCAAGTAATCATGTGGTGGCAATCGAAGCTTGCAGGAACCAAAATTCCAACGTAGGAGAACCTTTCTCTCTAATTGGAGTTGTGGTCTCCATTGATTTTTCTCTCTGTGTGTCCTAGCTGGATCCAAGCCCAGTTGCAGAGGTACAAGGCAGTGGGTTAATTAAAAGCCCCATCTTTCTAGGTGGAGGACCAAAGGGAGAGCCCCAGGAAACCAGAAAGCACCAGGTAGATGGCAGAGAGGGAGGAGTTCAGGAAAGTGAGCCACGAAGTTGTTCATGATCCCCTTGGCTCATCCCCAAGGTACACGTGCATGGATCTGTTCCTCATCAGCATAAGAAAGGCTTTTGAGAATTGAATTAACAAAAAGACCACCATCCAAGTCCCAGAATGGCTACACAGTGGCATACATGTGGGATAGATATATAGCATTGCAGGCCAGGCATGGTGGCTCATGCCTATAATCCCAGCACTTTGAGAGGCCAAGGCAGGTGGATTGCTTGAGCCCAGCGGTGAGTTCAAGGCCAGCCTGGGCAACATGGAGAAACCCTATCTCTTCAAAAAATACAAAAATTAGCCAGGCGTGGTGGCATGTGCCTGTGTTCTCAGCTACTTGGGAGGCTGAGGAGGGTGGATCACTTGAACCAGTAGGTTGAGGCTGCAGTGAGCTATGATGGCACCACTGCACTCCAGCCTAGGTGACAAGAGCAAGACCCTGTCTCAAAAATAAAAATTAAATAATAGCATTGCAGGGCTTTGAAAACTGAACTGATATTGGAACCACAGCTCAGAAGACAGGTTGCAGCTTGCAGCCTGAATCTAATTACGTCAACTATCTGCTAAAACAAAAGTTTCAGTATTTGTAAGATTTAAACAAGATTGAAGGTTTCAAAACGTAATTTTGCATTGTTCAAAATGGATATAATTCAAAATTGGCATATAAAGGGGTAGGAAAATCTCAACTCTTATAGGAAAAGACAGCAGTGCTGAGATGACATAGATGTTGCAATTATTTGACAAAAGACTGAAATATTCAACCGGCAACTGAAAACACTCCACAGGCAATCCCAAATACTCTTAAAACCATTAGAAAAAGTAAGTTTCAGCAAAGAAATAGAAGATAGAGGAACCAAATGGCAAAAGCATGTGATGCTGAAAAAGTATTTGAAGAAATAACTGCTGAAGACATTTCAAGTTTGGCAAAAGATATAAACATGATGATTCAAGAAGCTCACGGAACACAACCAGAATAAACCCAAAGATTTGCACACCCAGACACATCGAAAGCACACTGCTGAAAACTGAGAACGTAAAAATCATGCAAGCATCCAGAGAAAAGCATACCACATGTGGAGGAACAACAATTCAAATGACTGTGACTTATCAGAAACTGCGAAGGACAGAAGAAAGTGGCACAATATTTTTTAAGTGATGAAAGACAAGAAATGTTAACCCATTTTCTTCTATTCTCAGTTTGCTGGGGAAGAAAAAAATGTTAACCCAGAATTCTCTATCCAGTGAAATTATCCTTCAAGAATGAAAATGAAATAAAGCATTCTCAGTTGAAGAAAAACTAAAGATAAATTATTGCCCATAGTCTACACTGAACAGTCTATTCCTTAGGTATTCTCCTAAGGAAAGTTCTTCAGATATAAATGGTAAATATCTGGGTAAATGTAATAGGTTACTTTCTCCTCTTGATTTCTTTAAAATGAGTTTCATACATTGAAAGAAAAATTATAATGTTGTCTGATGGGGTTTCAAATGCATGTAAATATAATGTATGAGATCACTGTAACCTAACATTGGGAGAGAGGAAAGGAACCCAGGAATAAAGAAACTAGTATGCTGGTGTCCTAAAATTTTTACCAACGGGATTTGAATTTATGGAGGTGACAACACGGGTCAGTGCCAGTGAAAGAATTTACTACTTACATTTGCTGAGAGAAGGGGACATGCCATGCCATGCAGGACCACAGGGAAAGCATCAGGGTTTGGTCAGGAGGCAGAAGCAGGCCAGAGGAAAGCCTAAGCCAGAGACTTTATTGGGGCTTCTGTGGGAAAGGGAAGGCAGGGTGAGGTAAACAGTTTAGGATTAGATAGTTTGAATAATTCTCATAGGCTCTGTAGGGACTGTCTCTGGTTGTCTGGTACCTGGCCTTAGGTTGATTTAGTGCAGGGGAAATATTGGCTTGGTATGTGAGAGTTTAAGAGATGAGAGGGAGCATAGCATTGGGTCAAGCAGTCTACACCTAAAAGGCATTCTCCAGACAAGCTGGGGACCACCCCTAGGAATTAGCTGGCTCTGGAAGGGGCAGCCTCTCTCATGGTCTGAAAGGTCCCCCAAGATGTCAAAACATCATATAGAAAATAAGAAACATGATTAATATAAGTGGTATAGTTTTATGAAATGATAGAATATTGATGATAAGTAGGCTGTGAAAAGAATGTTGTAATCAGTGGCATCACCACTTAAAAACTATATGAAGAGATATAGATAAAAATGCAGTAGGGGCCGAGCATGGTGGCTCTCACCTGTAATCCCAGCACTTTGGGAGGCTGAGGTGGGTGGATCAGTTGAGCCCAGAAGTTCGAGACCAGCCTGGCAAACATAGCAAAACCCCGTTTCTACTAAAAATACAAAAAATTAACCAGGTGTGGTGGTGTGCACCTGTAATCCCAGCTACTCAGGAGGCTGAGGTACAAGAATCGCTTGAACCTAGGAGATGGAGGTTGCAGTGAGCCAAGATCTGCGTGCCACTGCACTCAAGCCTGGGCAACAGAGCAAGACTCTGTCTCACAAAGAAAAAAATGCAGTAGGTAAATTATTATACTAAGTGTTTGTATAATGCAAAAGAAGGCAAGATAGAACAGGAATCAAATATAGGAAGCAAGCAGAAAACAAGTAAAATGGTAGACAGATTTGCCAATAATTACATTAAATGTAAATCAACACTCCAATTAAAAGACAGGCACCGTCAGTGGATTAAAAACATATAATGAAATTATCTGGTGTCTTCAAGAAACTGAATTCAAATATTACAGGTAAGTAAAATGTAAAAGGAGGAGGAAAGACATGTGCCATGCAAACATTATTTAAAAGAAAGCTGGATTGTCAATATTACTATCAGTAGCCTTCAGAGCAAAGAAAGTTACCAGAGATTAAGAGAGACACTACATAATGGCAAGAGGGTCAATTCAAGAAGACATTATGTAACAGTGCTAAATCTTTATATTCCTATCAGTAGAGCTGCAAAATATGTGAACCAAAAACTGGCAGAACTGAAAGGAGAACTTGATAAATCCACAGTTACAGTTGGAGACTTCAACACCCTTCTCTCAACAGTTGATGGAACCATTAAACAGAAAATAAATGAGGATCTAGAGGAACTCAGCACCACCATCAACCAGCCAGGTTCTAATACACATCTATAAAACATCCCACTCAACAACATCAGAGTACACATTCTTTATGAGCACCCATAGAACTATCAAGATAGACCTTATCCTGGGCTACAAAACAGTGCTCAATAAATTTAAAATAATTGAAATCATACAGTGTTTTGACCACAAAGAGATCCAACTAAAAATCACCAACAGAAGGATAGCAGGAAATCTTCAAAAACTTAAAAACTAAGTAACACTTCTAAATTTACGAGTCAAAGGGAAATTTTGAAAAATATATTGAACTAAATGAAAATGCAGCATATCAAAGTTTCAGGATGCCACTAAAGCGGTGCTGAAAGGGAAACTTCTGCCACTTAAATGCTTACATTAGAAAAGAAGAGGCTGGGCCCAGTGGCTCATGCCTGAAATCCCAACACTTTGGGAGGCCAAGGTGGGAGGATTGCTGGAGCCCCAGAGTTTGAGACTAACCTTGACAACATAGCAAGATCTTGCCTCTATAATAATAATAAAAGAAAGAAAAGAAAAGTCTTGATAATTTAAGGTTCAAGGAACTAGAAAAAGAAGAGCAGAATAAGCCCAAAGCAAGCAGAAGGAAAATATAATAAAGAGCAGAAATTAATGAAGTTGAAAACACTGACAATAGAGAAAATCAGTGAAATGAAAGCTTGTTCTTTGAAAAGATCAATAAAATCAACAAGTCTCTTAGCAACACTAACAAAGATGAGAGAAGCTGCAAACTACTAATATCAGGAATGAAACCAGGGTGTCTTTGCAGACATCAAAAAGATAAGAAAACTACAAACAACTCTACATACATAAATTTGATGACTTAGTTGAAATGGACCAATTCCTCAAAAGGCACAAACTGCCATGACTCACTTCATATGAAATAGCTATAAGGCTATTCAAAATTGTCTATTAAGGAAATCGAATTGATAATTTTTGAACCCCTATAAAAGAAATCTCCAGGCCCAGGTTGTTTCACTGGAGAATTCTACAAAATGTCTAAAAAAGAATGAACATCAATTCTACACAGTCTCTTCCAAGAACTGCAAGAGGAGAGAACACTTTCTAACTCATGTATAGCCTGTATTACTCTGATGGTAAACGCAGACAAAAACAGTACCAAAAAGGAAAACTGTAGACCAGAGTCCGTATAGATTCTTAACAAAATATTTGCAAATATAATTCAGCAATATGTGAAAGAATTATACACCATAATCATGTAGGGGTTATTCCAGGGATGCAAGGCTGGTTCAGTATTCAGAAGTCAATGTAACCAACCATATTAACAGGCTTAGGAAGAAAAATAATCACAGGATTATATCAATTGATGGAGTAAAGCATTTGACAAATTTCAACACCCATCCATATTCATGATCCTAGAGAATAGGTAACTTCCTCAATGTGATAAAGAACGTTGGTAAAAACTTTCCCTGTTACATCATTCTTAATGGTGAGAAAGATTGAGTGCTTCCCTGTAGATCATTAACAAGGCAAGCATACCCAGTCTCACCACTGCTCGCCAACATAGTGCTGTACTTCTAGCCACTGCAATAAGGCAAGAAAATAAACGGCATATAAATCAGAAAAGAAGAAATATTTGTAGATGATACAATTGTCTGTGTAGGAATTCCCCAGGAAACTACACATACACACAGATCCTTGAACTTTCAATAGGAATAAGTGAGTTCAGGAAGGTTTCAAGATACATGATTAACATACAGAAATCAATTATATTTGTATATACTAACAGTGGACACATAGAAACCAAAATTTAAAGTACAACACTGTACAATCACTCAGAAAAATAAAATTCTTAAAACGTGAAATCTAGCAAAACATGTACAGGATTTGTATTCTCAAAACTCAAAAGGCTAATGAAAGAAAGCAAATGAAATCTAAATAAATGGAGAGAAATACCAGGTTCATGGATCAGGAGACTCAGCAGATGTCAGTTATGCTCAGATTCATGTCACTTGCTGACACATAATTGTCAGCACAATTGCTGATAAAATTCCAGCAAGATATTTTGCAGACACAGACAAAATTATTCTAAAATGTGTATGGGAAGACAAAGGAACTGGAATAATTAAAGCAATTTTAAAAATTATAAAGAGGGAGCAAATCATTACCCAATTTTAAGAAATTATAGAGTTACAGTAATCAAAACGGTGTGGTCTTGATGAAGGGATAGATTTACACAGATTGGAACAGAATAGGGAACTCACAAGTAGTTCCACACAAGTATGGCAAAGTGATTTTTTGACAAAAGTGCAATTCAGTAGTGAAAGAATAGCCTTTTCAAGAAATGGTGCTAGAGCAATATTATACCTATAGGCAAAAATGTGAAGCTCAAGCTAACCCTCACACCTTCTTTTAAAATGTACTAAAAATGGATCATAGGTTTAAATGTAAAACTTAGACGATAACATTGGAGAGGTCTTCAGTACCCCAGGCTTGGTGAAGAATAAAATCTAAAAACCGAACTTCCTTAAAAGTAAAAACTTGCTGTCACAAAACACCCTGTTAAGAGGATGGGAAGACAAACTACAGACCAGGAGAAAATATCTGCAAGCCACATATTTGACAAAAGACTCTTAGGATATATAAAGAGCTCTCAAAACTCAACAGTAAAAAAACAATTAGAAAATAGAAGGCTACTAGAGACTAGGAAGGATAGGGAGAGATTTGTTAATAGATACAAAATTACAGCTCCCTGGGGAGAATAAATTCTAGTGTTCCATATCACTGTAGAATGACTACAGTTAACAATAATATATAGTTTCAAATAGCTAGAAGGAGGATATAGAGTGCTCCCAACACAGAGAAATGCTAAATGTTTGAAATGGATATGCTAATTACCCTGTTCTGATCACTATACATTATTATATGTATTGAGACTTCCCTGTGTAACCCATGAATATATACAATCAGCCAGGCACAGTGGCTCACGCCAGCATTCACTTGTTCTATTAGATCTGCATTTAATTTAACAGTCTGATTTTCTTTAGAAAACAGACAAAAAAATCATAGGATATAGACTGTTTCAATCAGTAGCAACTAATTGTAATCCCAGCAATTTGGGAGGTGGAGGCAGGGGGATCACCTGAGGTCAGGAGTTCAAGACCAGCTTGGCCAACATGGTGAAACCCCATCTAGCGTACAAAATTAGCCAGGTGTCGTGGCACATGCCTGTAATCCCAGCTACTTGGGAGGCTGAGGCAGAAGAGTCGCTTGAACCTGGGAGATCGCGCCATTCCACTCCAGCCTGGGTGACTAGAACAAAACTCCATCTCAAAAAAAAAAAATTATATATATATATACAATCATTATTTGTCAATTAAAAATTTAAAAAATTTTTTTTTAGAGATAGGGTCCCGCTCTTTGGCCCAGGCTGGAATGCAGTGACATGATCTCAGCTTACTGCAGCCTCAGTCTCCTGGGCTGAAGCGATCCTCCCATCTCAGCCTCCCAAGTAGCTGGAACTATAGGCACACACCACCATTCCCAGCTTATTTTTTGTAGAAATGGGGTTTCACCATGTTGCCCAGGCTAAATTAAAAGAAAACTTTTTTTTTTAAATTTTTTATTTCAATACCAACATCTGAGAACACCAATACTGTCCAGCATTCACTTGTTCTGTTAGATCTGCATTTAATTTAACAGTCTGGTTTTCTTTAGAAAACAGACAGAAAATCATACAGGATATAGATTGTTTCAACCAGCTGGAAAAAAATTTTTTATTAATGTTATTCTTGCTTCTTAATAAACTTGCTTTTGCTTTGAAAAAAAAAATTAATGTTATTCTTTTATACCTTCAAGAAATCTGGAAACCAAGGGTAATAGTAGCAAAAGTCAAGATTTGTTCTGTAGTCAATCACTTGATTTGATTATCTTATCTCTTGATTATGTCATGGAAGTAATAAATTACTGGTAGCAAGCAAAGATGTCTTTTCATTAGAGATGTAAATAAATCCAGCCTTGGGATTATTCACTGTGTAGCTCAGCAAATCCCTAAGATCACATTGCATAAAATGTTACAAAATACCCACCTTTTAGATTTGGATGCAGAGTTTTCAGTTCCTCTAAAGATGGTTTAAGCAAGTTATATCTGTTATTTTCAATGTTTTATTTAAAACATGACATTTTGTTCAAAATTACAAACATGCTTGTGATTTTTATAAAATCGGCCTGACATTTGTAGTTACATGGTAATTTATTATGTGCTATAAGGAACTTTTGTAAATTGACCTAATTTCTTATTTTCTCTTTACAGGAATATATTAAAGGAATCTGTGAACCTGAACTAGAAGAAAGAGAATGTTACCCCAAGGACATGCACTGCATTTTTGTTGGGGCAGAGAGCCTGTTTCTGAAAAGCTTGATTCAGGATACTTGTGCTGACCTCTGCATTCTGGACATTGGCCTTCTTGGCATCAGAGGAAGTGCTGAGGCTGTGGTCATGGCTAGGAGTCACATTCAACAATTTGTAAAGCTCTTTGAAAATAAAGAGAACCTACCCAGTAGTCAGAAAGAATCAGAGGTGAAAAGGGAATTCAAACAATTTGTTGAAGCCCATGCAGACAATTACACAATGGATTTGTTGATTTTGCCCACTTCCTTGAAAAAAGAACTTTTGACACTCACACAAGGTGAGGAGAATCTCTTTGAAACAGGAGATGATGAGGTTATTGAAATGAGAGATTCTCAACAAACAGAGTTTACACAGAATGCTGCCACAGGGCTGAATATTTCTAGAGATGAAACTGTTTTGCAGGAAGAGGCAAGAAATAAAGCTGGGACTCCTGTTTCTGAGCTTACAAAACAAATGGACACAGTCCTTTCTAGCTCACCAGATGTGCTTTTTGATCCAATAAATGGTCTAACCCCAGATGAAGAGGCACTTTCCAATGAGAGAATTTGTCAGAAAAGGAGATTTTCTGATTCTGAAGAAAGGCATACGAAGAAGCAGTTTTCTTTGGAAAATGTTCAGGAGGGGGAGATTTTACACGATGCTAAGACATTGGCTGGAAATGTAATAGCTGACCTATCTGATTCTTCTGCTGATTCTGAAAATTTAAGTCCAGATATAAAAGAAACTACTGAGGAAATGGAATACAACATCCTCGTAAACTTTTTTAAAACCATGGGCTACTCCCAAGAAATTGTTGAAAAGGTCATTAAGGTGTATGGACCATCTACTGAACCATTATTGCTCTTAGAGGAAATTGAAAAAGAAAATAAAAGATTCCAAGAAGACAGAGAATTTTCAGCTGGTACAGTGTATCCAGAGACCAACAAAACCAAAAATAAAGGTGTTTATAGCAGCACAAATGAGCTTACAACTGATTCCACTCCAAAGAAAACACAGGCTCACACACAGCAAAATATGGTAGAAAAATTTTCTCAGTTACCATTCAAAGTGGAAGCTAAACCATGTACCTCAAATTGTAGAATTAATACTTTCAGAACAGTGCCAATAGAACAGAAACATGAAGTCTGGGGTTCAAACCAGAACTACATTTGTAACACAGACCCTGAAACTGATGGCCTTTCACCTTCTGTTGCCTCTCCAAGTCCCAAAGAAGTCAATTTTGTTTCAAGGGGAGCTTCAAGTCACCAGCCCAGAGTTCCACTTTTTCCTGAAAATGGTTTACACCAGCAGCCAGAACCCTTGCTTCCAAATAATATGAAATCTGCCTGTGAAAAACGTTTAGGATGTTGTAGTTCTCCTCATTCTAAGCCAAATTGCTCAACCCTTTCTCCACCAATGCCACTGCCCCAGCTGTTACCTTCGGTTACTGATGCAAGGTCGGCAGGACCTTCTGATCATATTGATTCCTCAGTTACTGGGGTTCAAAGGTTTCGAGATACTCTAAAAATACCCTACAAGCTGGAATTAAAAAATGAACCAGGGAGAACGGATTTGAAACACATTGTTATAGATGGGAGCAATGTTGCAATTACGTAAGTCCATTCTCTGCAGATTATTTTATTTTAAATAGGGCTCTAAATGGTGTCTCAGAATCACATGTATATGGGAACTATACATACATGTTGTATATAGTTGATCTGTAGCCTTAGGGTCGGATGGTGGAGGGGAATGGGAACCAACTGGTTGGAAAGGTTTTGTCAGTCCATCTTCTGGATTCATGAACTTTACTTCACCCTGCTGAACTTAATTTCTAAGGGCAAGAGAGGATAGAAAATTATCTTTTCACGTTGCATTGCTCAGTGATATGTAGTATAGTGACTTTTAAGTCATTAAATTCTTAATATTGTGAGTACCATTATGTTCTAATCTAAATAAGAGAACACAGCTTAAAGCAAAAGGATTTTTTTTTATCTTATTATGCTGGAGTATGCCTGATCTCTAGCCAAGAGTGTGCAGTGGTAACAGGTGTGATGTATTTCTGTGGATAGAGCAATGGCAATTTCCTTTCAAAAGTAGTCACTTTGAGCTTCACTGTGGGCCTCTGCTCTTACTAAAAGTTTATAATATTTGTTTTTAGTAAAAGACATCATTTAATGAACCTGTTGTTTCTAGTTAGCCTGTCTTGGAACTCCTCTTAGTTGAAAATCCTCTGATTTGAAACCTGTACGCTTGGGTTTTTTTTCTAAGGGGCAGTTTAAGATCGTGGCTAAGGAGAGTGTGAGGGTCAAGAGCCTCCCTGCACTGTGGACCAGCTGTTTGATTTGGGGCAGGTCACTTAACTGTTCGGAGTTTCAGTTGCTGCAATCTGTTGCCTTCTGACCTGTCCTTAAGGACATCTTTACCATATCATTTCAACAACTATGTAAAGTCTGCCTTCAGTTTTCAAAACCAGTCACCCCATTGTTAAAAGAAAAACTTAGGGCAAATTACATTTAGCAGAGTTGATCTGCACGAACAATGATTTACGAATCTGGCAGCACCCTGAACCAGGAGAGGTTCAGAGAGCTTCACCCAGCAATGAGGGCTGGCAGTATTTATAGGCAGAAAAGGGAATTGCCCTGCAGAAACAGCTTGATTACCTACGGGTTGGCATTTGCCTTATCCAGGCATCCTGTGATGAGGCATTTGCCTTATGTAGAAGTGGTCTGAACAATTGGCAGCCTGTGATTGGCTGAAGCTTGGCTGCTGTGATTGGCTGAGACTCAGCCATTTTTTTTTACAAGAATACTCTTAGGTTGCCATTTGTTCACATACTAAGGTTGCAGGTCACTATGTATGGAGGCACCTTTAGGCCAAATTTAATTTAATTTAACACCATTGATTTTTGAAGAAATATTCAAGGTCTGGCATTTTAAGTAGCCGCAATTCAAGAAACAGGACACCTGGACATGGAATGAGAGAGAAGTTGCCAAATCTTAAAAATACTTTTCTGAATTGCTGAATGTTTGTGTAACTTCTTTTTTAGGAGTTCTGAAAGATCAGTAAATGCCCTGAGTTTTTAAGAATACCTATTAGGATTGAAAAATAAATGTTATTTTTGAAATATATGTTTATAGTATATTTGTAATTTTTTGTTTTGTAAATTTTTTATTAGGATTTTCAAATACATAAGATAAGATAATGAATTCCCAGGGGTTCATCACCCACCTTCAACAATTACCAGCTCGTGATCAGTCTTGTTTCATCCTAGCCCTTACTTCTTCTTTCCACCCCTATTATTTTGAAGGAAATCTCAGATATATGGTCATAAATATTTTAATATGTATTTTTTAAAATATAAGGATTCTTCTGCTTTTTATTATTTGAATGAATTATCGAAGCTGTGTTTTGCTGTCAAAAAGAAAATGTCATCATTTCAGATGTTAAAGTTTGAAGACAGGCAGCAAAAATATGCAATATGCTTATCTTCATTTCCAAATAATACTGTTTATTGTCATTTCACTTTGGTTTTTTTGGCAGCCCTGTTAGGGGAAACCCAGCAAATGATCCGCAGCTGCATAGCGATATCTAAGCAAAAATGTCACTTCAGTCACCCACACCCCAAGCCCGGAACAAGTTCTTCATTGTTACGATTTCTTGAGCCAACTCGTGACACAAAATTTAGGTCACAATTGTGAGCAATTCTCATCCTCTTTCACTTTTCTATATGTGGAAGGATTTTCCAAATAAGAAATGCAAGGTTAACGTAGAATGAGCAGCGATCCTGATGCTTTTTATAAACCTTTTGGGGTAGTTAACAGGCATATTTCTCAGCAGGGTCACTGTTGGAATTTAGAGTGGTGCTGCCTATCCGTGACAGGATGTTTTGCAAATCTAGTCCCTCCCACTTTGCTTATAATATCCTTCCCCAGTCGTTGTGACACCTCAAACACACTCCTACATATTTCCTAATGCCCTGAGTACAGTATCATCTCTTTTGAAAACCACCAATTATTACACTAAGGGAAAGCTGCAAGCTTTCTTTTTTTATTTCTTCTTTTTTTTTTTTTTTTGGAAAACTGATTGTTTTGGGAGGATTTACATTTTCTTTGGATTCACAGATGTCTCTGTTTAAAGGCAATACTTTTACAAGAGAATGTGTTACTTTAAGAAGACAGACTTGTACTTAATTTGATGTAAATTGATCTGAAAATATCAGTAATTAAGATTTACCCATATTCTAGGAAGAAACTGCGTAATGGGTATAGAGTTTTATTTTGGAGTGACAAACATTTTGGAACTAGATGTAAGTGGTGGTTGCACGGCATTGCGAACGTAGTAAATGCCATTGAATTGATTATTTTAGTCGTGTGAATTTTACCTCAATTTTTTTTGGAAGTTGGAAAAAAATCAGCCCTTATTTTAAATCAGTTGCTTCAATGTTAAGTGTGAATAAACTTTGACTAGATTCCATGAAGAAACTGATTTGTGTTTCTTCTGTTCAGTGAACTACCTCTAATACCCATAGTCCCTGACACATAGTAGGAGCTCAGTAAAAACTTGTTGATGAATTAAAGGCAAATTAGAATTTTTCTTTTTTTAAGAGGTAAAGTCTCACTATTTTGCCCAGGCTGGACTCAAACTTTTGGGCTCAGGCAATCTTTCCTAGTAGCTGAGGCTATAGGCATGCCTTACCATGCCCAGTTTAGGATTTTTTTAGTGGCTTTTTACTACCTATTTGTAACTTCATGGTTACTATTCCAGTGGCCAGTTTAGATTTTTAACTGAGGCCATATATTTAATGCAACAAATATTTGAGATTTTAAAGCCGAATCACCCATTATTATGTGTCAGGCACTGTATTTTTAAAAATGCAACCTTCACACCAATTGTGAGTCAAAAGTTATAATTTATACAACATGAAGTGGCTTAAAAATGTTTTCCAGGGTTACATGGATAGAGATTTGGGCCCATAATGTCTTTCCCCAGAGCTGCTGTATACCCTCTCTCCTCCAGCAGAAGTTAAGGTTGGAATTTTCAGGCCAACGCATCATTGGATACTTAAGTCTTGGGTTGCATAGCACTGCTGACTAAAGCTCACTGATTTGACCCAAGTAGTTGGGGAAGTACTTATTTGGTCCTTAAGCAATAGGATCTGTTGGTGTGAGCCCCACCCTAAAGCAGCCTAGGCCCACCCTTCGATGTATTTTTGTAAAGCCTTTGTTCATTTGCCTATCCAGAATGAGGTCTGCAGCCCATACCACCATGAAAACCTCCACAGTACCCTGTTTAATGCTGCCAATTTTGTATACCTTGTTCTTGCCCCCTTGTCACCATGAATGAGTCAAATGATGAGTAAGTGGAAATTGTTTGTGGTGTATGGCTAGACAGCACAGTAGTGGCCAAGAAACATTTGGGCTCTGTCAGCCTGAAACTTCAGCATGAGAGCCCCTGACATATGGGGTGATAGTTTTCCATGTAGATGGGGTTTGCCCCTTCCCTTGCCAGAATTAAGTATTTTAGCCATTTTTTTTTCCATACTAGTCTTTTCCATATTAGGGTTCCATAAAAAGAAATCGCTTTTTCCTGGGTAACTCAGAAAGGACTTTCCATTGTCCCCACACTGCCCTGTCTGGTGCTATGGCTGCCATGAGTTTTTATCAGCTGTGTGTCACCCATCTCTCCTCCACTTTGGACACTTTCTTTTAGTTGCCAGCATTCTATAATATGGCAAACAACCAGATGATATAACCTTTAACCAATTATATGGAAGCAGGCATTTAAATGTCTTGAGGGCCTGGACACCTGGCCTCCCAGACTTGATAACTGTTCATTCTGCATTTGGAACTGGGAGCCCCAGAGCTTTGGCCTTCCCATAAGTAGCAAGGTGTTATTATATATATACTTTGGGTCGAAATAGACCTTTGGTCTGGGTTTACCTGTCAACATGCTACTCTGGTTTGATTGCAGAGAGGCTAGGAGACAGTGATGAGTAAGCACATGTCTGCCTGCTCAGGGTATAGGACTTGAAGTAGGAAGAAGGGTCCTTAATCGACCCTCTGTATTATTTTGAGGACAATAATTTGGCTTCACTTAATTTTTTGTCATTGTAGTTTTATTTTTTGGGTAAATTTGTATGTTCTCCACCAGAATTTTGAACCTCTATTTTAATTCCATTCCTGAGATTTTTTTAGAGTATCAAAAGTGATATGATCTTATTACTGAGAATAACACTTTGGAATTTAGTTGAGAGCTGATGTTTCTAGAACCTCCATCTGTTCCCCCTCTAGACTTGTAAGGAGTCCAGGGCAGCAGAATTCATCGGTCTGCATTTCCTTCCTTGTTACATAGTGACCCAGTGGAATTGAACTGGGTACTCCTCCTCTATCCAGTTCCTCCTCTTGCCATCACTAGAAGCTTTAAGGAAAAGAGGGAGAGTAGGTAGCACACATTTGTATCTGTCAAAGTAATCAGGGAGCCACCTTAAAAACCTTTTCAGTGCAGTTATCTCAAGGGTTATCCTTTTGAGGACTAAATATACATATTTCTTGGTTTTTCTAAGAACCAGCAGGTTGTTCTGTTGTGGATTTTCAAATTAGGGCTGTGGTTGATGTTAACTCTGGGCATGTCCCTGCTGTTAAGCAATTAGAGTGATGGATGATTTATTGTTTTTGGAAGATTAAAAGAGGCCCCCTTTAAAGAACCACCCCCAGTCTTTTTTCTAGTTAAAAATGTCACTTTGTTACCTTCTTGCCATATTTGAATGCCTTTAGATAAACAAAGCACTCCTGAATTATCAAGATTGCGTGTGTTTATTTACATATATTTTCTGGGGTAAGAGCCTCTGAAATATCTTATTTATGGTTCACTGAAAAAGAAATAGCCTTTAAAAAGAGGAGTCTGTGCGTAGCTCTTGTGAATCTCACAGAGCATTAGATGTTCGTGAAGTGTCCAGCCTCTTCCTGCTCTCAAGGAACGCACATGCAGGTGGGGTGACAGTCCCACTGTGGGGTCGTGGAAAGGGCAGGCGTGAGGAAGCCGGAGTATGATCCAGCTCATCCCCCTGGCTCTGCAACCCAGGCAGGCTGCTCTTTCCCTAGTGACTCCTTTTTCTAACAGGCATAATGCCATTCTATCTCTGTGATTCTCGTGCACCATACAGGATTGGAACTCAGAAGAGGAAGGAGGCTGAGAGAGGCCCTGTGTCTAGAAATAACTTCATAGAAGAAGACGGGCCAGAATTCAGCCCATTCAGTCCTGAGGGCATTTGAAGAAGGAGCAAGGAAAGGTGCAAGAGCATCACACATATAGAAAGCAACATAAGGAAAGGCTCAGAGACCGGGAGGGGTGAGATAGCAAGACCTGGCCAAAACCAAGAGGGTTGTCTCATGGTAGTGGGAGGGTCACTTGGCCAGATCCTTTCTGACGAGTCAGACGAGGAGGGGTCCTGGAAGCCAGGCAGGATTAGTGTAGGACAGTGCCTTTGAAGGCCCTGAGCAGAATCAAAGGCCTTGGGCTGCATTTAAAAGTTAGTTTCACTGGAATTTGCAGGGTAGGTTGGAATTAGGAGAGCCTGGGTTTAACTCGGGACACATATGCCCATCATGGCAGGACTTTCAAGTGAAGTATTTCTACAGAGCAGTTTTGGCATGCAGCATTAGACATGGAGAGAAGATAGGACTGAAGATGCAGGGAGTATTGTCGCTGGAATCTAAGTGACCATTGAAGCAGTGAACATAGATTATGCTAATCTCATAAACTACAGCATCACAGTTTGAGATTTTAGTCTTTTTTTCTTTCTAATACCCATGAGTAGACAAATTACCACCTGCAGAATTTTAAACTTTTAACACTTTTTTATCTCCACGTTTAATTAACTGCTGGAGAGTAAAATTTAAGTACTTTCTTCCTTTCCGTTGAAATGTGTTATGGATGGAGGGGTGGGCATTTTTTAATCCTCTATACCAAGGATTGTAAACTATGGGCCAAATCAGGCCCGCCCACCTGTTTTTGTAAATGTGGAACATAGCCGCACACATTCACTTACAGTTATCTGTGGCTGTTTTCACATTCAGAGTTGGGTGGTATGACAGAGACTGTGTGGCTCTTAACAGAAAAAGTGTGCTAACCTGTGTTCTCTACTGTTCATTGTTGTTGTTGTTGTTGCTGTTCTTTTAATTTTTTTTTTTTTTTACCTTTTTTCCCTGCTTTCTGCATTCTTAAAATAGCCTTTCACGGCCCCCCATTAGTTTCATTTGAGTCTTGCCCTCAACGTGTTTCTCGTAAGCTGTAAACTGGGTAAATATAGCCATTCCCTAAAAAGAGTGGAGCCCTCCTGGGACAGGACACAGCAGCATCTTCGGAGGTTGCAGGGGTTATGACCATGTCACATCTTTGTCCCTTTCTTCTGTCACAGGGAACAAGTATTACCATGGAGCTCACTGCTTTCTATCATAACAACACACCCAGTTAGATTAACAAAATGTGAGAAAAATCCTAAGACACTATTAAGAGTTCTGTCCCCTACAGTGGGTTCCATCCTAACTTTGTGCAACTAAATGCCAAAAATGTAAGAATATTAAAGGAAACTTTGTTCTTACTGTTTGTTGTATGTGTATGTTAACTTTTCATGGTGAAACTTACTGTGCTTTAAACAGAAATAAACTTTACTTATTTTCTTTACTTTGTAATTTCTAGCCATGGTCTGAAAAAGTTCTTTTCTTGTCGTGGAATTGCAATTGCAGTTGAATATTTTTGGAAGCTTGGCAACAGAAACATCACTGTATTTGTCCCTCAGTGGAGAACAAGGCGTGATCCTAATGTCACAGGTGAGGCAAACTGATTTTTTCAGATTTCTAGTGAAATGTTTAATGAGTTGGCTTATAATTGCAACACATGCTATTTAGAATAGAGCTGTGTGCCATAGGCAGCGGCTTTAAAAATAAAATTGTAAATCTACTGCACCTAGCAAAACATCAATTGAAGAGAGTGCCACAGCATCACAAATACTAGGAGGTAGGATGGAAAGTTAACATAGTTATTTATACAGGAAGTTATATTAAGAGTTCATTATATATCACGTTTTCTTTTTACTTTCTAAAAAATGTCTTTTTATTAGGCTGGATTTCTGACTGTTTAGATAGTATTTTTGAAGTCACTTCATAAATTTGGCCCCTTCAAGTTACGTCTTTTTAACAGTCTATTTAAGGCTTAATATAAATCATTTCCGTTAACCATAAAGTACTCTGGCTGACTTGCAGGCCACACACGAAAGATTTGAACTTATTATGAATCATGAAATGTTCTAGAGAAACTTCAGGTTGTTTGTGTCATAGGTCATGATAGGAAGATAGGTGAAGGGGCTGTGCCAGGCAACTTAACACATCAGAGGGCCTGGAAAAATAAAGTAGATTGTGGGGAAGGAGGGTCAGTACAGGACTTGCCCAGCACATTAAACAGGAAGTGAAGTTTAGTCACTAGTGGGGCAGAAATGGTCAAACCACACAGTTCCCAAGTATTCCCAACTTCCCCCATTTTGAAGAGCATATTCATCTTAACAGAGGGTACATAAGGAATGAAGCAGATACACTCATTTTGTTATTTTTGCAATTGGATCCCTGAAGGAGTCTTTTTTTTTTTTTTTTTTTTTTTTTTTTTTTTTTTTTTTCTGAGACGGAGTCTCGCTCTGTCGCTCAGGCTGGAGTGCAGCGGCATGATCTCGGCTCACTGCAACCTCTGCCTCCTGGGTTCAAGTGATTCTTCTGCTTCAGCCTCCCGAGTAGCTGGGACTGCAGGCACGCACCACCACGCCCGGCTAATTTTTGTATTTTTAGTAGAAACGGGGTTTCATCATATTGACCAGGCTGGTCTCGAACTCCTGACCTTGTTATCCACCCACCTCACCCTCCCAAAGTGCTGGGATTACAGGCAGGAGCCACCACGCCCTGCCGAAGGAGTCTCTTAGTGCTTATGTGCTCTGCATTGCTTAAGTCAGTGGTGAGTACCATTGTAGGGAATGCAGGTGTGGGAATCTCAGGCCCTGAGCTTTTAGCTGCTTTTTCCCATTACTGGTTTTCTAAAATGTAGCTTTGACCCTCCATTCTCCACTGTCATCACCCACCCCCATGAAAACTGGCAAATATTTGTATGGACACCTTTGAGAATTTAGATAGGAGGCCAGTAGGAGGAGGCTTCAACAGACTCTTGGCATAGGGATCTTTCTTGTGGTAGAACCATTTGCCCCTCCTATCCCTAGATCTGCCCTAGCCTCACCCCTACCCTCTCTCAGGGTCTCTTATCATCCCTCTCTTTGTCCTCTACTTCTTGTAGTATAGCTCTGAAAGAGTTTTTGATGGTAGGCTTCATTAAATACCCAGGCTGGAGTGCAGCAGTGCCGTCTCAGCTCTCTGCAACCTCTGCCTCCTGGGTTCAAGCGATTCTCCTGCCTCAGCCTCCTGAGTAACTGGGATTACAGGCACGCGCCACCACACCTGGCTAATTTTGTATTTTTAGTAGAGACAGGGTTTCATCATGTTGGCCAGTCTGGTCTTGAACTCCTGACCTTAAGTAATCCACCTGCCTCAGCCTCCCAAAGTGCTGGGATTACAGGCGTGAGCCACTGTGCCTGGCCTACTATTCTTGAGAAGCAAATGAGTTTAATCTTATGTTTAAAAAATAACTGAAGTTAGTTCATATGTTGTTTTTGCCTTAGTATGGGTCTTGCTTGTTTTTTTTTTAATTCCTAGTGAGTTAGTAAAATTGAGTCAATAGAAAAAAGGTTTTCTACAGCTCTCCAAGTGAAACATTTGAGTGTACTTTCATTTCTTGATACATTTGGGAAGATAGCCCTTTTCTGAATGTATATTCAACTTATTCCATGAACAGAACAGCACTTCTTAACCCAGCTCCAGGAGCTCGGAATATTATCTTTAACTCCTGCCCGGATGGTCTTTGGAGAAAGAATTGCTTCTCATGATGACAGGTATGAAAGGCCATTCTCCTTCCTAAGGTTGGAGTGGGGTGGTGAGGAGCCAGCCACCTGCTCTGCTGGACAGGTCCACACTTTTAGAGGACCTGCTTGATGCAGTGGGTTTAATATTTATGGTCATTAAGGTGATATGCTCAGTGATATTTGCTACATAGTTTTTAGAAACACCACAGAAGAAACTCTTTGTGTTTTAGTAAAACATGGCTGAAAATCTATAAGTAAAAGCAGATATTGTAGTCTGGTTGGTAGGTGCTAAAAGTAATGTTTGTCTTGTCTTAGTGTGGCAGGCTTGAAAATGGTTTCAAATATTATCTCCTCTCAGTCTACTTTTGGTCAGTGACTTAGCCTGTTATTGTAATGCCTGGGTCCTCAGGGTTTCTTCTACATAATAGAAGTGTCTGAACTGACCCTACTGTGATAGGAGTAAGCTGCATTTCTTTTCTTTCTTTTTTTTTTTTCTTGAGATGGAGTCTTACTCTGTCAACGCAGACTGGAGTGCAGTGGCGCAATCTCAGCTCACTGCAACCTCTGCCTCCTGGGTTCAAGCGATTCTCCTGCCTCAGCCTCCCAAGTAGCTGGGATTACAGGCAAGCACCACCATGCCCGGCTAATTTTTGTATTTTTAGTTTAGCAGGTTGCAGTGAGACGGGGTTTTTCCATGTTGGCCAGGGTGGTCTTGAACTCCTGACCTCAGGTGATCTGCCCACCTTGGCCTCCCAAAGTGCTGAGATTACAGGTGTGAGCCACCACACCCGGCCTATAAGCCTGCATTTCTTAGCTTGGCATATAACTCAGGAAGCAGGTACTAGTGCATCTGAGTCACCAAGATTTAGTCTGTACCTTTTAAATATTTTGTTTTGTTTTTGAGATAGAGTTTCACTGTGTCACCCAGGCTGGAGTGCAATGGTACAATCTTGGCTCATTGCAACCTCCGCCTCTCAGGTTCTAGCCGTTCTCCTGTCTCAGCTTCCCAAGTAGCTGGGATTACAGGCATGTACCACCACAGGCCTGGCTAATTTTTGTATTTTTAGTAGAGATAGGGTTTCACTATGTTGGTAAGGCTGGTCTCAAACTCCTGACCTCAGATGATCCACCCGTCTCGGCCTCCCAAAGTGCTGGGATTACAGGCATGAGTCACTGCACCTGGCCCTTTTTAAATTTTTTCTAAAAACTTTATTGAGCACTAACCAAATCTGATACACCGAGGTAGGTTCTGGGGACATGCATGATTCAGATGCACCTTCTGCCCTAAAGAATTTTGAGAAGACGTGTGCATAAGTAACAGAAGGGAGTTTTGCTGTGGTTGAATAAGAGAAGGTTCTAAACTTAACCAATGGAAATAGGACCAGTTTTTAAAATCCTCCTCATGGTATGAAATTAGTAGCAAGTCTACTAGTATTTGGTAGCCTAGTGGTAGCTGTTTATTCTTTTCTCCCCTGCATTTGCCCTGTTTATTTTCATCTGGCTTATAGCACTAACAACAACCCTGGTGTTTTCGCCTGTGTTCCACCAAAACACCACTCCATTGAAGATAGTGTTTAGCTTGTGACCCAAGCTAGTGAATGATAGTCAAATGGGTAAGAGATGAAAAGAGGGCCTGGGCAGAGGGATGGGGGGCTTGGGACCACAGCAGACATATATTCATTCACCAAAAGGGCCTTCTCATTGACAGTCCCTTGCCCTGCACCAGGCTGGTATGCAAGACCAGATCTGATGGGTGAGACTCAGGTGGCATGGAAGAGCCGAAAGAGGATACCATATGTGGGTGCCGGGGGGGATAGGTGAGAAGTACTAGAAGGCGGAATGGAAGGACACTTCTGCTCAGCTCTGTGACACGGGCAGGGACCCTGCAGGGCTCAGGTCCTTTAACACAGCAGCTTCATTCTAACACCAGCAGCGTTGGAACACACGTACAAGTATGCAGACTAAGCTCTTGCTTGGCTGATACGGCTTTTTGGGTTTTTAGAGAACATGCATATATGTTCTCATTCATGGTACATGAACTCAGAAGCCTTACTGCCTATTTTTGTTAATACTTCTGGGCAAACATTACCACTTACAACTCACACCAGTTAGAAATCATTTGTAAAATGTTATTTAATAAAGCCAAAGAACTAAATCATATTTATTTTCCAAGGTTTTCTAAGATCTCTGAAACTAATGAGGTTTTTTAAATCCCCATTAAGTACTCATCACTGCTAGTAAAAGCAGTTGTCTTTACCTTTAATTCCAGTGAGTCCCTTAATTTATTTTTTATTATCTTTGTCTACATTGCCTTAGACAAATGTGGTCACCCTAATTTAAGGGATAAAATTCACATCCTCACAGATTTCTTATTAAGAGGGTCTAAGCATGAATAATCAGCAGTGAAATGGAAGTCTTCTTTACTGCTTCATCCTTTCCCTTTTTTATCACCATGTATCCTGTCATATCTTCCATTTGAGTGAATCTATAACTTAGTCTAAACAAAATGGCAATTCTAGATACCTCTTTTTAAATCAGAGCAGTGTGAACCTATGAATTTTTTTTTTTTTTTTTTTTTGAAGCAGTCTCGTTCTGTTGTCCAGGCTGGAATGTAGTGGCACGATCTTGGCTCACTGCACCCTCCACCTGCCTGGGCTCAGCTGATCCTCCACCTCAGCCTCCTGAGTAGCTGGGACTACAGGGAACACCCGGCTAATTTTTTGTATTTTTTTGTAGAGACGGGGTTTCACCATGTTGCCCAGACTGGTCTCAAACTCCTGGGCTTGAATGATCCGCCCACCTCAACCTCCCAAAGTGTTGGGATTACAGGCGTGAGCCACCACACTCGGCTTGAACCTATGAATTTTTAAAAAGGAAAAAGAATTGTAAGGCTGATTGTACTAAACAGCTAATCTTAGAACCAAAATACTGTTGCTCAGTAACTTAAATCTGAATAATGATTTCACAGGCTTGTCAGCTCTCATTCTCTGCTCTGGTCTTCATGCATTCTTATTAACACTGTTTATTGATAATACAACTTTTGAATAAATTATAGTTGAGATCATTTAACAAAAGAAATTGTATGAAAGACAATCTATTTTGTAATCACGCTAATAATTTTAGAGATATTCACCATTCTGATTGATCTTCAGTTGATAGGGGCTAAACTTTTCTGTGGCCTAGCCTTGGTTAAATTCTTTGATGGTTTTCCTATGAAGAGGAAATATTCTCTTCTTATAACATGGCTTCTCTGAGCCAAGGATGCCTGTTGCTGATTTTAAACTCTCTTATATTACCATAGGTTTCTACTACACTTAGCGGACAAAACTGGTGGCATAATTGTGACAAATGATAATTTCAGAGAATTTGTGAATGAGTCAGTCTCTTGGAGAGAAATTATTACAAAAAGGTAATATTTTCTTCTTTGTCTTTGGTCAGAAAAGTTTTGTTTTTAATTGTTTGTTTCTGTGTGCATTTTGTTCGTTTTGTTTTCTATATTCCTTGGCTCCACAGAAGGCAATATAGGGGACCAAAGTATCATAAGACTGTGCTGCACTCCCACTTCATAGGTGGCTGGCCCCTCCAGGTAAGCGGGGGCCCAGCACAGAGCAGCAGAGCTGGCAGTGATGAGTGTGGGCATGCTCTGCTGTCACTGCAGTCTTCTAGGGCATCAGAGTTTTGTTGCATGAAGCAGGAGGTACAGTTAAGTGTGATGGAGCACAAACGGCCTCCTATTTTACTCAGCTGTGAAGTGAAAGGGTGAACTTGATGACAACTGGGATTCCAGCAAGAGGAAAGGACCGAAAGCAATGTGTGCTGACTGGGCTTTCACTTCTTCATGGTCTGGAGAGAATATTTCCACTTTTTAATATCTGATGCTTTTCTGGAGGTTTTTACAGTCATAGTTTAATAATCTATATTGAAAACATCTTTAGATATCATCCAAAATAAAACAAAGTTATGTCAAGAGTTTAGCATTCACTGCTGTTTTTCATTTGTAATAATACTATGAATGTGTCCACTGCTGAAAAATGCCCTAAGATCAGTGGGCACTGGCTTCTAGGACTTTTGGTTAACCAGTATCACCTGACCAGTTATTTAAAATAGAAAGCAAGAGTCTGATAGTGCCAGGGACAAGTGATATAGACCAGAAATCTTAAAACATAAAGTAAGCATGCCCCACACTAAGTATAACTAATATATAGTAAAACTTGCAATATAGTTAGCATAACTAGATATTTATCCCTGTTGGGATTTCACAGTTGCACCTTGCCTGTTATTTATATTTTCCTAAATTATTAGAAGATTTTAGAAAAAGATTCTGTGTTATGAATGCCCAGGTGAGAGTTAATTACTGTATGCATTTTGACACCTATGCTGTTAAAAAGCTGTTGTTGATAGCTGAACCAAGAATTGGTCTTTGACCTTCTGGGCACAGTTAATGAGCTACTAATCTTGTAGGGCATGTTTCTGTTGGACCTCTGCCTGGGCTCATTGTCAGTATTTATTGACACTCATCCATGTATGCATGGAGGGTTTAAATGCAGTCAAGACTGGTGTTCTCCAGCCAAGCTGTTGCTTTCAGCATTCACAAAAACAAGGTAGAAAGGAGACCTGGACAACAAGCACAGGCACTTGGACTTTTAAAAATTATTTTATTTTCTGTTTTCCCCTGATATGATAAATAGTGGTCTAAAGACCTCAGATTTCCTTTATTCATATATGGTTTTCCTTTTTAAAAATATTATTTTCAGTGGATTTGCTTATGGACACATTTATTACCAGTTTTATTCAAAAATTAAACATTTGTTCAGCATTTGTGTCCTAAGCTGACAGTCTTTAAATCTTATTTTTCAAAGTTATATTGAAAGTTATATTAGAAGAAGAAGCGGCTTCCTAAGCCCAGTACAAATCTGCAAGTCTTAATGAGAAATTTGAGGGCCAGCTGATAAAACGTTCTGACTATTGTTTTTGTGTCCAAAACAGAAATTAAAAGGGTTTGACTTGGGTGTTTTCCCCGCTTTTAGGCAGTTGAGCAGTCTTAGGATTTGTAGGCTGACCTGACCGTTGCTTTGGCATCAGGTGGCTGCTTTGGGATCCTTACGCAGGCCCTGGGCAGTGAGGACCCTGTCTCTCAGCCTCATGGTGTTCTGTGTTGTAGGCTGCTGCAGTACACGTTCGTGGGGGACATATTTATGGTTCCCGATGATCCTCTGGGAAGAAGTGGACCTCGATTAGAGGAGTTTCTTCAGAAGGAAGTCTGTCTTAGGTATTTCCTTTTTCAGATTGTCTTGTATTAAAACTTCTATTTCAATTCTTTGTGCTTTAGTGCAAGTGCTGTCTTTATAGACTAAAAATGACATTAAAAAAATTATTTTTTTTTTTTTTGAGACAAGGTCTTCCTCTGTCACCGAGGCTGGAATGCAGTGGCGTGATTTCGGCTCACTGCAACCTTTGCCCCACTGGGCTTCAGCGATCCTCCCACCTTAGCCTCCCGAGGAGCTGGGACCACAGGCGCATACCACCATGCCCAGCTCTTTTTTTGTATTTTTAGTAGAGACAGGGTCTTACCATGTTGCCCAGGCTGGTCTGAAACTCCTGAGCTCAAGGAATCCGCCTTCCTCAGCCTCCCAAAGTGTTGGGATTATAGGCATGAGCCACCATGCCTGGCCAAAATTTTTTTTTTAAGCCTTAAATTTAGTGCTGGTTTCATATATTTGGAAGCTAATGTAGCAAGCATCCCGGATTTTCAACTATAGTCCTTTCAGTTTTCATCCTAGGAAAAGACAGGAGCCAAACTTTTTTTGTGGGTTTATTTTTATTGATTTATTTTTTTTGAGATGGAATTTCACTCTTGTTGCCCAGGTTGGAGTACAATGGCGCGATCTTGGCTCACTGCAACCTCCGCCTCCCAGGTTCAAGTAATTCTCCTGCCTCAGCCTCCCAAGTAGCTGGGATTACAGGTGCACGCCACCATGCCTGGCTAATTTTTTGTATTTTTTTTTTTTAGCAGAAACGGGATTTTGCCATGTTAGCCAGGCTGGTCTCGAACTCCTGACCTCAGGTGATCCACCCGCTTCGGCCTCCTAAAGTGCTGGGATTACAGGCGTGAGCCACTGCGCCCAGCCTTTTTGTAGGTTTAAAAAGACAAAGCCGGGTTTGGTGGCTCACGCCTGTAATCCCAGCACTTTGTGAGGCCGAGGCAGGTAGATAACTTGAGGTCAGGAGTTCGAGACCATCCTGGCCAACATGGTGAAACCCTGGCTCTACTAAAAATGCAAAAATTAGCTGGGTGTGGTGGTGCGTGCCTGTAATCCCAGCTGCTTGGGAGGCTGAGGCAGGAGAATCACTTGAACCTGGGAGGCGGAGGTTGCAGTGAGCCGAGATCGTGCCACTACACTCCAGCCTGGGTTACAGAGCAAGACTCTGTCTCAAAAACAAACAAAAAAACAAAGCTAGTTTTCCAAGCTGGTGGTCACTTACTGGCGAATACTACTTAGGTTCATCATGTATGTGTGAGAGCTCTCCCTCTGAATCACGAGTGCCTGATGGGGTCATTTTGTATGTGTGAGTGTCTTTTTACATTCACTTTCTAAAGTCATTTGCTTTGAACATGTTATGCTTATATTAATTTCCTTACTGCTTAGGAATCACTGCCTGGGGGAACTGACCATTACTTTCTACCTTCACTGAATGGAAAAGCCAGTATTCAATATTTATCTGAAAATGATTTGGTAGTTTAGGTTTTCTTTGTTGTAGTTGGGGTTTGTTTTGTTTTTAGGACACCTTGTTAGTGGTTGTTTCTGTTTTCATAATTCTTAGGTAACAGACATTAACTAAAGATTCCTGTGAACCTAACAGGGAGATCATATGACCCCATGACTGATGTTTACTCTTTTTAAAAACTAAACCAGGCTGCACTTCTGTGCATTCCCAGCTGGTATTTGCATGGGGGTGTGATGGGGGGTCTAAGCTGAGAGGAAGACACACAGCTCTCTCAGCATTTTTAGGCAGTCACACTTTCCAGCTGATCTTTTCCATTTGCAACAGGAACCACTGGGAGCTGTAGGTTTGGATTCAGTGGTAGGTGGTGATGGGTTTCTTTTTTTACATGGTGGTCTCTTCTACCTAGGAGACCACTACAATTTCAACTCCCTGGTCTTGTGAATCATTTCTCTTTTGAGCCTTTGGGTTTTATGACACAGACGAGGACTTAATTCCCAAATGCCATGCTTTTCTACCCACATGAAGAGAATGGCAGCCATTTTCCACACCTGCTGTGCTCATCAGTCCATCTCATTTTGCTTCCCCACATCTGAACTTGGAAATCCCCTGCTGGGCTTCAGGCCCGAGGCCTGTGTCAGAGCATCAATCAGGTCCGCGGGTCAGAGTTACCAGAAGGAGAGTCCTCTGCTTGCTCCTGCTCCTTGAGCAACCTGGCACGGGGTCTGTCCTGCCTGCCTTTTCACTCTCACTTGGTGGCTCTTTGTGGAGCGGCTCAGAAATCGGTTAAGAAGTTGGGAATCACTTCCATCACAGAGGGGCTGTTGAAGTTAGTTGAGCTTTTGAAGTTGGGGAAACTTCAGCTAGCCTCATTTCTCGCCTGCAGGCCGAGTCCAGTGGGAGGCTTTTGAGCGATACAGATGCCCTCCCTGTACACACATACTCGCACATACCCATGTGCATACAAGTGTGGGCACCCACCCACACCTCATCTAGACTGAGTCGGTGGGGACTGCCACTCTCCCCAAAAGGAGTCTCTTCTAATTTCTATTAATCAGGGTCCTGCACAAAATCAAAATCTTCAGAAGAGTAAGACACTGTTAAACCTTTTGAAAGCTCCCAAGGGTACCCTGGTTAGAGCCAAACAGCTGGATGGGGTCAGTCCTCACAGCAGAAGACCTGGGAGGGTGGTGCTCCCTCATAGAGCGCATTGATTCCCTGGCACGCCTTGAGGTGATGTCAGTGAAATCCCCGCAGGCTCCTCTGTGGGTGTCTCATGGCACCATCTCCACCTCAGTCTTGCATCCTGCCTTTGGAAGCCAGGGAGCGGCATCCTGAGCCTCAAGGCCTGCCGCAGGTACCTTCTAAAATAGCTCTATGATTTTTTGTTTACTTATAACCCAACTCACCAGGACTCACTTCCATTCACAGAGATATGCAGCCCCTACTCAGTGCCCTGCCAAATGTGGGCATGTTTGACCCCAGCTTCAGAGTCCCTGGCACCCAGGCAGCCAGCACCAGCCACCAGCCTCCGACCCGGATTCAGGGAGCCCCTTCAAGCCACTGGCTCCCTCAGCAGCCCCACTTCCCACTGCTGCCAGCCCTCCCCAGTCTCCAGCAGAACCTGCCCATGCCAGCTCAGAGATCTTCTGCAGAAACCAACGAGCTGAGGGAAGCCCTTCTGAAGATCTTCCCTGACTCAGAGCAAAGACTGAAAATAGACCAGATCTTGGTGGCCCACCCATACATGAAAGATCTAAATGCGCTTTCTGCCATGGTGTTGGATTGAAGATTGTGCTGAGCGCTGAGCTTGCGCTCAGGGCTGGCTGATCAAACTCAAGCTCACACCTGTACCTGATGGGAATGAACATAATGTGAAGAAACTTATTTCCCAGTGTAAACGCAGTTGTACAGAAAAAAAATGTTTTGGGTATAAATCTGGGTTTTCAAAACCAGCTTTTTTCTATATATAAATTATGCTGCTATTACAGATTTAACATTTTCTGTTAAAGGAAAGTCTACATTTTCTGCCTGTTCAGAACTGTTTAATAGCAGTTACTCTTGAGTGTATTTACCTTTTTATGTTTTTTAAACTATTTTCCTTAAAGCCGAAAATATTGACAAATGGATATGGTTAGCCTTTATAAATAAATAAAAAAAAAAGTGTTGCTTTCTTAAGGAAAGCAAGACGTCTTAAAGTATATTTTCTTGAGATGAGTATGTCCCATCACTACCATGAAGTGTGCTCACCCTTCCAGCCTCCTCTGCCCTCACCCCCGGAGTTAAAGTGGGTAAGAGTTGGTTTGTTCTGCAGTCTTTGGTTGGAGTGTTGTGAAAGTGGACCCGCGGTGCCACTAGATGGCACTTGGTGCCTAGCCATGGTGAATGACCAGGGCGAAGTTAGTCTCACAGAATACCAGGGCTAGAAGACATCGTGGAGCCCATGGAGTCCCACCCTCCTTCCCCCTTCCACCCTGCGCAAAAGGGGACGGCCCAGTGTGCACGCCGTCCGGCCATGCCCACAGCCACAGCCACAGCTGAGGAGTGGCCGGGCAGGCAGCAGGCTCCCCAGCCAGGGCTTGACACGCCCACAGTCAGGGGCCTCCACATGCCTGGCCTGGCTCTGGAAGTCACGTCTTAGCTTCTGAACACCGTAGCGGGTTATGAGGAAGTTTAATGAAGAGCCCGGTCACTGTGGCCATCTTGTGTCCCCAACTGCAGGAGACGCCCTGATGTGGAGTTTGTACAGCTTTGCCAAAAAATGGTTTTCTATTCTCAAAAGTGACCCAAGCCAATAAATAGCATTAGTAGCTTCTGTGGGGGGATCCCAGAGCCCCTGTATTTATTTTCCCTGTGTTTGTCTCTAGTGTCCTCCTAAACAGCCTTTCCTGTGAGTCTTTCTCAGAATTGATATCTTAATATTGTCTGTTCTAGGTGTTGCCCAAATTCAGTGTCAGTGAAGTTCTTTTCCTGGGCAATCTTAACATCTTTACTCTTATTGTCTGGACCTTCAAAGGGCTTTGTATTTTACACCTGCGCCCCCAGGCTGCTCACAGTCGGCTTGCTGCCTGTCCTGCCTGTCCGGATCTTGTCTCCTAGTCCTGAGGAGCGGAGGCTGAGAACTCAGTGCTGGTTTGTAAATGGTGAGGGGACTTGGGGGCATCCCAGAGTGCTCCCTCCAGGCCTGCTTCTTGGTTTTGTTTGATCACTGCGTTCTTCAAGGGATGAATCCAGAGCCCTCCATGAGGCCAAGCTTGTCCTTCAATCATGTTTCCTCTCAGATGCGTCCGTGATGCCTCCTAATGTGGAACTGGTTGTCCATTGTTTGGGCCTATGGCCAAGTCACCCAGCTGTGGAAGCAGAGGTAGAAGACGAGGCCAGCCAGGAGGGCGACTTCAGTCACAGCTCCCATGCCTCAGCTTTGTACCTGTTTTCAAAAGCACAACTGAGGTGTGCGGGCTGGAGCTGTCTTGCAGTGATTCTGGCCTTCTGGCTCATGGTTCAGTCCAGCAGCCTGGCTGACCCACTATTTCTCCTCTGCTTCAGAGGAAACCCAGGAAATGCCCTTACTGCCAGGCTGAGTCTCCACCCATGCTGGTTGGTGCTGGCTAGGCTGAGGGGGCCACCACTTTTCCTGGCTAGAAGCTACTTGACCTTTGATGTTTGAGTTCTGTAAGTCTTCGTGTTCTGACTTACTGCTTCAGAGGGATTGGCCTGTCCCCTTTCCCTTTCTCGGCTATGGGAAGGAAGGATTGCTCATTGGTTGCCTTCATCAGTTACAGCATGAGACGGAATTCATCATTCCTTCCGAAACCCCTGATATTTAATATTTAATATTTAAAAACCCAAATTATCAAACCATTAAGAACTCATTACTGGTTCTCAGCCTCCTCCAGTACTAGCCTCAGTGTGGCTGCTGCATAAGTATCTGTAGCCTGTCTACCTCCTGCAGTGGGGCCGCTCGCCTCTTCCCTGTCTACTGCTCAGGCTCTCCCACTTCGTGGCATCCATGTAAAGTAGGTGGCAGGGCAGAGATGTCACTCTCATTCAACAGGGAGGATGTCTGTTGCTCAGAGAGGTTGTCCTGAGGGGCTGGGTGATTCCTGGGCCTACATTCTTCCCGAGGCTCCAGGCCGCTGTCTCTGGAAGTAAAAGAGCCTTGTCTGACCTTAATGCAAGCAGTCTGTTTGAACCCCTGTAGGCTGCATTCAGGAGACAGAAGGTGTCTGGGCCATCCTGGGCGGCCGGTCAGCGTTGCTAGGCAGGCTCGGCTGTCTGGCCGGGACTTGGGCCTGGGTGGCTTTTGAGACCAGTGAAGAAGGGAGAGCCGGCCTCATGCCGATGCGGCTTGTGGCACGGCTGGGATGTGAGGGAGGACTCAGATCTACACACAGAAACCCCTCTTCTCCCCGCCCTCCCCCAGCTCCTACCTGCCTCCCACGCCTCAGGTGTGGCTGCCTGTGGGACCATCCCCCAACCCCTTTCCTCGCACCTCCTTGTCCTCACCCAGTTCCTGCAGTGTCTCTGACCCACGCCTCCCGCCTCCTGGCCGACTTGCCCAGGAGGTGTCTCTGGCTCACCTCCGTCTGTTCATCACCTTCCTCCCCAGTGTTTCCACTTATCTTGGATGTTTTAGATTGAAACAGCCTGATTCCCGGAAGAATCCTCTTCATTCATTGCTAGTGCTTCCCCTCACCTCCCACTCTCCACTTCCCAGTTTGCAAATGTGGCTTTCGCCCACCAAGTGAAAGCGGACTGAGAGCAGCCCTTGGGGACGGCCCGGTGCCTGGCTGCAAGGCCGCGCTGGGGCTCTGTCTTGGTGCACATGGCTTGACCGGACTTTCCCTGCTTCCCACCACTTCCCTCACTCCCAGACCTCCCTCATTCTTTTTGTCTCTTCTTTTTGCCTAAAGCCAGTCCTTAACACCCTATTCTTCCTCTGCAGGTGGCTTGCAGACTTTTCCCCACCTTTGGGGCTCGTGGTGGTGGAGAGGGCAGCTGGTGTTAAGAATGTAGGTTACCGGGCATGACCCGGCAGATGCTTGCCCAGTAGTTCTGGAGGAAGGCCCGGGAATCTGCAAATGAGCGCATTCCCCAGGCAGTTCCCATGCAGGTGATCCACGGACCACATGTTGAGAAACTGCAGTCACCCTTAGGGCCACACCGTCCCTCTCCTCGCTGTCCCCTCTCTGTAGTGACTGGCCCTGACCTTCAGGAGTGCACTTTCCACTCTACCAGGAAGCCCTATGACATCCTCAGGCTCCCCAGACCTGCAGCTTGCATGGGGCCCCTCCCTTCTTCCACACCCACCCTCCGTATGGTCCCCTGCTCTGCCCTCGTGCTTTGCTGGCCCCTGCCCGCTACTCCCACTCTCAGACACCCAGGGGTGGTGGGCCCTAACTGGCTGGCCCCTCCCAGCGCTGCCCTCTGCCGTCCAGATGCTGCAGTGTGGCCAGATTTACCTTCCAGTAACATACTTCTAGTCACCCCTCCTCCTGCGAAGTGATCTGCAGTGGCTGTTTGACCAGACCACAAAGTTCACATCTCCTGAGCTTAGTGTCCGTGGCTGTCCACCTCCCAGCCATACTTGACTGTCCCCAAACTCTCCCTGCAGCCACATGTTTCCCATGACCTGTGGGCTCTGCAGATGGACCTCTCTCCGCTAGAGATGCCCTTCTCCCAAATGGCTTCCCTCCTGGAAGGCCCAGCCTGAGTCCTCGTCTCCTTTCCAGTGCTTCTGCCAGAAGCATCCCCATGATGTTGTGACCGCACAGCACTTTGTGTCTCGCTTTGAGCACTTGCCACTCTGGCTGGTGCTGCTGCCACTGATTGTGTACTGTCTTGCTGCCCTTTCTAGACTGTGAGCTCCTCGTGGGCAGGGACCGCCTGTGTTCTCTGTATTTCCCACGGCGCCTAGCACAGTGCCTTGCACTTGATAGGTGCTTAATAAATGTCTGCTCAACTGAACTGGAGGACAGTGCCTTCTTGACTGCGGCATCTGGCAGCAGGACCAGTAAGAGGCCGGGAATCCACTGCCCTGCAGTGGGACAGTGGGGTGGGGCTGGGGTCACTCCACTCCCTTCTCCCTCCCCTGCCAGGCTCCAGCACATGGCATCCTGGGCACACAGGTCCGGGGAGGGGTACCTGGCGCAGGCTGCATACTAGATGCACTCAGGCTTCCTGGCCAGGGCCGACAGCCGGCCCAACCTATGCCAGTCCAAGTCACTCCTGGGGAGTTCCTCTGTGGTGGTGGGAATCGTGGGATGCCAGGCCCAGGTCTGTCAGAAGCCATTTTCCACCCTGGGGGAAGTCGACCTGTGGCAGGAAAGAAGCGGCGACGTGAGAGAGGTTCCTGGCAGCATGAGCCTTGGGTTCCTGTTGTCAGGAAAGCCCTTCCTCGGACGTCACCACACCCCAGTATTCTAACACACTTTTTGCTTAAGCTGGTCATTCCAGTTGGATTTACGTCCTTTGAAATCGAGTCTTGAGTAACACGTGTTACTGTCTTTAGCAAGGATTTGCAGATTGTTTAGAAAGGTCCAAAGACCTGCACAAACAGGGCTTCAGGAGTATCCACCCCAGTCAGAAAATGCTGGAAGGGGCCAACTATTTCGGAGTTGAGTAACTTGAAACTCAGGCCTGGTGCCCCTCAGCAGAGAACTCGGCCTGGCTCTCGAGCTGTTCCCTGCTGCCGTGGCTCTGTGCCCATCCCACTGCCTCTTCAGTCCCCTGACGGCAGTTCTTTTCCCCAGTTCCCTAGTTGGGCAAATGCCAGCACTGTTCATTTGGAGTTTGACTTTCTGTATACTTCAGAACTGTAACTAAGCATTATTTTATTATGCCTATTTTACAGATGAGGATTTCCTCACCTGTAAAATAGGCATAATAATGCTTTCTACTTCAAGGGTGACATGAGGAATAAACGTGGTGCTTAGAACTGTGCCCAACCCAGAGCCCCGCTCAGTGACTGCTACTGGGGCTCTGATCAGCAGCCCTGCGGACACCTACCTAACTATTCGCCACCCTTCCAGGTCATCCCACACCCCCACCAGCCAGGTCTTATCTCCAAGTGCTAAGCCGTCATCCTCCAGGTTCTGAACGCACTCCTTTATCCCTGTGGTCCAATGATGAGGGTGCTTAGGTTAGGGCCTACATTTCTTTCAGTGCCTCAGCAGGGCCATGGGAAGTCCAGCTGTTCTAGAGAGGGCATTGTTCCTTGAACAAGGCAGGCACTTGGGAGAGTCCCTCGGGTGCCGTCACCAGAGAGAGCACCCGGAGGAAGTGAGCACAGCCACTGCCTGCCTGCAGGGTGCTGAGAAAGCTGAGGCCGGCAACCAGTGTCGTGCCCTCACCACCCATGTGCCCGGCAAGCTTCTGTCTCCTTTAATCCTCACCTCACTCCTAAAGTGCTGCTGTTATTATCTCCATTTTGCAGAGGAGGAAACTGAGGTACAGAGATGCTCAGGAACTTCCATTTCTTCAAGCTAAGATGTCCAGGATTTAGGATTTGAATTCCAATGGGCCATCCCACCTCCCTGAAAGGCAAAGCTGCACCAGAGGTGACTCAGCAGCTGGTATGGCACCTAAGATACCTCCACCCTTCAAGGAAAAGAATTGAGGGCCCATGACAGACCTGGGTCAAGGCTGTCAGTCTTCAGGGCACAGGGAGGCTGCGGAAGGAAGCTGCCTCCCCACTTCCTGCTTGGTGGGCCCGTATCCAGCCCTGTTCCTGCGAGAGGATGCCAAGAGCATATTTTTTTAAAGAAGTTGACCAGTTCTGCAGAAGCTGTGTCAGGAGTGAGCCCATGTATGCATCAGAGCCACCTTGCACTTCATTTCGGGAAACACAGATGAGTTGATGTTGATTGGAAACTGTACGTGGCCTTTTTCCCGGCTCAGGTTCCAATCCCCTACACACCGAGGATGCCAGGGCTGGGGGCATTCACTGGGGAAATGGACTGGGCAGGCAGGGATTTGCCCAGAAACAGAGCAGAAGTACCCACAGCCAGTGCTGGAGCCAAAAGCCCAGAGGCTTAGGGCTTCTTAAACCAGCCCCCTTTCACCCCCTCCTGCCTGGTGGCTTCAGCTCCCAGAGTCACAGGACTCCAAACCGCAGACTCCAGCCTTTGGGGCTTTCCTTCCCCAGCCCCGAGTCCCCAGGGAGCCCTGCTTGGCCCCACAGCCTGAAACCCAGTCTGGGGTCAGGCCTGGGCAGGCCCTGTCCTCCCCTCCTCCCTGCTTCTAGCGAGAAGAGGAGGCGGCGGCCTCCCCCAAAAAGAATGCGCTTGTCTGCCCGCCTGTCTGGCTCCTGGATCAGTCTAAAGTTTCAGCCACCAAAACAGGCAGCAGGAAGAAGAGGGCCTCCCGCAGCCTGCCCCTAGCAGCTGCGCACGTGGGCTTGCTCAGGGGACTTCCCCCAAACCAGGGTGTCTCTCAATGCCAGCAGGACCCTCTCCCCTTGCCAGCCCCTCAGGATCCCTGGCATGTCACACCTCCACTCTGAGAAGGGCTGGGAACCCTTACTTCTTCCCACTGTGTGGCTAAGGGACATGAGGCCCAGCCGGTGAGGGGTGGGGCCCAAACCCCTCATCCCCTCCGGATGCTGCACCTTCCCAGCCCCTCCAGGGTTCCTCCATCCCTGGTCTTGAGCAGCCACTTCATGCAGGGGACAGTGCCAGGGAAGGGAGAGAACAACCAGAATGGCCCTTCTTCTGAAGGCCTCATGCCCAGCCAGCCCGTGGAGTGAGGGCATCACCTGCTCCTGCACTTATTCTCCGTGACCTTGAGAAAGTTACGCAGCCTCTCAAGGCCTCGGGCCCTCATCTGTCAAGGGCTAGTGCTGCTGCCCTCAGAGCTGGTGGTCTGTGACCCTGGCTGTGCACTGGGATCCCCAGGGGCAGCGCTGCCCAGGCCACACCCCAGACCCTAGAGATCAGAATCTGACATCCACGTTTTCTGGTAATCCCAAGTGACCCGGCGTGCCCTCATGGTTGAGAAACACCTCCCTACTAAAGAGTAGTTGCAATGGTTGCAACCAGGACTGAATCCTAAGAAACGGGCCTGGCTCCTGGGAGAGTCCTTCCCATCCTGAGTCCCACGGTGAGGAAGGCACCTTTGCACCCAGGCCGGTGAGTGTTCCCTAGAATACATGTGGCTCCAGCGAGGGTCCCTCAGGGCCTCATCTGACCTTTGGTGGTTTTCAAATCCCAGGCCCTACAGAGGCAGGACACAGAGTGGGGCACGGAGCAGGGGAGGCCAGGACCCCTCCGGCTCCCTCCTGGTTCCTGAGTACCAGTGGGGCTGGCATTGGCATCAGGTGTTTCTCCCGACCTGGCCCCACTGTGTGTCCTCACCTCCTGACAGAAGCTGGCTTAATTACATGTGGGGACAATTTCTGCACAAGAGGGAGGAGAGCAGCTGGTACCCATTGAGCTTGCAAGCTTCTTTCCACAAAGCAGCGCCTTCATCCTCCCCACTGTGCACTCCCTGCAAACCCTGGTCACCATCCCACAGGCACCAGGGACCTGAGAGCCCAGCAGGGCCAGCCACACCGCTGAGAAGGGAAGGAGGAGGCCACCCAGTGGAGAGCCCTCGTTTCACAGTTGCAGTGTGGACAGAGGCCCAGCTAGCTTGGGTTGCCCATGGCCATCAGCTGTTCGGTAAGGCAGGACTGAGTCCAGGTCTTATTCCCACATTTGTTCTTTCCACTGCCTCCCCTGAAGATGAGTTTCTTTTCCCTGTGAGCCTTTTCTAGTTGTCTGACACTCCCAGCTTTAATAAACCCCCACCTCCCCAGCCCAGGAACTCTGGCTTTGAGGACCACCCAGAGCATCTCACACCCGTAGAGGTGGGGACGGTGGAGCGGGACTGCCAGTCACCTGGTCCCTCCCTCCGAGAACTCTGGCTCTAAGAAGGCACGAGGCATAGCTGGAAGAGGCCCTCGTCCACCATTTGGCCTCTGCGGAGGTGGCGTCCATCCCAGACCTTCGAGCACTCCAGCTTATCAGAATTACTATCCCCAGCCCAAACCACCCCTTTGGGGCTTGGAATCCCGGTATCACAGGGACCACAAGGAAGATGGCCATTCATTCATGCCTTGATGTCTACCATCCTCTGTTTATAGCTTCTGCATTCTAAATGTCTGCTGGGATGGGCCACTGTGGAGGCTGACAGCCTCACAGGGCAGGGAAGTCAGAGCCTGGAAGTATAGATGGGGTGGAAGGGAGCTAACTGGGCTGGGGAGGGGTGCTGCGGATGGGAGAGCGCTCGCACAGGGAAACAGAAAATGGAAAAGAAGATTCCGTGGGGGAGCTTTAGAGGAACTTGTAAGTATCTTGGAGCTGGAGAAGTCAGGGAAGAGGGTCTGGCTATATCCTAAGAGATGTATTCTGCCTCCTCTCCCCAGCGTGGAAGGCCAGCTGGGTGCACACTCTCCTCTGGAAAACCCTACCCAAGCCTGCGTTTCTGCACCTTGGAGACAACTCTGGCTCCAGCCTTCACTGACTCTTGTAACAAGAGGGCAACCAGTTAACCTAGCTCTATTCCTGGGGCGTATTAAGGGGATGGCGGGGTCGAGATGGGGGCCTTCGATGTATGGAGGACTCACTGTTCAGCTGCTTCCAATGTCTGTTCTGGAGGGCTCAGCCTGTCAGTAGCACGAGATGGCCCAAAGGTCCTGGTACCAGATGATGGGGCTCAGTCTTCCCAAGACCACTGAGATGAGCCAGCTCCTCTGCAGAACCCACAGTCTGTCTGCACCTCTGGCCTCCATGTGCACCCTCCTTGAAGGGCCAGGACCCAGGGGAAAGTTAGCCCTGCTGCCCAAGACTGCACAGTTCACAGCCTTCTCTGGCAGCAGGAAAATGCATCTGGTTCCTCTTTGGGGAAAAAAAATCAAGTTGGTTTTTCTTTTTGTTTTTTGTTTTGTTTTGTTTTTTTTAATGGAGCACAGTCATTCCTAATCATGACTTAACGTATGTAACTTCTACTCAAGAGGATCCCTTAACTGCCTGGAGTCTCAGTGACCCCTGCCTGTACACTTGGTCACCCTGGTTTGCAAGCGAATACCATTGTCCATTTACATCCAGCAAGCCCTACATAACCAGGGTTGGGGTAGTTCTTTTTCCTTTAGTCAACTTTTTTATTTTTATTTTTATTTATTTATTTATTTTTTGAGGCGAAGTTCTGCTGTGTCATCCAGGCTGGAGTGCAGTGGCACAATCTCAGCTCACTGCAACCTCTGCCTCCCGGGTTCAAGCAATTCTCCTGCGTCAGCCTCTCAAGTAGCTGGGATTACAGGTGCCTGCCACCACGCCCGGCTAATTTTTGTACTTTTTAGTAGAGACAGGGTTTCACCATGTTGGCCAGTCTGGTCTTGAACTCCTGACCTCAGGTGACCCGCCCACCTGTGAGCCATCGCACCAAGCCACAACCTCAATCAACTTTGTATGAATTTTTAAAAGGCTTCACTCTGGAATACTGTGCAGCCACAGAAAAGAATGAGATCATGTATTTTGTAGAAACATAGATGTAGCTGGAGGCCATTATCCTTAGCAAACTAACATGGGAATAGAATACCAAATACCTCATGTTCTCATTTATAGGTGGGAGTTATTAATAAATGAGAAAACTCATGGACACAAAGAGGGGAACAACAGACACTGGAGTCTATTGGAGGGTGGAGGATGGGAGGAAGGAGAAGATTAGGAAAAATAATGCACGACAAACCCCCATGACACAAGTTCCCTTATATAACAAACCTGTACAGGTACCCCTGAACTTAAAAGTTAAATTTGGAAAAAAAAAAAAAAAAAAGGTTGGCCAGGCATGGTGGCTTATGCCTGTAATCCCAGCACTTTGGGAGGCCAAGGCAGGCGGATCACCTGAGGTCAGGAGTTCAAGACCAGACTGACCAATATGGTGAAACCCCATCTCTACTAAAAATACAAAAAAAATTAGCTGGGCATGGTGGCATGTGCCTGTAATCCCAGTTACTCAGGAGGCTGAGGCAGGAGAATTACCTGAACCTGGGAGGCGGAGGTTGAAGTGAGCCGAGATCGTGCCATTGCACTCCAGCCTGAGCAACAGAGCGAGACTCCATCTCAAAGGAAAATAAACGGCTTCACTCATCTTCCTCCTGTACAGGACAGAACAGGACCCTTTTCATTGTATTTTGTTATTTTTAGTTATTTATGTATCTTTAGAGATGGCATCGAGCTACCTACACTGGTCTCTAACTCTGGCCTCAAGCGATCCTCCTGCTTCAACCTCCTAAAGCACTGGGATTACAGGCATGAGCAACTGGGCCAGCCAAGGACCCTTTTTAAAGAGCAGGGAGAGAAAGAGAGACAGAGACGGGGGTGGGGGGTGAGAGGCGTGGAGTGGAGAGAGAGTGTGGAAAGGCAGGGCCAGGGCTCCTGTGCATTGGAACACCTGATTTCCATGGCCGAGGAGAAATCATTGCCCACAGCCTTTGTCATGTTCAGAATTGCCAAGCCCGAGAGCTGGGGGGACCCTGCCTCCCCTAAGGCTTTGACCTCCTGCCAAGGGGAACCTCCAGAGAGCAAATCTATAGAAAACCAACTGGGCACAGCTTTCCAAGAAAAATAGAGCTTTTTTCTTTTCTTTAAAAATTGTATGAAATTGTCAGAATCATATGCCCAGGTGGTGGAGAGAAGTAGCAAAAAGAAGGCAGTTTCATGTTTGAAGTTGGAGTGCTGGAGGAATCGCGGCCAGCTGGCCTGTGCTCGGGATGTCTCTGCAGCCCTCTGCTCCGCTCCCTCTATGGGAGTGTGCTCCTCGCCTGCCCGTCCTGCACTTGGTAATTGCAACCATCTGTTCAGAGTGGAAACTCACACTTCCAGGCCCAGGCACCGCTGCTCTCTGGAGGGTCGTTATAGGGCAGTGAGGGCGGATGTCCCTCCCCGTGTCACCCACAGCCATCTCCTCTCAGTCAAGCACAGCCCAGTTCTGGTTCCAGCTCTGCTGTGGACTCCCTTGGGCTTGCCCCTTCCCTTCTCTGGGTGTCAGGGTCCAAGTGCGCGAACATACGTGAGAGTCCCCACCCGGCTGCTGGATGGGGCGGCTGTGAACCCATGGAGGACTAGGAGAGCACTGTGAGATTTGGGAGAGGCGGTGCTTCAGCATCAGCTCCAGGCCCCCTCTTCCAGGAAGTCTCCCGTGGAGCCCCACCTGAGTACATCAGCCTCTGGCAGCTTGTACTGTCCCTCCGTGCAGCTGTCATTTTTTGGGCAGCTTCTGTGTTCAGTCAGGCACAGGAAGCACATGGCTGTGAGCAACTCGGCATGGCTTCTGCCCTTGTGCAGCTGTGGCTTCAATCACTCAGCTGGCTGGCATCTCCCATTACTCCCACTAGGTTGGGGTACAGGGCAGTGAGCAGGGTCTGCACCTTGAACTTCTACATGTTTCCATCAAGAAACTTTTACTTGCAAGAACAAACACCCTCCCAACCTGGCTGACGCCAGAAGCAAATGTATCAGGAACACCGACAACATCTGCAGAAGCCAGGCCTGGCACCACTGCCGTCACTGCTATCCAGACACCCTCTCCATCTCTGCTGGGCCAGAGTCTAGGCCCAGTTGCCATTCTGGCCCTATCAGGTCTGGCTCTGCGCATCGTGGATGAGCCATGCCCTCATAAGCCTAGATCCCCATATCAGGATGAGAGCTGGGGGCTGACCTCTGAAGGCTCTTACAGTTCCAACCTGCCCTGATTCTTGGAATCTCCTCTTCCATCCAGAGGAGAGGAGGTCAACAGTAGGAAGAATAAGCCAAGGCTGCCTTAGAAAACAAAATGGCATACCTATCTACCCTATGACCCAGGAGTGCCATTCCTAGGTATTTACCTAAGAGCATGAACCATATGTCCACACACACACACAAGACTTGCACAAGAATGTGAATAGCAGCCTTCTTGTTCCTAATAGCCAAAGCTGGAAACAACCCAAGTGTGCAACAGGTAAGTGAATGCATCATGTAACTGTGGAACACCCATACAATGGAATACTATGCAACAGATACGCAGACTAGTACATACAGTATATGCAGACTGCACAGGCAGATGCAGCAAGGTGGATGAATCTCCCAGGCATTATGTTGTGTTTAAGAAGCCAGGCACAAAGAGTACACACTGGATGACTCCATTTATATAAATTTCAAGAACAGGCAAAACTACATGGGAACGGCAGCCAGAGAGTGGGGGGGAGGGGAAGCACGTGAAGGGACTTTCTGGGATTGTGGAAATGTCCTATATCTTGTTTTGCATGGTGGTTATATGGGTGTATACAACTGTCAAAACATCGAACAATTAGGGTCTGTGCATTTTAATGTATGTAAATAATGCTTTAATTTCTTAAAATGATTGCGACCAGAAAAGAAGCTAGAGCCCTCAGAGCAACACATGGGGCTGTGTCCTGCATGTCCAGCCAGGGCCTGCCCTAGGTGCTGAAGAGCTTATCTATCTTGTTAGAAGTTAGCAGTTTCCAGGCCAGGAACGTGAGAGTCCTACTTGGTCATTTTTCACAGGAACATCGTCAAACTAGAGGACCAAGGGAGTGAGGTGGGGAGCTAGGAGGACAGAAGGAACTCTTCTAGGATATCAGCCACAGCCTAGGAGAAGGGCTCATTTATCCTGTGAACATTTATTGAGCATGTACTATGAGCCAGACATTATGGTGGGCACTGGAGATACAGCAGTGACCGAAAGACATGGTTCCTGGCCTCAGGGAGCTTGCTGGGAGAGACAGACATTGAGTTACTGATCACCCCAACAAGCACCTCACCCCTGGGGCAAGGACTGAGGATAAGCACAGGGAGCTCCAAGATCACAAGCCTGGAGTCCTCACCTCACTTGGGTATGGGAAGGTCTCCTGGAGCCCTGAGTTCTGAAGGATGAGAAGACATTAGCCAGGCCAAGAGTGGGAGGGAGAGCATCCAGCCCCCCACCAAAAGTCAGAGCCAAGAGAAGCTAACACAGGAGCCACCAACTCCAGTGTCTAAGAGGGCCAGGCCAGCAACAAAGTGTGAAGAGGAGAGTGTGAGTCCCCATGGTGGAGGGGAGGGGGAAGCGCAGGTGCACTGAGCATGTGGCCATGGAGGGAGGAGGGGAGTTGGTTGTTTTCCTGTAGGATTGCAGGCCTGGTGGTGCCCCCTCTTCCCATTTTCCAGAAAAATGAGAAATCTGAAGTTGTTAACATGTCAACTCATATCAATTTTTAAATCTTGACTCAAATTTTTTGATTACTTTTATAGATTCAAAGCAATCCCAATAAAAATTCCAGCAGGCTTCTTTGGATGAAAATTTGCAAACTGATTGTAAAGTGTATATGGAAGGGCAAAGGACATAAAATATCCAAAAATAATTTTGAAAAAGAACAACCAAGTTGGAGAACTCACACTGCCTGATTTCTAGATTTATTATAAAGCTACAATATGTTATGGGCTTGTTTGTTTTTGTAGAGATGGAGTCTCATTATGTTGCCCAGGCTGGTCTTGAGCTCCTGGCCTCAAGCAATCCTCTAGCTTTGGCCTCCCAAAGTGCTGGGATTATAGGCAAGAGCCACTGCACCCCACCTAGGACATAATGTTATTGGCAAAAGGATGGACACAAAGATCAATGGAATAGATGGCAGTGTCCAGAAATAGGCTCACACAAATATGATTGACTGGTTCTTTTAAAACACTGTGGGCTGGGCACAGTAGCTCATGACTGTAATCCTAGCACTTTGGGAGGCCGAGGCGGGCGGATCACTTCAGGCCAGAGTTGCAGACCAGCCCGGCCAATATGGTGAAACTCTGTCTCTACTAAAAAATACAAAATAATTAGCTGGGCATGGTGGCTCACACCTATAATCCCAGCTACTCGGGAGGCTGAGGCATGAGAATTGCTTGAGCCTGGGAGGTGGGAGTTGCAGTGACCTGAGATCGTGCAACTGCACTCCAGCCTGGGTGACACAGAGCGAGACTCTGTCTCAAAAAACAAAAACAAACAAAGAAATCCCACTGTGATGACAATTCAATGGAGAACGGATATTCTTTTTAGCAAATAATGTGTCCACATGGTGGGCAGGCTCACTTTTAGATGGCTCCCAGGGTCCCTTGCCTTTTGGTGTTCACACCTTAGTGGAACCCCTCCCCTTGAGTATGGGTGGGACCTGTGATTTGCTTCTAATCAATAGAGCCTGACAAGCTACAGGAGGTCATTTTCATGATTATGTTACATTATATAAGATTCCATCTTGCTAGCTGACTACTCCAGACTCTCCTTGCTGGCTTGATTAAGTAAGCAGTTGTGTTTGGGAAGTCCATGTGACAGGGACTTGTAGGAGACCTCTAGGAGCTGTGAGTGACCAGCAGGGAGCTGGAGCCCTCAGTACTCCAGCTGCAAGGAAATGAATCCCACCAACAATCTGAATGAGCTTAGAACAGATTCTCCCCAGTCAAGCCTCCAGATGAGAACAAAGCCCAGGGACACCCTGATTGCAGCCTGGGGAGATTCTAAGAAGAGGATGCAGCCAAACTGTGCAGAGACTCCTGGCCCCACAGAAGCTGTGATAAAATAAATGTGTATTGCTTTAAGCTGCTAAGTTTGTGGTCCTTATGCAGCACAGAAAACTAATATAATCCATAAACCAAAAATGAACCTCCACCTATATTCATATCATATACAAAAATTAAATAGAAATGGATAATGGCCAGGTGCAGTGGCTCACGCCTGTAATCCCAGCACTTTGGGAGGCCAAGGTGGCGGATTACATGAGGCCAGCAGTTTAAGACCAGCCTGGCCAACATGGCAAAACCCCATCTCTACTAAAAATACAAAAATTAGCTGGGCATGGTAGTACAGCCACCCAGCTGTCTGTAATCCCAGCTACTCAGGAGGCTGAGGCACAAGAATCACCTGAACCCAGGAGGTGGAGGTTGCAGTGAGCAAAGATCCACTCCAGCCTAGGTGACAGAGCAAGGCTCTGTGTCAAATAAACAAAAAAAAGTGGATCATGTCTAAATGTAAAACTATAAAGCTTACAGAAAAAAAAATGAAAACACCGAATGTGGGTAGATATATTTGGACAGGGGGTAGCCAACATAGGAGCCCTGATGAGGGTGAGAGTGACGCAGGGAGAGCCTGGTTGAGGCCCATCAGGACTTGGGGTCTACAGTGCCTGAGGTGGTTTGGGGGCCCATAAGGACTTGGGGTCCACAGTGCCTGAGGTGGTTTGGGGGCCCGTAAGGGCTTGGGGTCTACAGTGCCTGAGGTGGTTTGGGGGCCCATCAGGACTTGGCAGTCCACAGTGCCTGAGGTGGTTTGGGGGCAGCAACAGCCTTGGCTCCAGGCTCTCTGGTCCCTCTTGTCTCCTCTCGCTTCTAGCCCCTAGTCCCCATATATTCTTTAGTCTGGTCCCAATCTGGTTGGCTTAGTTGATGCCACCCCATGGGCATCCTTCATAGGTGGCTTACCAGCATTTGGACGCATGGTCCCTGGGTCAGTGCACACCCTGGTGTAATCCATTTCCATCCTTGTGCACAGCCAGCCAGTTGCTGCCTCCTGGTGTGGGCCATGGAAGGGAAGCTGGACAAGAAAGGTCCAGTGAGGAGGAGCACATCAGAAAGGTTTCTTCTCTTTGCCTCAGTCTCCTCTGCTGCCCGACAAGGGGTTGATCCTCTTCCATGCCTGCATTCTGAGGTTACCTAGAGACAGGCCCAGGCTAGGGATCCTGTGGCCCTCTGGTGCTTCCCATGACAACCCTGTGGCCATTAGCCCCTGCCATGCTGCTGGGCTGCAAGCCCTGGCAAGGTGTAGTTGCCAGGAAGCCCCAGCTGAGAAGGCTGGCAAGCAACTCTGTCGAAGGTAGGTGGGAGAGGTGGTAGGGGCTGCTGAAAGCTACCTGGGAAGTGACAGGGCCTATTCCTTTCTAAGAAGCGCCTCCCAGGAAATAGGCAGCTCAGCCTTGAGTCATCACTGATAACCTGGGCCAAGGAGCCACCAGGTGGAGTCAACTCACCATCATCTGTGTGTGTCAGAGGTGCAGGGACCAGGAGAAGGGCGCACTGTCAGGTGAATGAACAGAATGGCGGCTTGTGACCCAAGTGGCACTTGTGGAGGGAAGTGCAAGGGGGTTCCACCAAGCCAGAGTTAAATGGAGGGTGCTGGGCACCCAGATTATGGGAGGTGGTGTCAGGTTTTATGCTCCCTTGGCTGATTCCCAGATCAGTCCCTACACAGCCCTAAAAAACAACCCCCACCTGCATTTTTTCACCTGCAGACCGAGCCGCCAGGGACCACCTGTATTCCGTTGCTTCCTAGAACACTTTGCCTTCCTCTATGCACAGCTTGGCACGTAGGGTTTCAGTGATGTCAACGTAAGCATAGCCTTAGCCCAGCACAGTGGAAGGATCAGCTAGCCAGTGGGTGGGGGCAGCGTGGGGTGGGAAATGTGACTCCTGGAATGTCCAAAGGTCAAGGAAACTTGTTTCAGGAAACAGGCTGACTGTTTCAGGGAATGCAAAAGGTAAATTTCACTGCATTTTATTCGTGGTCCTATAAACATGCCAACGTTTTCATCAAGCTAGAAAATTAGAATAAAGGAAACCTGGAACTAGGGATGGCAGGAGGGCACAGGGCACTCCCTTACCCCAAGCAAGGTCCATGCCACAGCACCCAACCAAGTTATGCTGGGTAGAGGGGAGGACGCCCCCTCCCCTGACCTCAGAAAAAGCCTCAGAGACAAGAAGACAAGGGAATTGGGTGGGAGCCTCCTGGGAGGGTACCGCCTCCAAGGAGAGATGGCGGCAAAGGTGCCTCCTGGGTCACCTAACGTGTCTGTTACTTGTCAGATGATGGTTGCTAAGGTATGGGTAGAGGGAAGCAGTTTGGGGTGGGGGTTGTTTGCGTATTTTGTTGTTTTGAGTCTTAGTCAACTTATATTCACTTCCAGTGACCTGAAGACGTCACGCTGCCTGCTTCCCTAGTGCTGATGAGGGGCCCTGGGGCAGTAACAGGAACCAACAGGTGCCTGAGCCTCAGGGTAACCTGGGAGTCTCCTTGGAGGAGAAACATGTGGGCCCTGTGGGAGTGGGCATGAAAGATGTGAGAGCACAGCCTGTGGGAGGGTGCCAAGGGACAGCACTGCCCATCCTCCAGGTGTGCCACAGGAAGCAGCTGGTGTGTCCAAAACAATGAGAAGAGGCCAAAGGAGACAAAGAGGAGGAAGTGCTGCCAGTGGATCAGAGTCTGAAATCCTCCCTGCACTGGTGGCCGTGGGGATCTACCCTTGGCTGCCACCTACTACTCTCTCCCCCTCCAGCCCCCTATACCACCTCACTCACTGTCACCTGCCGGTTCCCAGAAGGAGGAGACAGGACGTTCTAGGAAGGATTCAAATTCCACCTCCAGGTCACTGAGACAGGCTCCTGCCTCTTACCAGCTTCATTCATTCATTCATTCAAGGTTCATGTTTTGAACACAGAGCCAGGCACCATGCTGTGCTCACTGCTAGGGACAAAACAGTGGGCACAGCAGCCAAGGTTCCTGCCCTCGTGGAGCTAATGAGACGTCACTCAAATATGCATGCAAACAGGCATGGTGACAATGTGGTCAGTGCAAAGAGGAAACCAGTAGGGTGCTGTGAGCATCTCACAGAGGGAGGGGCAGGAGTGGGGAGTCGGCCCTCACATCTACTGCTGTGTAACAAATTACGCCCAAGAGCAGTGGCTTCAACAATGTTTATTATCTTCCACGTTACTGTGGGTCGGAAATGTAAAAAGGACACTGAGTCTGGCCTGTCTCTACTTCATGATATCTGAGGACTCAGATAGAGACTTGAAGGCTGGGTGCTGGGTGCTGGGATGACCCGAAAGATCATTCACTCCCTAGGGGCCTGGCTGGGGCCATCAGAGCTGGCGTTAGCCAGTTCTGGGAAGGTGCATTCCGGGCAGAGGGAATTGCCGGTGGGACAGCTCTGAGGTGTGGAGTGTACTTTGGATGGGGCAAGAGTGGAGGTTTCCTCTTTGCAGTGATCACATTGACATCATGCTGTTTACATGTGCATTTGAGTGATGTCTCATAAGTTCCACAAGGGCAGAGGGAATTGCCTGTGGGACAGCCCTGAGGTGTGAAGGGTACTTTAGAGGAATGAAGACAGATGCACCAGCTCTGCCTGCGTCTGAGAACCCACATGCCTGGGAAGAGGACCCATCCCATCTGAGGGTGCAAGGAAGGCTCCCAGAGGAAGCTGGGTAGGACTGGCAGGGTGGAGCTGGGAGCAGAGGGAGAGGCATTCGGGGGCACGAGCCAATGTGAGCCAAGGCCTGGCTGAGATAAACTACTTGACCTAGAGAAGAAACCTTGTCAAATACCTACAATAGGCACAAGTCCACCTGAGGCACTCCAGGTGAAAATGTGGTTTTCTTGGCATTTCTAAATCACATTTCTTGATCTTCTAAATCAAATTAAATCTGTTTGGAACCCCCATTTGCCAAAGTTGCAGAGACACCAGTGCCAGCCACATTTTGCCCCCTTCCCCATGCTAAGGCTTGCAAGGGCTCCAGGACTTTTCCATGCAGGCTCTCCAGGGCCAGGCCCCTCTGGACTGTCCCCCTCCGGGGACTCCTGGTTAGACTAATGGTTCATTTGAAGACAAATGTCTCTGTGCTTAGGGCTGCCACAGGGGTGTTGAGGTTGACATGGGATGTCACACCACTGCCGCCCTGGCCCAGCCACTCTCGGGTGCTGGGTGTGAGGGGTCCCGGGTCTCCACCAAGGGGAGAATTGCCACCTTCCTGGAATTCAGCTCCTTGGGTGGGGTCCATCCTCTCCCCACCTCTTAAGCCAAAGCCTCTCTGAAGAGTTCTGCCTGGAAAACACAAAGCCCCTCATTTTACCCCATGCTCCTAAGGAAGGTCACAGGCCTGACCTCCGCATTCCGTGGGGACGCACTGACCTCTGTGCAGTGTTGGTAGTAGTGGAAATCAGGCCCTGATCACATGTATAAGCAACTCATCCCGTCGCATCCCCTTGGTGACATTGTGGTGGTACCTCAGTTTCCCCAACAGTGAAGAGAAGGACTGGCCTAACTGTGCTGAAATACCGAGTGATTGGAGTCCTAGGAAGCATTAGCAGGGAGGGGAGAGCTCGCCCCAGGCCTGGTGGGCAGCACCTGCAGACAGTCCATCAGCTGCTCCCAAAAAGGCAGACAGCCACTGCCCAGTGAGAGCACGCCTCACCAGCCAGGGCCAGCCTCCTAAACAAAGGCGGCCTTTTCTTGTCTTCCCATATACCCTTCCAAAACAAAACCCAACACGCTCTTTCCAGCTGTCTGGTTGCCCCTGCAAGTTGCCCCTCTGGATGCCAGATGAGGACACCTTCCCTGGAGCCCTTAGGGATCCTGGCGGACCTGAATCCAGGAGCCAAGGCCTGCTCTGGAGCATGGAGGCAGGGGGCTTGTTTTTATTATTATTTTTTTCAGAGACAGGGTCTCATGCTGTCACCCAGGCTGGAGTACAGTGGCAAGGTCATAGCTCACTGGAGTCTCAAAATCCTGGGCTGGGGAGGGTGAGCAATCCTCCCACCTCAGCCTCCTGAGTAGCAGGGACTACAGGCGTGGGCCACTCTGCCTGGATCATTTTTTTTTTCTTTTTAAATTTTTCTAAAGATAGGAGTCTTACTTTCTTGACCAGGCTGGTCTCAAACTCCTGGCCTCAAGGGATTGTCCAGGCTTGACCTCCCGAAGTGTTTGGGATTGAAGGTGTGAGCCAACACACCCAGCCAGGGAGTGGATTTTAAGGTCTTTGGTGGCTCCATCTTGGGTGAAGTTTGGTGGCAGGGCCACCTCGCTCTTCCCTTGCACAAGATGGGGGAAGCTCAGCCTAGAGCTGGGAGCCTAGGCAGCCCAGTCCCTGGTGAGCCTGTCTTTAGCACTCTGGGCCCTGAGCTAGAATTCAGCTCTAGACTTCCATCCAAGCCTCACCAGTGGGAAGGGCTCTGGCCTGCCCCTGAGTGCCCTCTACATTTGGAGCCCAAGACTCCTCTCTCCTTCTGACCTCTCCATTGTCCTTTTACTTTTTCGTGTCTGTGTCTGCCACTCCACCCTCAGCCGAAAGTCATCCTCTCCCCTCAGTGCTGTGCCTGGAGTCAGGGCATCTTCTCACCGGATCCTGGGCATGCTCTGGGTTTCCAGGGCAATGCCAACAAACTCAGACTCTGTCTTGGGGCCAAATAAAAGCTTCCCACTTATCAATGGCTCCACCACCTGCCATGTGCCTGTTGAACAAGGTGACATCCACGTAAGTCCTGCTGAGTCCCCACCTCACCAAGGAGTCAGTCCAGGCCCAGGATTCAACGCAGGCCCATACACCTTCTCTCCACACATCTTTTCCTGCCCCACCACCCCCAACCCCAGCCTGCACTGCTTCGCTCCCCACCCCGCCCCTTGGTCTATTTGGGTTGGTAGGCGCCTTCTTCCGGGAAAACAGCACATCCTGTGGGTCAGGACAGGCCTCCCTCGAGAGCTGTCTCAGCCAGATGGCCCCCAACCCCAAAGCCTGGGCTGGGGCTTTCCAGGTGGCTTTTCCATAGAGCAGCCTGGTTCCCTCTGAACGCTGCACCCCACCCATCTGCCCCTGGGTAAAGCTGTTGGTGGGGAAATTGGGCCCCACTTTACCCGCTGTGGATCGAGAAACTCCCAGCAACCTCTGCTCCTCACTTCCCTTCTGCAGGACTGGAAATTGGGGTCCCCCCTAGGTGAGTCTCCCACCTTAGCCCCTAGAAAACTGTCAATTCCTGGGAATAAGCCAGCCCCATAGTAGGTGGGGTTGACTCCTGGGAGTACAGATTTCCACCTGGGACCCCCTTGCCTCACCACTCTGTCCTCTCCAAATTCCCTCTCCCAACCTTTGGAAGATGGTCTCAGAGTCACCCATGGTGGCTCCACAGGGCCTGACTGGTACGTGAAGACAGGAAGAATCAGGCACTGAGTCCCATCCTCTCTAGTACTCCCTTTCCTGTTTCCACTAGGACATTTTTGTGCATCGCATTGACTTGGTCGACAAATAACATCAACGATGAAATGGTTACTGAGCACGTACTATTTGCCAAGGGACACCGATGGTCCTGCCTGCAACATTTCAGTTAAGTTTGGAAACAAGCAATCAATGGAGGAATGAGCTGGTTCCAAGCTCCAAGTTCGAAGAGCTGGTTCCAAGCCTAAAGTTCGAGGTTCCCAGCCTGGCCTCTGCAAGCCAGTCTCCAACATGCTCCCTAGTGGGCCACATTCTTCCTCTGCTTAAAGCCCCTCAATGGGCTGGGCATGGTGGCTCATGCCTGTAATCCCAGCACTTTGGGGGGGCCAAGGCAGGTGGATCACCCGAGGTCAGGAGTTTGAGACCAGCCTGACCAACATTGTGAAACCTCGTCTCTATTTGAAATACAAAATTAGCTGGGCATGGTGGTGGTGCAAGCCTGCAATCCCAGCTACTCGGAAGGCTGAGGCAGAGAATCACTTGAACCCGGGAGGCAGAGGTTGCAGTGAGCAGAGATCGCGCCATTGCACTGCAGCCTGGGCAACAAGAGTGAAACTCCATCTCAAAGGAAAAAAATAAATAAATAAAAGCCTCCAATGGCTCCCCGTTTACCTGGGGTAGAGTCCAAATTCCTTAGTGTAGACTATAGGCCCTCCCTGTTCCTCCTGGCCTAGGTACCTGTTGTCCCCTCTGCAGGGACATCTCTCCACTCCACCTGCTTTGCTTGACATGCTCCGACTCCTCCTTTAAATCACTTTCTCCAGAACAGCTTCTCCGTAGCTCCCAGGCCACGTTACCAGCCCTCAGCGATGTCACCTGAGGAACTCTTCCGTGGGTTGTATCTGCTTGTTCATAGCTCTGTTTCTCCCCCAGTCAGTCTTTCTCACTGGAGGAACTTTAAATCAGCTTTTTTTTTTAAATGGAGTCTCACTCTGTTGCTCAGGTTGGAGTGCAGTGGTGCAATCTTGGCCCACTGAAACCGCTGCCCACTGGGCTCAAGCAATCCTCCCACCTCAGCCTCTCGAGTAGCTGGGACTACCAGTGTGCACCACCATGCCCAGCTAATTTTTGTAATTTTAGTAGAGACGGGGTTTCACCATGTTGGCCAGGCTGGTCTCAAACTCCTGAGCTCAAGTGATCTGGCTGCCTCGGCCTCCCAAAGTGCTGGGATTACAGACATGAGCCACTGTGCCCGGCTACCACCCCCAGAGATTCTGATTCAGCTGTCTGGAGTATGGCCTGGGCAGGGACAATTTTAAATCTCCTCCTGTGACTGTAAGGTACAACCAGGCTGAGAACAGCCGCACTAGACTGTGAACGCCCTGAGAGCAGCTGAGCCTTATTTATCCAGGTTCCCAAGGTCTGAGCTTAGCAGGCCTCCCTCCGCATTGCTGGGATGAACAACATGGCCCCAGGTAGTCCAGGGAGCCGAGATGGGTGACTGCTGAGTGCTGGGAGGCAAGAAGGAAAACTGCCTGGCATTCCTCTGCCTTTTTTTTTTTTTTTGAACTTTGTTTTGTCTTTAGAGACAGGGGTCTCACTATGCTGCCCAGGTTGAACCCAAAGTCCTGGGATCAAGCAATCCTCCTGCCTCAGCCTCCCTAGTAGTTGGGACTATTGGCATGCACTACCAGGCCCAGCATTTAAAAAATTTTTAAATTAGTAAATGTTATTTCTTAGAACAGTTTTGGGTTCACAGAAAAATCGAATGGAAAGTACAGAGAGTTCCCATATACACCCTGTTCCCACACATGCCCAGCAGCCTCCCTCACCATCAACATCCCCCAACAGATTGGTACATTCATTAAAAGTGATGAACCTGCCTCCACACACCATCACCCAAAGTTCATAGTTTGCATGAGAATTCATTCTGGGTATTGTGCATTCTATGGGTTTTGACAAATGTATAATGCCACGTGTCCACTACTGCAGTACCACACATTAGAGGAGTTGCCCTGCCCCAAACGTCCTCTGTGCTCCCCCTGTTCATCTTTCCCTCCCCTTAACTTCTAGCAACCACTGATCTTTTTTTTTTTTTTTTTTTTTTTTTTTTTTTGGAGACGGAGTCTCGCTCTGTTGTATAGGCTAGAGTGCAGTGGTGTGATCTCGGCTCATTGCTACCTCTGCCTCCTGGGTTCAAGCGATTCTCCTGCCTCAGCCTCCCAAATAGCTGGGACTACAGGCAAACGCTGCCACACCTGGCTAATTTTTTATATTTTAGTAGAGATAGGGTTTCACCATGTTGACCAGGCTGGTCTCGAACTCCTGAGCTCAGGCAAACTCCTGAGCTCAGGCAATCTCCTGAGCTCAGGCAATCCGCCAGCCTCGGCCTCCCAAAGTGCTAGAATTACAGGCATGAGCCACCACACCCGGCTGCAACCACTGATCTTTTTATTGCTCCCATAGGTTTGCCTTTTCCAGAATGTCATATAGTTGGAATCATACAGTAAGTAGCCTTTTCAGATTGGCTTCTTTCACCTAATAATGTTCATTTAAATTTCTTCCATGTCTCTCTGTGGGTTCATAGCTAATTTCTTTTTAATGTTGAATAATACTCCATTGTTTGAATGTACCAAAGTTTATTTATCCATTCACTACTGAAGGACATCTTGGTTGCTTCCAAATTTTGACAGTTATAAATAAAGCTGCTACAAACATCTGTGTGCAGCTTTTTTTGCTTTTTTGAGACAGGGTCTCACACTGTCACCCAGGCTGGAGTGCAGTGGTGCAATCATGGCTCACTGCAGCCTTGACCTCTCAGGCTCAAGCGATCTTCTCACCTCAGCCTTTTGAGTACTTGAAACTACAGGTGCACGCCACCACACCCAGCTAATTTTTCAACTTTTTTGTAGAGATGCGGTTGAGCTGTTTTGCCCAGGCTGGTCTCGAACTCCTGGGCTCAAGCAATCCTCTCGCCTTGGCCTCCCAAAGTGCTGGGATTACAGGCCTGAGCCACTGCACCTGGCCTATTGCAGCATTTCGTGTGGGCATAAGTTTTCAGCTCCTTTGGGTAAATACCCAGGAGTGCAATTGCTAGACCAAATGGTGAGATGATGTTTAGTGTTATAAAAACCTGCCAAAATGTCTTCCAAAATGGCTGTACCATTTTACATTCCCACCAGGAGTGAATGAGAGTTTCTGTTGTTCCACATCCTCATCAGCATTTAGTGTTGTTTGTGTTCTGGATTTTGGCCATTCTAATAGGTTCATAGTGGTATCTCATTGTTTTAATTTGCATTTCCCTGATGACATATGATGTGGAGCATCTTTTCATATGCTATTTGCTGTCTGTATGTCTCCTTTTGTGAAGTATCTGATAAGGCCATTGGCCCATTCTTAAATAGCATTATTCATTGTCTTATTGTTGGGTTTCAAGAGTTCTTTGTATATTTGGATAATAGTCCTTCATCAGATATGTTTTTTGCAAGTATTTTCTCCCAGTCTCTGGCTTGTCTTGTCATTGTCTTGACATTGTCTTTCATGGAGCAGAAGTTTTTAAATTTAAATCAAGTCCAGCTTATCAATTATTTATTTCATGGATCAGGTCTTTGGTGTTGCATCTAAAAATTCATTGCCATACTCAAGGCCATCAAGGTTCTCTCCTATGTCATCTTCTAGGAGTTTTATAGTTTTGCATTTGTACATTTAGGTCTATGATCCATTTTGAGTTAATTTTTATGAAGAGTATAAGTTCTGTGTCTAGATTTTTTTTTTTTTTTTGAGACAGGGTCTCACTCTGTCACCCAGATGGTAGTAGTACAGTGGCACAATCACAGCACACTGCAGCCTTGACCTCTTGGGCTCAACCAATCCTCCTGCCTCAGCCTCCCGAGTAGCTGGGACCACAGGTATGCACCACCACAACTGGTTACTTTTTCTATTTTTTTTGTACAGACAAGATCTCACTATATTGCCCAAGCTTGTCTTGAACTCCTGGGCTCAAGGGATCCTCTTGCCCCAGCATCCCAAAGTGCTGGGATTACAGGTATGAGTCACTGCACCCAGCCTAGATTCATTTTTTGACATGTGGATGTTCAGTTATTCCAGCACCATTTGTTGAAAAGACTATCTTTGCTCCATTGCAGCTTGGCAGATTATATGTTTCAAGGAATGGGTGTATTTTATCTAGATCATAAAATTGGTGGGCATAGAATTGTTCATAATATTATTTTTTATTCTTTTAACTCATGAATTTATTCTTTTAATTCATCTGTAGTGAATTACAGTTCTGATATTAGTCATTTGTGTCTGCTCTCTTTTCCTAGTCTGGCTAGAGGCTTATGAATTTTATCGGTCTTGCAAAGACCCACCCTTTAGTTTCATTGATTTTCTCTATTGATTTCCTATTTTCAATTTCATTGAGTTTTACTTTGGTTTTTATTATTTCTTTTCTTCTGTTTTGTGTAAATTTAATTTGTGTAAATTAATTACACAAATTACACAAATTTGTGTAAATTAATTACACAAATAATTGTGTAAAATTGCTTTGTGTAAATTAATTTTTTTTTCTAGTTTCCTAAAGGGGAAGCTTAAATTGTTGATTTTAGATCTCTATTTTTTTGATACATACATTCAATATTATCAATTTCTCTCTAAACACTACTTTCGCTACATCACACAATTTTGATTAGTTGTGTTCTCATTTTCACTTAGTTCAAAATATTTTTAAATTTTTCTTGAGAGTTCTTTTTTGACCTTTGTGTTATGCAGAAGTGTGTTGTTTAATCCCCAAGTATTTGGGAATTTTCTAGCTATCTTTCTCTTACTGATTTCTAGTTTAATTCCACTGTGGTCTGAGGCCAGACATTGGATGGTTTCTATTCTTTTAAATGTATTAAGATTTTTTTTGTTTTTATTTATTTATTTTTTTTGAGACGGAGTCTTGCTCTGTCGCCCAGGCTGGAGTGCAGTGGTGCAATCTCGGCTCACCACAACCTCTGCCTCCCGGGTTCAAGCGATTCTCCTGCCTCACCCTCCGAAGTAGCTGGGACTACAGGTGCGTGCCACCATGCATGGCTAATTTTTGCATTTTTAGGAGAGACAGGGTTTCATTATGTTGGCCAAGCTGGTCTCAAATTCCTGACCTGGTGATCTGCCTGCCTCAGCCTCCCAAAGTGCTGGGATTACAGGTGTGAGCCATCACACCTGGCCTTAAGGTGTTTTTTATGGCCCTGAATGTGGTCTGTCTTGGTGAATATTCCATATGAGCTTCAGAAGAATGTGTAATCTGCTGTCACTGGGTGAGGCCATTTATAGATCAATATACCAGCTGTTAATGGTACTATTGAGTTCTGCCTGCTGGATCTGTCCATTTCTGTTAAAGGGGTGTTAAAATCTCCAACTTATTTATTTATTTATTTATTTATTTATTTAGACGGAGTCTTGCTCTGTCACCCAGGCTGGAGTGCAGTGGTGCGATCTTGGCTCACTGCAACCTCTGCGTCCCGGGTTCAAGTGATTCTCCTGCCTCAGCCTCCTGAGTAGCTGGGATTACAGGCGCGTACAACAACACCCAGCTAATTTTTGTACTTTTAGTAGAGACAGGGTTTCACCATGTTGGCCAGGCTGGTCTCAAACTCCTGACCTCAGGTGAACTGCCCTCCTCAGCCTCTCAAAGTGCTGGGATTACAGGTGTGAGCCACTGCACCCAGCCAAAATCTCCAACTTTAAAAGTGGGTTCGTTATTTCTTCTCGAAGGTCTGTCAGTTTTTGCCTCTCAGGCACCGATGCTCTGTTGTTAGGCGTGTACATATTAAGTATTGTTGCCTTGGAGAACTGAGCCCTCCCTCATTCTGTAATGCCTTCTTTATTCCTGATCACTTTCCTTGCTGAAGTCAGCTCTGTCTGAAATTAATAGAACTACTGCTTTCTTATGATGTGCATTGGCATGGAATATCTTTCTTTATCTCTTTACTTTTAAAGTATATGTGTTTTTATATTTAAAGTGGGTTTTTTGTAGACAACTTACAGTTGAATCTTATTTTTTGATATACTGTGACAATCTCTGTCCTTAATTGGTACATTTAGAGCACTGGCTTTCAAAGTAATTGTTGATGTAATTGGATTATTATCCACCATATTTTAAAATGTGCTGCCCTTATTCTTTGTTCCTATTTTTGTCTTTTACTCTGTCTCTGCCTTTTGTGGTTTTAATTAGGCATTTTGTAGGATACCATTTTCTCTCCTTGCTTAGTATATTACTTCTACTTCAAAACTTGGTTGCCTTAAAACTTGCAATATACATTTTTAAAAATTTTTCTTTATAAACAAACACACACAAATCAATATACTTTTGAAACTAAATCAAACCTGATTTCAAATAACACTACACCTTTTAAAGGGTAGTGCAAGTGCCTTATAATAACAAAATATTTCTAATTTCTCTCTCCTGTTCCTTGTTTCATTGTTATCATTCATTTCATCTATACATAAGCATCCATAAGCATGTATGTTTAAGCATATATAATTTTTTTTGTTTTTTGATACGGAATCTCACTCTGTCACCCAGGCTGGAGTGCAGTGGTGCCATCTTGGCTCACTGCAACGTCCACCTCCTGGTTCAATCGATTCAAGCAGCCTCCCAAGTAGCTGGGATTACAAGCGCCTGCCACCACGCTTCCTGGCTAACTTTTGTGTTTTTAGTAGAGACGGAGTTTCACCAAGTTGGCCAGGATGGTCTCAACCTCCTCACCTCAGGTGATCTGCCAGCCTCAGCCTCCCAAAGTGCTGAGATTACAGGTGTGAGTCACCGCACCCCGCCAGCATACATAATTGAATACATTGTTCCTCTTTTGAGCAAACTGTTATGTGATAGATGGATTAAAAACATAAAAGCTTTTATTTTGCCTCTACTTATTCATTTCCTGATGCTCTTTCTTTCTTTATGTAGATCTGTGTTTCTGACCTATACTATTTTCATTCTCTCTGAAGAACTTATTTTAACATTTTTTGCAAGACAAACCTTTTGGCAACAAATTCCCTCTATTTATTTATATATTTATTTACTCATTTATTTATTTGAGACAGGGTGTCTCACTCTGTTACCCAGGCTGGACTGCAGTGGCGCGATCTCAGCTCACTGCAACCTCCGCCTCCTGGGTTCAAGCAATTCTCTGGCCTCAGCAACCCCCAACCCAAGTAGCTGGGATTACAGGCATGCGTCACCATTGTGTTTTTAGTAGAGCTGGGGTTTCACCATGTTGGCCAGGCTGGTCTCAATTTTTGTTTGTCTGAGAAAGTTTTTATTTCTTCTTCACTTCTGGAGGATAAATTTGTAGGATACAGAATTCTGGGTTGGTGGATTTTTTTCTTAAGACTTTAAATGTTTACTCCCATCTTCCTAAGTGGTTTCTAAGAATAAATTAGATCAGTTTTTATCTTTGTTTCTCTTTAGCTAAGATGGTTTTTGTTGTGGCTTCTTTCAGGATTTTTTACTTTTGATCCTTTGATTTCTTTCCTTTGTTAAATTTTTTTTTTCCAGACACTCTATACCTTAATCCTTCCATTTCTTTCCTTTTTTCTTTTTTTTTTTTTTTTTGAGACGGAGTCTTGCTCTGTCGCCCAAGCTGGAGCGCAGTGGCGCGATCTCCGCTCACTGCAGCCTCCACTGAGTCTTGTTCTGATGCCTGCTCAGTCACTTCAAATTGTGTTTTTTTCTTTCTAAGGCATCTTATAATTTTGTTGAAAGGTGGACATGATGTCCTGGGTAAAAGGAACTATAGGAGATAGGCCTTTAGTGGCATGGTAGTTGGGGGAAGGGAAGCTTTCTATAGTCCTGTGATTAGGTCTCAGTCTTTTTTTTTCTTGAGACAGGGTCTCACTCTGTCACCCAGGCCGGAGTGCTATGGCACAATCATAGCTCACTACAGCCTTGAGCTCCTGGGCTCAAGTGATCCTTCCACCTCAGCCTCTTGAGTAGCTGGGACTGCAGGCACACGCCACAATATCTGGCTATTTTTTAATATTTTTATTATTTAATTAAATTAAATTAATTAATTATTTAATTTAATTAAATAATTAATTAATTAATTTAAGACACAGATTCACTCTGTTGCCCAGGCTGGAGTGCAGTGGTGCGATCTTGGCTCACTGCAACCTCCACCTCCCAGGTTCAAGTGATTCTCCTGCCTCAGCCTCCCAAGTAGCTGGGATTACAGGCGTGGGCAACCATGCCCAGCTAATTTTTGTATTTTTAATAGAGATGGGGTTTTGCCATGTTGACCAGGCTGATCTCTAACTCCTGACCTCAAGTGATCCGCCCGCCTCGGCCTCCCAAAGCGCTGGGATTACAGGCATGAGCCACCACGCCTGGCCAATTTTTAAAGTTTTTCATAGAGATGAAGTCTCACTCTGTTGCCCAGGCTAGTCTTGAATTCTTGGCCTCAAATGATCCTCCCGCCTCAACCTCCCAAAATGCTGAGATTACAGGTGTGACCCACCATGCCCAGCAGGTCTCAGTCTTTTGAGAGTCTGTCTCTGGACTGAACACCTGTGCTTTTCAGTGTTTCCCCCATAAATCGGACAGGATTGCTACAAAGGGGGCTGGAGTTGGGTGTTATCCTTTCCTTGGGTTAATAAAGCTCTGATAAAACCTCAGAAGTTTAGGAGCTGGTAGAAGTTTTTCCTGAGGGCAGATCTTGTTGAGAGGAACAGAATGCTCTGACATTTTTCAAAATTTCAAAAATGTTTCTCTTACCTTGCTGGAAGCATAAGGGAATTTTTCTCCTGTAATTACCATGTGGACCTGGTAGAACTCCCAGGGGTAAAATTCACAACAGCATGGAAGCCCCTCATGACTGGGTGGCACTGGAGTTTTGTCTCTCAGGCTTGTCCACACTGAGCCTCCAGCAATGTGTCAATTACAATTCCGGTTTCCATAGCCCTGCACTGATTCCTCCAGAGTTTTCAGCTCATAGGCAGGTTTGTGCTTCAGTAAGGTGTGGTTCTCTGTGTTCGCCTGTCTGTCTCTCCAATGGAAGGGAGCAGTGGTGTGCCCTGTGACCTCACCTCGTGGATGATTCTAAGAAGGGTTGTTGATTGTTCTGTTTCCTTTGTTGATTACTTGTTGTGTGGACAGCATGGCTGCGCCTAAGCTCCTTACTTGCCAGGCTGGAACTTGGATGTCTCTTCCTCTGCCTTCTTTTTTTTTTTTTTTTTGAGATGGAGTCTTGCTCTGTTGCCCAGGCTGGAGTGCAGTGGCTTGATCTTGGCTCACTGCAGCCTCTGCCTCCCGGGTGCAAACAATTGTCATGCCTCAGCCTCCCGAGTACCTGGGACTACAGGCATGCACCATCACTCTTGGATAATTTTTGTATTTTTAATAGAGACGGTTTCACCATGTTTACCAGGCTGGTTTTGAACTTCTGACCTCAAGTGATCTGCCCATCTCAGCCTCCCAAAGTGCTGGGATTACAGGCATGAGCCACTGCGCCTGGCCTCTTCCTCTGCCTTTGAATGCCTGCCCTCCAGAGACCCCTCCCTAAGCAGGGACAGGCCCATGCAGGTGACATTGGGGATCTAAAGGCAGAAAGTGATCAATATATACTGAGGAGGTGAGATTTGACCAGTGAAATGGACTAGAAGGAGACACAGGGACCCAATGTCATCCCCTTCCTCACTTCCTGGTCTCCATCCTTCAGCCACACTGCCTTCCTCTTGGAGGGACAGACTAAGCCAGGTCCACACACGCTCTCCCTCGGTCAAGAGCACTTCTGTACCCACCCCTCCACCCCAGGCTCCCTTCTCACTTTTTCCAGGTAGCTCTGACTCATCCTTCATAATAACTCAGGTAGCCTCAGCTCCAGCCTAGGCTGGAATTTTCTAATACACTGTCATGGAACACAGCCTGCGACACAGAAGGCCTTCAATAAATCTTTGTGGCATAAATGAGCACATAGAAATGTGTTCCCTTCCTTTAGCACACATGGCTCATGCTGTCATCAAATGTTCATGGAGAGATTGTATTTAATGCCCATCTCTCTCTTTAGGCCATGGGGACTCACTTTTTCAGCACTGTATTTCCTATGCTTGGCACAATGTGGCGTAGAGTAGGTGCTCAATAAATATGTAGTGAGCAGATGAAGAGATGGGAGAGGAGGTGAGTCCCCCACCCCGCAGAAGGGATTAAATGTGTTAGGGAGCCTACGTCATGTGATGGGAAGGCTGTGGAGGGTGAGCCTTACAGGCGTCCAGGAGACAGTCAGCAACACAATCTTGCAGCCAGAGGCCAAATTCCTTGTGGATTATGCAAAGGTTGGGATTTCATTGGTGGAAGCATTGGGTTGGCAGGGAAGGAAAGCATTTCACTGTAGTCTGCAGCTCCCGTCAAAGGCAGGCAGGACACAGCGGGCAGGTCTGGGATGGGAGGAGAGCTTGTTGGGACCAGACACCCAGAAACCAGACAGCGTTCCCAGCAGCTCCTGACTCATGTGCAGTGTGTGGGCAGAGGACAGCCCCACCTGTGCCCACCACCAGCAGTTGCAGCCTGAGATGGCTCCTCTGGCCCAGCATCAGGGGCCCTGCATTGGCTGGGAGGCGGGAACTGGGTTGGTGGGATGCAGGAAACAAAGCAGGATGGTGGAGGCGCGTGGGGCCTGAGGGACAGCGAGGACAGGGGCCTACTGGGCAGCTGGGGTCAGGAGTAGGTCCTCCCTGGGTGGTCAGAGTCTTCAGTGGGAGGAATGGAGGCCAGGCCCTCACAGAGCTAGTCTTAGACTTCCACCATCCCCTGATGTAGCCCCGTGCGGGGAACTAGAAGGTTCTGGCTCTTCTGAGCAGAGGGACTACAGGCTTGTCATGGAAATTCAGAAGGTCAGAGCTGGAAAGACCCACAGGCTTATAGGACAGGCAGAAAAATGGGCCTGGAGTGGGGAGGACAATGTCCAGGTTGCTACAGGAAGCCAACAGCTGGCCAAACCTGGGGTGAGATGCCCCAGGGCTGCAGGGCCACCCATTTACTATCTTTGGCAGGCTGTTTTAACCTCTCTGATCCTCAGTGTATTCATCTATAAAATGGGAATAATACCACCTATCTTGGAGGGTTGTTGTGCAGACTAAGATCATTCCTCCAGTCAATACATATTTATTGAGGGCTGTGGCAGGCACTGCTGGTGACTCTCCCCTTCTTGGAAATCGAGCCCTAACTTCCATCTAGGAGCACCCTTGCATATGTGGTGATGTGATGTGACTTGTGGATATAAGCAGAAGTAGTGTATACACAACTTCATAAAACATTCTTAAAAATGGAAGCATCATCATCTCCTCCCCCTGTGCTGGCTGGAGTTTGGAAGTTATGACTTGAGCAGTCATCATGGACCACAATGTGGAAGCCAAGAGTGGTGAATAGCAGAGCCACCCAAGAGAGCAAGCCTGAATTCCCAACAATCACAGGTCACCACGCCATAAGCACGAGTTCAGCGACTGGACTTCTTACTTCTGGACTTATTTAACTTAGACCAAAATAAATGCATATTTTTAAAAAAGTATTTTCCTGAGGCACAGTCTCAAGAGGTCTTGAGAACATGTGCCCATATATATATATATAGAGAGTCACCACTTTAAGAGATCACTCACTGTTACTCCAAATCCTAGTTGACTGGAGGGCCATTTATGTGGCAGGCCCTGGGCTCTACACTGGGAACAAAAAGAAAAGAAAACAAATGCAGTCCTTTCCCTCCAAAGCTTCTGGTGTAGTGGAATGGAGGTAAGAGACGGTCAGAAGAGCACATGCAGAAGTGAACAATTGTAAATGTCATATGTGCTGTAAGGGCAGACAGTATAGGAACTCAACCTTGCCAGGGCATGGCATGTTCCTATGGTAGTGTGTCCGGAATTGGTGGGTTCTTGGTCTCACTGACTTCAAGAATGAAGCCGCGGACCCTCGCAGTAAGTGTTACGGCTCTTAAGGTGGCGCGTCTGGAGTTTGTTCCTTCTGATGTTCGGATGTGTTCGGAGTTTCTTCCTTCTGGTGGGTTCCTGGTCTCGCAGGCTTCAGAAGTGAAGCTGCAGACCTTCGCAGTATTACAGCTCTTAAGGCGTGAAGCTGCAGACCTTTGTGGTGTTACAGCTCAAAAAGGCAGTGCGGACCCAAAGAGTGAGCAGTAGCAAGATTTATTGCAAAGAGCAAAAGAACAAAGCTTCCACAGTGTGGAAAGGGACCCGAGCAGGTTGCCACTGCTGGCTCGGGCAGCCTGCTTTTATTCTCTTATCTGGCCCCACCCACATCCTGCTGATTGGTTCATTTTACAGAGAGCCAAGTGGTCTGTTTTGACAGGGCGCTGATTGGTGCGTTTACAATCCCTGAGCTAGACACAAAGGTTCTCCACGTCCCCACTAGATTAGCTAGATACAGAGTGTAGACACAAAGGTTCTCCAAGTCCCCACCAGAGTAGCTAGATAACAGAGTGTCAATTGGTGCATTCACAAACCCTGAGCTAGACACAGGGTGCTGATTGGTGTGTTCACAATCCCTTAGCTAGACATAAAGGTTCTCCAAGTCCCCACCAGAGTCAGGAGCCCATCTGGCTTCACCCAGTGGATCCCGCACCGGGGCCGCAGGTGGAGCTGCCTGCCAGTCCCGCGCCGTGCGCCCGCACTCCTCAGCCCTTGGGTGGTCAATGGGACTGGGCACTGTGGAGCAGGGGGCGGCGCTCGTCGGGGAGGCTCCAGCCGCACAGGAGCCCATGGAGGTGGGGAGGCTCAGGCATGGCGGGCTGCAGGTCCCGAGCCCTGCCCCGAGGAGAGGCAGCTAAGGCCCGGCGAGAAATCAAGTGCAGCACCGGTGGGCCGGCACTGCTGGGGGACCCAGTACACCCTCCGCAGCCACTGGCCCAGGTGCTAAGCCCCTCATTGCCCAGGGCTGCTCCAAGTGCGGGGCCTGCCAAGCCCACGCCCACCCGGAACTCCAGCTGGCCCGCAAGTGCCGTGCGTAGCCCGGGTTCCCGCTTGCTTGTGCCTCTCCCCCCACACCTCCCTGCAAGCTGAGGGAGCCAGCTCCGGCCTTGGCCAACCCAGAAAGGGGCTCCCACAGTGCAGAGGCGGGCTGAAGGGATCCTCAAGTGCCGCCAAAGTGAGAGCGCAGGCAGAGGAGGCGCCAAGAGCGAGCGAGGGCTGTGAGGACTGCCAGCATGCTGTCACCTCTCAGTAGCACCAACAAAAGTGTGGTTTAGCTGTTTAAAACCACAGCTATCCCCAACAAAAAGGCTAAAATAAATGAGACAGAAAATATCAAACGTTGAAGAGGATGTGGAGCAACTGGAACTCCCTGGAACTCTCTGCAATCCACTGATGGCAGAAGGGTAAATTGTTACAACCACTTTGGAAAACTGGGAACAGAACCACTTTGGAAAACCAGGAACAGAGTGGCCCAACATTACTGATAGAACCTGATCCACAAAGTCCGGGTATCCTGATCTGCCCAGAGCCAACTTGGGGAGCAACTTTGGGGGCCCTGAGGGACACTTTGTAACTGGCCTGGCCAGGTGGCAGTCCACAGGGAGGAGTGTGGGGGCAGAACCTTCTCCAGCCCTTGAGTTCCTCAGCTTCCTCCTGACTGCCCATGTGTGGTCACTGTTCCCAGCCAGGCCTCAGCAGGAGGACAGACACCAGATCGCACCTCACTGGTCACTGGACAACCTGGGAGCTTCAGGCCCACCTGTGTCCTCAGCCCCAAGCCTGCAGGGACACTCACCTCCCACCCTCAGAGCACCTTCCTTCTTTCTGTACTTAGACTGGCGTTCCTCTTAACATACAGGCTTCCCTTCAATGGAACCAAAACATCCTCCCTTTGGCTTTAGTCCAGCTCCCCGGGGCCACACAGAGCAGGAGGACCCTTTTTACTTCTTTTTTAACACTCAGCTGGGTGCCCTCAACCCATCCCAGTCTCCAGCCTTAGTGTCATGGTCAGCCTACCCCTGGCATCCAGCCTAGACCAATTCCAGCCTTCATCCCTCCCCTCCAACCCCAGATGCACCCCTACCCCCACTTCCCCCATTATCAGTTAAATTGTGTCCCTCAAAAATTCATGTGTTGAAGTCCTAACCCTGAGTACTTAAAAAATGTGACCTTATTTGGAAATAGCATCATTGCAGATGTAATTAATTAAGACCAGTGCAGTAGCATGCTAATCCAATATGATTGGTGCCTTAGAAAACCGAGAAATGTGGACACAGAGACAGACGTTCACAGAGGAAGATATTGTAAAGACACAGGGAGAACAGACAGGCACAGTGGCTCACGCCTGTAATCTCAGCACTTTGGGAGGCTGAGATGGGAGAATTGCTTGAGGCCAGGAGTTTAAGACCAGCCTGGGCAACACAGCACAACCCCTGTCTCAGGAAAAATTTTAAGGCCGGGCTCAGTGGCTCATGCCTGTAGTCCCAGCACTTTGGGAGGCCGAGGTGGGTAGATAACCTGAGGTCAGGAGTTCGAGACCAGCCTGGCCAACATGGTAAAACCCCATCTCTACTAGAAATACAAAAAAATTAACCAGGTGTGGTGGTATGCGCCTGTAGTCCCAGCTACTTGGGAGGCTGAGGCAGAAGAATCACTTGAACCCAGGAGGCAGGGGTTGCAGTGAGCTGAGATTGCACCACTGCACTCTAGCCTGGATGACAGAGTGAGAATCCATCTCAAAAAATTAAAAAAAAAAAAAATTAAAAATGAGCCGGGCATGGTGGGGCACACCTGTAGTCCCAGCTACTTGGGAGGCTGAGGTGGGAGGATCACTTGAGTCCAGGAGGTCCAGGCTGCAGTGAGCTATGATCATGCCACCACACTCCAGCCTGGCGACAGAACGAGACCCTGTCTCAAAAACAAAAAGGCACAGGAAGAAGGGGGCTGTCTATCAGCCAAAGAGACGGCCTGGAACAGAACCTTCCCTCACAGACCTCAGAAGGAGCCAGCGCCTACACTTTGACTCCAGCCTCTCAGGCTCCTAAGCTGTGAGACAACACATTCCTGTTGTTGAAGCCACCCAGTCCATGGTCCTCTGCCACAGCCACCCCAGAAAACTAAGACACACCTTGTCACTCATTCATTCAAAAATATTTACAGAGCCCCACCATGTGCTGGGGGCAAAGCCATGAAGATAAAGAAGAGGAGCGAAGAATTACTGCTTTCAGAGGGCTCACATTGCCATGAAGGAGAAAGCCAGGTGGATGATGCCACACTGGGTCAAGAGCTAAGAAAATAGGGAAATAAGACACGGGCTCTCTTAATTTTTTTTTTTTTTTGAGATGGATTCTTGTTCTGTCACCCAGGCTGGAGTGCAGTGGTGCAGTCTCAGCTCACTGCAACCTCCACCTCCCGGGTTCAAGCGATTCTCCTGCTTCAGCCTCCCAAGTAGCTGGCATTACAGGCATGTGCCACCACGGTTGGCTAATTTTTGTATTTTTAGTAGAGACAGGGTTTCACCATGTTGGCCAGGCTGGTCTCAAACTCCTGACCTCTCGATCCACCCACCCTGGCCTTCCAAAGTGCTGGGATTACAGGCGTGAGCCACCGCACCCAGTGTCCTTAATTCTTTATCAACTCTCTCTCTGTCCACCCTTTCTGTTCTTCCTAGAAAAGGGCTCAGGATGCTCCCATCCTAAGGAGGCATTTGCTCACCGCTGCTGTGCCCCGTAGCCTGTGTGATATTCTCCATTGCATCACTAGAGAAATCTTTAAACAATGGCTCCCTCCTCCTCCTACCTTCCCTGTGCTCTCCTGCACTCCAAGGCTGGCAGCGGCCTTCCCACTGTTCTGCACCCAATCTCTCTGCCCCTGCCTTCCACAGCCTGTGCTGCCTTCCTGGACTCACCCACCCTCTCTGAGCTGCCAGGACCCTGCCCTTCTGCCCTCTCCCGCTTCTCTTCTCCTACAAGCTTCAAGCCTACAAAAAGTTGCAAGAATAGTACAATGAATACCCTTATATCTTTCATCTAAGTTCATCAGTTGTTGACATGTTACCACTTTGCTGTATCTCAATGTATAGGCTTTTTTTGTTATTGTTGTTTTGAGACAGGGTCTCACTCTGTTCCCCAGGCTGGACTGCAGTGGCACGATCTCGGCTCACTGCAATCCCCGGCTCACTGCAATCCCCGCCTCCCGGGTTCAAGCATTCTCATGCCTCAGCCTCCCAAGTAGCTGGGACTACAGACATGCACCACCATACTTAGCTACTTTTTGTATTTTTAGTATTTTTGTATTTTAATTTTGTAATTTTAACCACAATCTAAATATAGTTAAGGATATTTTATATTGACACTCTATTTTATCTAAAATAGACTACATATTTAAATTGTATCAGTCACCTTGGTAATGCCTTTTGTAACTTTTTTTTTCTTTTTTTGAGACAGTCTCACTCTTGTCGCCCAGACTGGAGTACTGTGGTGCGATCTCAGCTCACTGCAACCTCCACCCACTGAGCTCGGGCGATCCTCCCCCTCAGCCTCCCAAGTAGCTGGGACCACAGATGCACACCACCACACCCGGCTAAGTTTTTGTATCATGGGTAGAGACAGGGTTTCACCATGTTGCCCAGTCTGGTCTCGAACTCCTGAGCTCAAACGATCTGCCCATCTCGGCCTCCCAAAGTGCTGGGATTACAGGTGTGAGCCACTGTGCCCAGCCTGTAGCTTTTTATTATTATTATTATTTTTAATCCAAGAGCCAACCTGGGATCCCACATTGCATTTAGTCGCCATGTCCTGCTCCTTTAGAGAGCCACCATCCCTGAGGGTTGTCCCCCTCCGTAACAGCCTCTCCCTGACTCAGTCAGCACCTCTTTGCAGCTGCGTCTCTCCCTCTCCTGTGCTCCACTGAAGTCATTTCCAGCCCTGCTTCAGCCCACCTTTTGCTCCGGTCTGTCTCAGTTGTTATTGACTCCTCCCTGCCCCACCAGCTTCCGCAGGGCAGGGGTTCTGGTTTATCTGTGTCCCCTGGTGTCAGGCCCAGTGCTTGATGAATACACCATGGAAGAGGGAAAAAACACTGTCCCAGTGTCAGCCAGACCTGAACTTCAATTGTGGCTCCACCAGCCTCTGCTGTTCTGCTGTTGTAACCTCCATGGAGTTATTTAACAGTTACTCTGAGCAGAGGCTAAAACCTACTTTGAGGGCTGCTATGAAGATCTCCTGAGTGCTGTCTTTGAATGCCTGGCGCACAGTACCCCTGGAAGGAAGAGAGGGAAGATTACCTGTGACATTCAGTAGATTTCAAAACATAGGAGGGCGATGGAGCATCCATGCTCAGCTCCTGGACTCCCTTGACATGTTCCACCACCAGCTCCATGCAGCCGGACCCTTCCAAGCTTGATGAAAGGACAAGCTCAAGTTAAGGAAAGCACACAAGAAATCAAGCTGGTCTGGAGGCAGCTCCCAAGATGGAGAGGTGGGATTCATGTACCTTTGAAAGAGGCCCAGCCCATCATTTGACCAGATATTTCATGAACATGATAACCTGGCCATAAGTTAGGCCAGCTAGGGAACACCCTACTGCCCCACAGAAGAAACAACCTGAGATCCCACCAGCCTGGGCCCCTCCAACACCTCTGCCCAGGCTTGGGGGTCCGAGGCTTCCTGCCCTTCCGCAGTAGAAAGAACCGGCTGCCCAGGGAATGCATTTGTTTAATATCAGATTCCTCAGCAACATCTGGATCCAATTTAGCTGTGAACATTGAAAACGAGGCCTGGCCACCAGCCAGCACACTGCAGGAAGAGCTGAGCCCGCTGTGCACAGATACAGAGTTGTGGAGGAGCCAGGCCAAACCCACCTAGCCCCCTTATTTCTTTCAGGCATCCTGGGGAAGGAGTGGAGGTGACTCCCTGGCAACCCAACTTTGGTCTCCTGCAGATCCATCCCCCTGCCAGCCTCTCAGGTTTTCCAAAACATTCAAGTGATTGCCACCCTGACATGGTGGCAGGAAGCTGGAAGGTTCTCTGCCTCCACAGAATTTGGGGTTCCAAGGGTAACATCTTCTCCTAGTGCGAAGGGACACACATACACTCATGCTTCCACACAAAACACAGGCATACAGGTGCATGCATGCACACACACCATGCCATTCTCTGCACTGGACTTCCAACACGTCCTGCACTTGGAAATCCCAGGCTCTCAGAACAGGCAGAACATCTCATTCAACCCTCATTGTCCAGAGACACGGGGATTTCGCAAAGGTCAAACAGCAAAGCAAGTCACAGTGCAACATTACATTTACCAGGTGCTGACTTTAAACCAGATCCCTTGATGGGTATTTAAAATATAGTAGTACTTTCAAGTTTATCCTCAAAATAACTGGACGATCCGTTCAGTATTTTGCCCAATGCCACACATTTAGTAAGTGATAAGGCTGGGGATGAAACCCAAGTCAGTCTGACATCAAATTATAGGATTTCCTCCACTGCGGGTCCCGATGCCTGAAATTCCACCAGTAAGTCTTCCCAAGCTCTGATATTAAAAACCATAAATGGTCCTGAACAGTTCTTGCCTTAAGCTATCTCTGGCCAACACCTGAAGGGCAACAGGAGAGAAGGACATCGGGGGGGCATAGGGCCTCCAATAAGGAGGTGAAAGGGTGTAAGATGGACATTTTCCAGACTTTTCAGTTTTTAAGCCTCAGAGACTCGAATTGGAGGTTGAGGCCTCCTGAAAAGGCCTTCCTGGAAAGAGACCTCTGAGCATTGTCTTCTGTGGGAGGATGGTTCCATGGCTGTGCTATGCTGAGGCTGGTGGGTAGGGAAGTCTAGGCACAGTGAGTGGGTGTACAAAGATGAAATCCCTCTAGGGACAGTGTGCTCATTTATATTAAAAGCTTAAAAAAGTATTTACTTTTTCTTTTTTTTTAAGACTCACAGTCTCACTCTGTCACGATCATAGCTCACTGCAGCATGGAACTCCTGGGCTCAAGCGATCCTCCCGCCTCAGCTTCCTGAGTAGCTGGAACTATAGTCATGTGCCACCACACTGGCTAATTTATTTTCTTTTAGTTTTTTACAGACAGACATCTTATGTTGCCCAGGCTGGCCTTGAACTCATGGCCTCAAGCGATCCTCCTGCCTCACCCTCCCAAAGTGCTGGGATTATAGGTGTGAGCCACTGCTCCCAGCTGCACTTACCTTTTTTCCCAGTCTTTCTATGCCTCCTCTGTGCTGAGCTTTATTAGAGCACTGTATATACTAAGTCCTCAACAAATAAGTAAAAATAACAGTTACAAAATGATATGTAGAGGTTGATCCTAAGGATGCATCTATCTAGAGAATAGGAGAGACTTTTATGTTCCTAGTGTTTGTCTTCATCCTTCCTTCTAATTTTTTGTTTGCTGTTGCTGTTTTTGAGTAGATATATGTAGAGAAAGCCACTGTTCTTGTTTCTCTGAGATTCACTCCCCTTCTTTTGGTAACTACAATCCTGACTTCTCACCCCCACAATCAGGAAGGTGATCATGTGACTTGGGCCTGGCTTATTAGAATCTGCCCAGTAGGTCACAGTGATTGGTCCAGAGATGAGCACATGACTCAACATGATCATGCGACTTGGATGTGGCCTATCAGAATCCTTCCATTAGGCAATAGTGATTGGCCCAGGGATGAACACATGACTCAAACCAGGCCAAATGGGATCCAGTTAGTGGGAAGGAGAAACTTTTTCACAGATGTGAACCCTCAGTAGGTGAACCTGGTGCTGTCGGCAACCAACCTACCTCCCAGCTCCCAGATGGGGGCTGCTTCCTTCCTCATGATGAGGATGGTATGTGAAATCCAGGCTGAAATCCTCCAGACTCTCAACC